>NC_000002.12:238196638-238550148 GCF_000001405.40 Homo sapiens | reverse complement strand
GGAGCATCCCTGAGGTGGGAGCACTGCACCAGGAAGTGTCTTGCATGTTGCATCATCCCTGAGGTAGGAGCACTACACCAGGAGGTATCTCAGATCATTCCTGAGGTGGGAGCACTTCACCAGGTGGTGTCTTGAATCATCGCTAAGGTAAGAGCACTGGACCAAAGGGGTGTGAATCATCCATGAAGTGGGAGCACTGCTCCAGGAGCTGTCTTGGATCATCCCAAGGGAGAGAACACTACTCCAGGAGGTGTCTTGGGTCATCCTTGAGGTGTGAGCACTGCACAAAGAAGTGTCTTGTATTATGCCTGAGTGTGAGCACTGTGCCAGGAGGTGTCTTGGATCATTCCTGAAGGCTGAGCACTGTACCAGCAAGTATCTTGGATCATCTCAGAGGTGTGAGCATTGCACCAGGAGGTGTCTTGGATCATCCCTGAGGTAGGATCACTGCACCAGGAAGTGTCATGAATCATCCCTGAGGTGTGAGCACTGCACCAGGAGGTTTCTTAAATAATCTCTGAGGTGGGAGCGCTGCACAAGGAGGTGTCTTCATTCATCCCCAAGAAAGGACTACTGCACTAGGGGGTTTTTTGGATAACCCTGAGGAGGGAGCACTGCACCAGGAGGTATCTTGGATGATAACTGAGTTGTAACCACTGCACCAAGAAGTGTCTTAAATAATCTCTGAGGTTGAAGCACTACACCAGGAGGTGTCTTGGATCATCCCTGAGGTGCAGACACTGCACCAGGAGATCTGTAGGATTATGTCCGAGGTTTGAGCACTGCACCAGGAAGTGTCTTTTGTCAACCCTGAGTTGGGAGCACTGCACCAGGAGGTGTCTCAGATCATCACTTAGGTGGGAGCACTGCACCTGCAAGTGCCTTGGATCACGCCTGACGTGTGAGCACTGCACCAGCAGGTGTCTTGGCTCATCCCTGAGGAGGAAGTACTGCAAGAGGAGGTGTCTTGCATCACACCTGAGATGTGAGCACTGTACCAGGAGGTGCCTAGGATCATCCCTGAATTGAGAGCATTGCACCAAGAAGTGTCTTGGATGTTGCATCATCCCTGAGGTAGGAGCACTACACCAGGAGGTATCTCGGATCATCCCTGAGGTGTGAGCACTTCACCAGGAGGTGTCTTGAATTATCCCTAAGGTAAGAGCACTGCACCAAAGGGGTCTTGGATCATCCCTAAAGTGGGAGCAGGGCACCAGGAGATGTCTTGGATCATCCCCGGAAAGAGAGCATTACACCCGGAGGTGTCTTGGGTCATCCTTGAGGTGTGAGCACTGCACCAAGAGGTGTCTTGTATTATGCCTGACTGTGAACACTGCACCAGGAGGTGTCTTGGATCATTCCTGAAAGTTGAGCACTGTACCAGCAGGTATCTTGGATCATCTCAGAGGTGTGAGCATTGAACCAGGAGGTGTCTTGGATCATCCCTGAGGTAGGATCACCGCATTAGGAAGTGTCTTGAATCATCCCTAAGGTGTGAGCACTGTAACAGGAGGTGTCTTGGATCCTCCCTGAGGTGTGAGCACTGTATCAGGAGGTGTCTTGAATCATCAGAGAAAAGAACACTACACCAAGAGATGTCTTGGATCATGCCTGAGGTGTGAGCACTGTAGCAAGACGTGTCTTGGATCATCCAGGAGGTGTGAGCACTTCACCAGGAGGTCTTTGGATTATCATACCTGATGTGTGAACGTTTCACTCAGAAGTGTCTTATATCATGCCTGAGGTGTGATTCATGCACCAGGAGGTGTTTTGTACAATCCCTGAGGTGCAGGCACTGCACCAGTAGGTCTCTTGCATTATGCTTGAGGTTTGAGCACTGCACCAGGAAGTGTCTTTAATCATCCCTGAGGTGTGAGCACTGCACAAGGAGGTGTGTTAAATAATCTCTGAGGTGGGAGCACTGCACAAGGAGGTGTCTTCATTCATCCCCCGGAAGGGACTACTGCACCAGGAGATTTTTTGGATAACCCTGAGGAGGGAACACTGCACCAGGCGGTATCTTGGATGATAACTGAGTTGTAACCGCTGCACCAGAAGGTGTCTTAAGTAATCTCTGAGGTGGGAGCACTACATCAGGAGGAGTCTTGGATCATCCCTGAGGTGCAGACACTGCACCAGGAGGTCTGTAGGATTATGCCTGAGGTTTGAGCACTGCACCAGGAAGTGTCTTTTATCATCCCTGAGTTGGGAGCACTGCACCAGGAGGTGTCTTGCATCACGCCTGAGGTGTGATTACTTTACCAGGAGGCATCTAGGATCATCCCTGAGGTGGGAGCACTGCACTGGGAAGTGTGTTGCATGTTGCATCATCCCTGAGGTAGGAGCACAACACCAGGAGGTATCTTGGATCATTCCTGAGGTGTGGGCACTTCGCCAGGAGGTGTCTTCAATCATCCCTAAGGTAAGAGCACTGCACCAAAGGGGTCTTAACTCATCCCTGAGGTGGCAGGAGATGTCTTGAATCATCCCTGGGGAGACAGCACTACTCCAGGAGGTGTCTTCGGTCATCCTTGAGGTGTGAGCACGGCACCAAAAGGTGTCTTGTATTATGCCTGACATGTGAGCACTGCACTAGCAGGTGTATTAGCTCATCCCTGAGGAGGGAGTACTGCACAAGGAGGTGTCTTGCATCACACTTGAGGTGTGAGTGCTGCACCAGGAGGTGTCTAGGATCATCCCTGAATTGTGAGCACTACACCAGGAGGTGTCTTAGAGCATCCCTGAGGCGGGAGCATTTCACCAGGAAGTGTCTTGCATGTTGCATCATCCCTGAGGTAGGAACACTACACCAGCAGGTGTCTTAGATCTTTCCTGAGGTGGGAGCACTTCACCAGGAGGTATCTTGATTCATCCCTAAGGTAAGAGCAGTGCACCAAAGGGGTCTTGGTTCATCCCTTGGGGGGGGAGTACTACTCCAGGAGGCATCATGGGTCATCCCTGAGATGTTAGCAGTGAACCAAGAGGCATCTTGTATTATGCCTGAGTGTGAGCACTGCACTTGGAGGTGTCTTGGATCATTCCTGAAGGTTGAGCACTGTACCAGCAGGTATCTTGGATCATCTCAGAGGTGTGAGCATTGCACCAGGAGGTATCTTGGATAATTGCTGAGGTGGGATCACTCATCAGGAAGTGTCTTGAATCATCCCTTAGGTGTGAGCACTGTAACAGGAGGTGTCTTGGATCCTCCCTGATATGTGAGCACTGCACCAGCAGGTGACTTGAATCATCAGAGGAAAAAGCACTACATCAAGAGGTGTCTTGGATCCTCCCTGAGGTGTGAACACTGCACCAGGAGGTGTCTTGAATCATCAGAGGAAAGAGCCCTATACCAAGAGGTGTCTCGGATCATCCCTGAGGTGTGAACATTGCACCTGGAAGTGTCTTATCATGCCTGAGGTGTGACCCATGTACCAGGAGGTCTCTTGTATCGTCTCTGAGGTGGGATCACCACACCATGAGGTGTCTTGAATCAGGCACAGCACCAGGAGATCTCTTGGATCGTTCCCTGAGGTGGGAGCACTGCACCAGGAGGTGTCTTGGATCATCGCTCAGGTGTGAACACTGCACCAGGAAGTGTTTAAAATCATGCCTGAGGTGTCAGCACTGCACCAGGAGGTGTTTTTGATCATTCCTAAGGTGCAGGCACTGCACCAGGAGATCTCTTGGATTATGCCTGAGGTTTGAGCACTGCACCAGGAAGTGTCTTTTATCATCGCCGAAGTGTGAGCACCGCACCAGGACGTGTCTTCGGACATCCCTGAGGTGTATGCACTGCACCAGGAGTTGTCTTGCATTATTCCTGAGGTCAAAGCACTGCATCGCAAGTGTCTTGGATCGTGCTTGATTGTGCCTGGCCAGGAAGTGTCTTAACTCATCCCTGAGGAGGGAGTATTGTAAAAGGGAGTATCTTGGATCATCCCTGAGGTGGGAGCACTGCATCAGGAGGTGTCTTGGATTATCCCTGTGGGTTGAGCACTACACCAGGAGGTGGTTTGGATCACCCCCAAGGTGCACAAGGAAGAGTCTTGTATTATGCCCGAGTGTGAACACTGCACCAGGTGGTTTTTTGGATCATTCCTAGGTATGAGCACTGCACCAGGAGGTATCTCAGATCATGCCAGAGTTGTGAGCACTGCATCAGGAGATGTTTCGGATCATCCCTGAGGTTTGAGCACTGGACTAGAAGGGGTCTTGGATAACGCCTGAGTGTAAGCACTGTACCAGGTGGTTTTTTTATATCATCCCTAGGTGTGAGCACTGCACCAGGAAGTATCTTGGATCACATCTGAGTGTGACCACTGCACCAAGGGTTGTCTTAAATCATATCTGAGTTGTGACCACTGTACCAAGAGGTGTTTTGGAGCATCCCTGAGGTGTGAGCACTGCACCAGGAAGTTTCTTGGATCATGCCTGAGTTATGACCACCGCACCAGGAAGTGTTTTGGAACATCCCCGAGGTGTGAGCACTGCACCAGGAGGTGTCTTAGATCATGTGTGAGTGTGAGCACCTCACCAGGATGTACCTTGGATCATGCCTGAGTTGTGAGCACTGCATCAGGACGTGTTTTGGATCACCCTTGAGGTGTGAGCACTGCACCAGGAATTGTCTTGGATCATTCCTGGGTGTGAGCACTGCACCAGGAGGTGTTTCAGGTCATCTATAAGGTGTGAGCACCACACCAGGAGGTTTCTTGTCTTATGCTTGAGTGGGAGCACTGCACCAGAAGGTATTTTGAATCATGCCTGAGTTGTGAGCACTGCATCAGGAGGTGTTTTGGATCATCCCTGAGGCATGAGCACTGGACCAGGAGGTCTGCTGGATTATCCCTGAGTTGCAAGCACTGCACCAAGATGTGTCTTGGATCATGCCTGAGTGTGAGCACTGCAGCAGGTGGTTTTTTTTTATCATCCCTAGGTGTGAGCACTGCACCAGGAAGTATCTTGGATCATGTCTGAGTTGTGATCGCTACACCAGGAGGAGTCTTAAATCATATCTATGTTGTGAGCACTACACCAAGAGGCATTTTGGAGCATCCCTGAGGTGTGAGCACTGCACCAGGAGGTGTCTTTGATCACGCCTGAGTTGGGAACACTGCACCAGGTGTTTTGTAACATACCTGAGGTGTGAGCACTGCCTTGGATCATCACTGAGGTGTGATCACTGCAGCAGGAGGTGTCTTGGATCATCCCTGTAATGTGAGAACTGCACAAGGAGGTGTTTTCAATCATCCCTGACATGGGAGCCCTGCACCAGATGTCTTGGATCTCCCCGGGGAGAGAGCACTACTTCAGGCAGTGTCTTGGGTCATTTTTGAGGTGTGAGCATTGCACCAGGAAGTGTCTTGGATTATCCCTGAGGTAGGATCACTGCACCGGGAAGTGTCTTGAATCATCTCTGAGGTGTGAGCACTGTAATAGGAGGTGTCTTGGATCCTCCCTGAGATGTGAGCACTGTACCAGGAGGTGTCCTGAATCATCAGAGGAAACAGTACTACACCAAGAGATGTCTTGGATCATGCCTGAGGTGTAAGCACTGTATCAAGACAGGTCTTTGATCATCCCGGAGGTGTGAGCACTTCACCAGGAGGTCTTTGGATCATACCTGATGTGTGAACATTTCACCCAGAAGTATCTTATATCATGTCTGAGGTGTGCCCCATGTACCAGGTGGTGTTTTGTATCATCTCTGAGGTGCAGGCACTGCACCAGTAGGTCTCTTGGATTATGCCAGAGGTTTGAGCACTGCTCCAGGAAGTGTCTTTTATCATCCCTGAGATGTGAGCACTGCACCAGGAGGTGTCTGAAATAATCTCTGAGGTGGGAGCACTGCACAGGGAGGTGTCTTCATTAAACCCCAAGAAGGGACTACTGCACCAGGAAGTTTTTTGGATAACCCTGAAGAGGGAGTACTACACCAGGAGGTATCTTGGATGTTAACTAAGTTGTAACCACTGCATCAGGAGGTGTCTTAAGTAATCTCTGAGGTGGGAGCACTACACCAGAAGGTGTCTTGGATCATCCCTGAGGTGCAGACACTGCACCAGGAGATCTGTAGGATTATGCCTGAGGTTTGAGCACTGCACCAGGAAGTGTCTTTTATCGTCCCTAAGTTGGGAGCACTGCACCAGGAGGTGTCTTGGATCATCACTTAGGTGGGAGCACTGCACCTGCAAGTGTCTTGAATCATGCCTGACGTGTGAGCACTGCACCAGCAGGTGTCTTGGCTAATTCCTGAGGAGGGAGTACTGCAAGAGGAGGTGTCTTGCATCACACCTGAGGTGTGAGCACTGGACCAGGAGGTGTCTAGGATCATCCCTGAATTGTGAGCACTACACCAGGAGATGTCTTAGAGCATCCCTGAGGCGGGAGCACTGCACCAGGAAGTGTCTTGCATGTTGCATCATCCCTGAGGTAGGAGCACTACAACAGCAGGTGCCTTGAATCTTCCCTGAGGTGGCAGCACTTCACCAGGAGGTATCTTGAATCATCCCTAAGGTAAGAGCACTGCACCAAAGGGGTCTTGGATTATCCCTGGGGAAGGAGGACTACTCCAGGAGGTGTCTTGAGTCATCCTTGAGGTGTGAGCACTGCACCAAGAGGTGTCTTGTATTATGCCTGAGTGTGAGCACTGCACCAGTTGTTGTCTTGGATCATTCCTGAAGGTTGAACACTCTACCAGCAGGTGTCTTGAATCATCTCAAAGGTGTGAGCATTGCACCAGGAGGTGCCTTGAATCATTCCTGAGGTAGGATAACTGCATAAGGAAGTGTCTTGAATCATCCCTGAGGTGTGAACACTGTAGCAGGAGGTGTCTTGGATCCTCCCTGGGATGTGAGCACTGCACCAGCAGGTGTCTTGAATCATCAGAGGAAAGAGTACTACACCAAGAGGTGTCTTGGATCATCCCTGAGGTGTGAACATTGTACCCAGAAGTGTCTTATCATGCCTGAGGTGTGACCCATGCACCAGGAGGTCTCTTGTATCGTCTCTGTGATCAGATCACTACACGATGAGGTGTCTTGGATCAAACCTGAGGTGCAGGCACTGCACAAGGAGGTCTCTTGGATCATCCCTGAAGTGGCAGCACTACATCAGAAGGTGTCTTGGATCATCCCTCAGGTGTGAACACTGCACCAGGAAGTGTCTTCAATCGTGCCTGAGGTGTCAACACTGCACCAGGAGGTGTTTTTTATCATCCCTAAGGTGCAAGCACTGCACCAGGAGGTCTCTTGGATTATGCCTGAGGTTTGAACACTGCACCAGGAAGTGTCTTATCATCCCTAAAGTGTGAGCACTGCACCAGGACATGTCTTGGGTCATCCCTGAGGTGTGTGCACTGCACCAGGAGTTGTTTTGCATTATTCCTGAGGTCAGAGCACTGCATCACAAGTGTCTTGGATCATGCCTGATCATGACTGACAAGCAAGTTTCTTAACTCATTCCTGAGGAGGGAGTACTGTAACAGGGGGTATCTTAGATCATGCCTGAAGTGTGAGTACTGCACCAGGAGGTATCTTGAATCATCCCTGAGGTGGTAGCACTGCACCAGGAGGTGTCTTGGATCATCCCTGTGGGTTGAGCACTACACCAGGAGGTGGTTTGGATCATCCCCGAGGTGTGAGCACTGCACCAGGAAGTGTCTTGTATTATGCCTGAGTGTGAACACTGCACTAGGTGTTTTTTGGATCATTCCTAGGTGAGACCACTGCACCAGTAGGTATCTCGGATCATGCCAGAGTTGTGAGCACTGCATCAGGAGATGTTTTGGATCATCCCTGAGGTGTGAGCACTGGATTAGAAGGTGTCGTGGCTCATGCCTGAGTGTGAGCACTGTACCAGGTGGTTTTTTAGGATCATCCTTAGGTGTGACCACTGCACCAGGAGGTATCTTGGATCATGTCTGAGTGTGATCACTGCACCAAGGGATGTCTTAAATCACATCTGAGTTGTGATCACTGCACCAAGAGGTGTCTTGGAGCATCCCTGAGGTGTGAGCACTGCACCAGGAGATGTCTTGGATCATGCCTGAGTTGTGACCACTGCACCAAGAGGTGTTTTGGAGCATCCCTGAGGTGTGAGCACTGCAACAGGAGGTGTATGAGTGTGAGTACCTCACGAGGATGTACCTTGGATCATGTCTTAGTTCTGTGGGCACTGCATTAGGATGTGTTTTGGATCACCCTTGAGGTGTGAGCACTGCACCAGGAATTGTCTTGGTTCATCCCTGAGAGTGAGCACTGCACCAGGTGTTTGGGGTCATTTATAAGGTGTGAGCACCACACCAGGAGGTTTGTTATATTATGCCTGAGTGTGAGCACTGCAGCAGGAGGTATTTTGAATCATGCCTGAGTTGTGAGCATTGCATCAGGAAGTGTTTTGGATCTTCACTGAGGTGTGAGCACTGGACCAGGAGGTCTCATGGATCATCCCTGAGTTGCGAGCATTGCACCAGGAAGTGTCTTGGAGCATCCCTGAGGTGGGAGCACTGCACCAGAAAGTGTCTTGCATGTTGCATCATGCCTAAGGTAGGAGCACTACACCAGCAAGTGTCTTGGATCTTTCCTGAGGTGGGAACACTTTACCAGGAGGTATCTTGAATCACCCCTAAGGAAAGAGCACCACACCAAAGGGGTCTTGGATCATCCCTGGGGAGGGAGCACTACTTCAGGAGGTGCCTTGGGTCATCCTTGAGGTGTGAGCACTGCACAAAGAAGCATCTTGTATGATGCCTGAGTGTGAGCACTGCACCAGGGGTTGTCTTGGATCATTCCTGAAGGTTGAGCACTGTACCAGCAGGTATCTTGGATCATCTCAGAGGTGTGAGCATTGCACCAGGAGGTGTCTTGGATCATTCCTGAGGTAGGATCACTGCATCCGGAAGTGCCTTGAATCATCCCTGAGGTGTGAGCACTGTAACAGAAGGTGTCTTGGATTCTCCATGAGGTGTGAGTCCTGCACCAGCAGGCATCTTGAATCATCAGAAGAAAGAGCACTGCACCAAGAGGTGTCTTGGATCATCCCTGAGATGTGAACATTGCCCCTGCAAGTCTTATCATGCCTGAGGTGTGACCCATGCACCAGGAGATCTCTTGTATTGATGCTAAGGTGGGATCACTGCACCATGAGGTGTCTTGGATCAAACCCGTGGTGCAGGCACTACACAAGGAGGTCTCTTGAATCATCCCTGAGGTGGCAGCACTACATCAGAGGGTGTCTTGGATCATCCCTCAGGTGTGAACACTGCACAAGGAAATGCCTTAAATCATGCCTGAGGTATCAGCACTGCACCAGGAGGTGTCTTGCATTATTCCTAAGGTCAGAGCACTGCATCGCAATGTCTTGGATTGTGCCTGATCATGTGTGACCAGCAAGTGTCTTAACTCATCCCTGAGGAGGGAGTACTATAACAGGGGTATCTTGGATTATGCCTGAAGTGTGAGCATGCACCAGGAGGTGTCTTGAATCATCCCTGAGGTGGAAGCACTGCACCAAGAGGTGTCTTGGATCATCCCTGTGGGTTGAGCACTACACCAGGAGGTGCTTTGGATCATCCCTGACGTGTGTGCACTGCACCAGGAAGTGTCTTGTATTATGACTGAGTGTGAACACTACACCAAGTGGTTTTTGGGATCATTCCTAGGTGTGACCACCACACCAGGAGGTATCACGGATCATGCCAGAGTTGTAAGCACTGCATCAGGAGATGTTTTGGATTATCCCTGAGGTGTGAGCTTTGGACCAGGAGGTGTCTTGGATCATGCCTGAGTGTGAGCACTGCACCACATGGTTTTTTTGGATCATCTGTAGGTGTGAGCACTGCACCAGGAAGTATCTTGGATCATGTCTGAGTTGTGATCACTGCGCCAGGAGGTGCCTTAAATCATGTCTGAGTTGTGAGCACTGCACGAAGAGGTGTTTTGGAGCATCCTTGAGGTGTGAGCACTGCACCAGGAGGTGTTTTGGAACATCCCTGAGGTGTGAACACTGCACCAGGAAATGTCTGGGATCATCCCTGAGTGTGAGCACTGCACCAGGAGGTGTTTGGGGTCATCCATAAGGTGTGAGCACCACACCAGGAGGCTTGTTGTATTATGGCTGAGTGTGAGCACTGCACCAGGAGGTATATTCAATCATGACTAAGTTGTGAGCACTGGACCAGGAAGTGTTTTGGATCATCCCTGAGGTGTGAGCACTGGACCAGGAGGTCACCTGGATCATCCCTGAGTTGTGAGCCTGCATCAGGTGGTTTTTTGGATCATACCTAGGTGTGAGCACTGCACCAGGAAGTATCGCTGATCATGTCTGAGTTGTGATCACTCACCAGGAGGTGTCTTAAATAATATCTGAGTTGTGATCACTGCACCAGATGGTGTCTTGGATCATCGCTGAGGTGTGACCACTGCAGCAGGAAGTGTCTTGGATCATCGCTGTGGTGTGAGAACTGCACAATGAGGTGTTTTCCATCATCCCTGAGGTGGGAGCACTGCACCGGGAAATGTCTTGGATCACCTCTGGGGAGAGAGTACAACTCCAGGAGGTGTCTTGGGTCATCTTTGAGGTGTGAGCACACACCAAGAGGTGTCTTGGATCATTCCTGCAGGTTGAGCACTGTATCAGCAGGTATCTTGGATCATCTCAGAGGTGTGAGCACTGCACCAGGAGGTGTCTTGGATCATCCCTGAAAGTTGAGCACTGTACAAGCAGGTATCTTGGATCATCTCAGAGGTGTGAGCATTGCACCAGGAGGTGTCTTGGATCATCCCTGAGGTAGGATCACTGCACTAGGAAGTGTCTTGAATCATCCCTGAGGTGTGAGCACAGTAACAGGAGGTGTCTTGGATCCTCCCTGAGATGTGAGCACTGCAGCAGGAGGTGTCTTCAATCATCAGAGGAAAGAGCACTACACCAAGATATGTCTTGGATCACGTCTGAGGTGTGATCGCTGTAACAAGAGGTGCCTTGAATCATCCCTGAGGTGTGAGCACTGTACCAAGACGTGTCTTGGATCATCCAGGAGGTGTGAGCACCTCACCAGGATCATCATACCTGACGTGTGAACATTTCACCCAGAAGTGGCTTATGTCATGCCTGAGGTGTGATTCATGCACCAGGAGGTGTTTTGTATCATCCCTGAGGTGCAGGCACTGTACCAGTAGGTCTCTTGGATTATGCCTAAGGTTTGAGCACTGCACCAGGAAGTGTCTTTTATCATCCCTGAAGTGTGAGCACTGCACAAGGAGGTGTCTTAAGTAATCTCTGAGGTGGGAGCACTGCACAGGGAGGTGTCTTCATTCATCCCCCAGAAGGGACTACTGCACCAAGAGGTTTTTTGGATAATCCTGAGGAGGGAGCACTGCACCAGGAGGTATCTTGGATGATAACTGAGTTTTAACCACTGCAGCAAGAAGTGCCTTAAATAATCTCTGAGGTGGAAACACTACACCAGGAGGTGTCTTGGATCATCCCTGAGGTGCAGACACTGCACCAGGAGGTCTGTAGGATTATCCCTGAGGTTTGAGCACTGCACCAGGAAGTGTCTTTTATCATCCCTGAGTTGGGAGCACTGCACCAGGAGGTGTATTGGATCATCACTTAGGTGGAGCATTGCACCTGCAAGTGCCTTGGATCATGCCTGACGTGTGAGCACTGCACCAGCAGGTGTCTTGGCTCATCCCTGAGCAGGGAGTACTGCACGAGGAGGTGTCTTGTGTCACACCTGAGGTGTGAGCACTGTACCAGGAGGTGTCTAGGATCATCCCTGAATTGTGAGAAGTGCACCAGGAGGTGTCATGGAGCATCCCTGAGGTGGGAGCACTGCACCAGGAAGTGGCTTGCATGTTGCATCATCCCTGAGGTAGGAGCACTACACCAGCAGGTGTCTTGGATCTTTCCAGAGGTAGGAGCACTTCACCAGGAGGTATCTTGAATCAACCCTAAGGTAAGAGCACTGCACCAAAGGGGTCTTGGATCATCCCTGGAGTGGGGGGAACACTACTCCAGGAGGTGTCTTGGGTCATCCTTGAGGTGTGAGCACTGCACCAAAAGGTGTCTTGTATTATGCCTGATTGTATTATGCCTGAGTGTGAGCATTGCACTTGGGGGTGTCTTGGATCATTCCTGAAGTAGGATCACTGTCTCAGGGAGTGTCTTGAATCATTCCTGAGGTGTAAGGATTGTTACAGGAGATGTCTTGAATCATCAGAGGAAAGACCACTACACCAAGTGGTGTCTTGGATCATCCCTGAGGTGTGAACTTTGCACCCGGAAGTGTCTTATCATGCCTGAGGTGTGACCCATGTACCAGGAGGTCTCTTGTATCATCCCTGAGATGGGATCACACACCATGAGGTGTCTTGGATCAAATCTGAGGTGCAGACGCTGCACAAGGAGGTCTCTTGAATCATCCCTGAGGTGGCAGCACTGCACCAGAAGGTGTATTGGATCATCCCTCAGGTGTGAACACTGCACCAGGAAGTGTCTAAAATCATGCCTGAGGTGTCAGCACTGCACCAGGAGGTGTTTTTGATCATCCCTAAGGTGCAGGCACTGCACCAGGAGGTCTCTTGGATTATGCCTGAGGTTTGAGCACTGCATCAGGAAGTGTCTTTTATCATCCCTGATGTGTAAGCATTGCACCAGGAGGTGTCTTGCGTCATTCCTGAGGTGTGTACACTGCACCAGGAGTTGTTCTGCATTATTCCTGAGGTCGGAGCACTGCATCACAAGTGTCTTGGATCGTGCCTGATGGTGCCTGACCAGCAAGTGTCTTAACTCATCCCTGAGGAGGGAGTACTGTAACAGGTGTCTTGGATCATCCCTTGGAGTGCAGCACTACACCACCAGGTGCTTTGAATCATCTCTGAGGTGTGAGCAGTGCACCAGGAAGTGTCTTGTATTATGACTGAGTGTGAATACTTCACCAGGTAGTTTTTTGGATAATTCCTAGGTGTGACCGCTGCACCAGGAGGTATCTCGGATCATGCCAGAGTTGTGAGCACTGCATCAGGAGATGTTTTGGATCATCCCTGAGGTGTGACCACTGGACCAGGAGGTGTCTTGGATCATGCCTGAGTGTGAGCACTGTACCAGGTGGGTTTTTTGTATCACCCCTAGGTGTGAGTACTGCATCAGGAAGTACCTTTGATCATGTATGAGTTGTGATCACTGCACCAGGACATGTCTTAAATCATATCTGAGTTGTGATCACTGCACCAAGAGGTGTTTTGGAGCATCCCTGAGGTGTAAGCACTGCACCAAGAGGTGTCTTGGATCATGCCTGAGTTGTGACCACTCCACCAGGATATGTTTTGGAACATACCTGAGGTGTGAGCACTGCACCAGGAGGTGTCTTAGATTATGCCTGAGTGTGAGCACCTCACCAGGATGTACCTTGGATCATGCCTGAGTTTTGTGGGCACTGCACCAGGATGTGTTTTGGATAATCCCTGAGGTGTGAGCACTGCACCAGGAAGTGTTTTGTATTATGCCTGAGTGTGAACACTGCACCAGGTGGTTTTTTGGATGATTCCTAGGTGTGACCACTGCACCATCATCATGCCAGAGTTGTGAGCACTGCATCAGGAGATGTTTTGGATCATCTCTGAGGTGGGATCACTGTACCAGGGGTGTCTTGAATCATCCCTGAGGGGTGAACACTGTGACAGGAGGTGTCTTGAATCATCCCTGAGGTAAGAGCACTGCACCAGGAGGTCTTTGGATCATCATACCTGAGGTGTGAACATTTCACCCAGAAGTGTCATATCATGTCTGAGGTGTGACCCATGCACTAGGAGGTGTTTTGTATCATGCCTGAGTTGTGACCACTGTACCAGAGGGTGTTTTGGAACATCCCTGAGGTGTGAGCACTGCACCAGGTGGTGTCTTGGATCATCTCTGTAGTGTGAGAATTACACAAAGAGGTGTTTTTAATCATCCCTGGGGTGAGATCACTACACCAGGAATTGTGTTGGATCATGCCTGAGTGTGAGCACTGCACCAGGAGGTATTTTGAATCATGCCTGAGTTGTGAGCACTGCATCATGAGGTGTTTTGGATCATCCCTGAGGTGCAAGCACTGCACCAGGGGGTGTCTTGGATCATCCCTGATGTGTGAGCACTGCACCAGGAGATGTCTTGGATCATCCCTGAGGTGTAAGCACTGCACAAAGGACTGTCTTGTATTATTCCTGAGTGCAAACGCTGCACCAGGTGTCTTTTTGGCTCATTCCTAGGTGTGACCACTGCACCAGGAGGTATCTCAAGTCATGCCAGAGATGTGAGCACTGCATTAGAAGATGTTTTGGATCATCCCTAAGGTGTGAGCACTGGACCAGGAGGTCTCTTGGATCATCCCTGAGTTGAGAGCACTGTTCCAAGAGGTGTCTTGGATCATGCCTGAGTGTGAGCACTGCACCACGTGGTTTTTTTGGATCATCCCTAGGTGTGAGCACTGCACCAGGAGGTATCTTGGATCATGTCTGAGTTGTGATCACTGCACCAGGAGGTGTCTTAAATCATATCTGAGTTGTGAGCACTGCACCAAGAGGTGTTTTGGAGCATCCCTGAGGTGTGAGCACTGCATGAGGTGGTGTCTTGGATCATCCCTGTAGTGTGAAAACTGCACAAGGAGGTATTTTCCATCATCCCTAAGGTGGGAGCACTACACCAAGAAGTGTGTTGGATAATGCTTGAGATGTGAGCACTGCACCAGGAGGTGTCTTAGATCATGCCTGAGTGTGAGCACCTCACCAGGATGTACCTTGCATGATGCCTGAGTTGTGTGGGCACTGCATCAGGATGTGTTTTGGATCACCCTTGAGGTGTGAGCACTGTACCAGGAATTGTCTTGGATCATCCCTGAGTGTGAGCACTACACCAGGAGGTGTTTGGGGTCATCCATAAGGTCTCAGCACCGCACCAGGTTTCTTGTATTATGCCTGAGTGTGAGCACTGCACCAGGAGATATTTTGAATCATGTCTGAGTTGTGAGCACTGCATCAGGAGGTATTTTGGATCATCCCTGAGGTGTGAGCATTGCACCAGGAGGTGTCTTGGATCATCCCTGAGGTGTGAACATTGCACCCAGAAGTGTCTTATGTCATGCCTGCAGTGTGAGCACTGCACCAGGATATCTAGGATCATCCCTGAATTGTGAGCACTAAACCAGGAGGTGTCTTGATTCATCCCTGAGGTGTGAGCACCTCACCAGGAGGTATCTTGGATCATCCCTGAGATGTGAACACCTCACCAGGAAGTGTCTTGGATCATGTCTGAGTTGTGAGCACTGCACCAGGACGTGTCTTAAATCATCTCTGAGGTTTGAGCACTACACCAGGAGGTGTCTTAAATCATGCTGAAAAGTGACCACTGCACCAGGAGGCATCTTGGATCATGTCTCAGTTGCAACAGGAGGTGTCTTGGATCATCCCTGTGGTATAAGCACTGCACCAGAAGGTGTCTTGGATCAACCCTGGGATGGAGGCAGTGCACCAGAAGGTGTCTTGGATCATCCCTGATGTGGGAGCACTGCATCAGGAGATCTCTTGGATCATCGCTGAGGTGTGAGCACTGCACCAGGAGGTATCTGGAATGATTTTTGAGGAGAGTGTAGCGCACCAGGAGGTATCTTGGATCTACCCTGAGGTGTGAGCACTGCAACAGGAAGTGTCTTGGATCATCCCTGAGGTGTGAGCACTGCAACAGGATGTGTCCTCAATCATCCATGAAGGGGGATCACTGCACCAGGAGGTGTCTTGTATCATTGCTGAGGTGGAAGCACTGCACAAGGAAGTGTCTTAGATCAACCTGACTTGTGAGCACTGCACCAGAAGGTGTCTTGGATCATTGCTAAGATGCAAGCAATGCACCAGCAGATGTCTCAGATCGTCCTTTAGGTGGGAGCGCTACACGAGGGGTGTCTTGGATCATCCCTGAGGAGGGAGCACTACACCAGGAGGTGTCTTGGATCATTTCTGAGGTGCAGGCACTGCATCATGAGGTGTCTTGGATCGTCGCTGAAGTGTAAGCACTGCACCAGGAGGTGTTGTGAATCATCGCTGAGGTGTGAGCACTGCACCAGTAGGTGTCTTGGATCATCCTTGGGGTGTGAACATTGCATCAGGAGATGTCTCAGATCATCCCTGAGGTGCAGGCACTGTACCAGGAGGTATCTTGAATCATTTCTGAGGTGCAGGTGCTGCACCAGGTGTCTTGAATCAGCCCTGAGGTGTGAGCACTACACCAGGAGGTGTCTTGATTCATCCCTGAGGTGTGAGCACTGCACCAGGTGTCTTGATTCATCTCTGAGGTGTGAGCACTGCACCAGGAGCTGTCTTGAATAACTTCTGAGGTGTGACCATTGTACCAGGAGGTGTCCTGTATCATCCCTGTGGAGGGAGCACTGCACCAGAAGGTGTATTGGATCATCCCTGAAGTGTGAACACTACATCAAAAGGCATCACGAATCATCCCTAAGGCTTGAGCACTGCACCAGGAGGTGTCTTTGATCATGCCTGAGATGTATGCACTGCACTAGGAGGTGTTTTGGATCATCCCTAGGTGGGAGCACTACCCCAAGAGGAGTCTTGGATCATCTTTGAGGTGGGAGTACCACACCACGAGGTGTCTTGGATCATCCCTGAGGTGGAAGCACTGCACCAGGAGTTGTCTTGGATCATTCCTGAGGTGTGAGTACTGCACCAGGAGGTATCTTGTATCATCCCCGAGGTCAGAGCACTACACCAGGAGATGTTTGGATCAAACCTGACATGTAGGCACCGCACCAGAAGGTCTCTTGGATGATGCCTGAATTGTCAGCACTGCACCAGGAAGTGTATTTTATCATCCTTGAGGTCAGAACACTGCACCAGCAAGTGTCTTGGATTCTGCCTAAGGTGTGAGCACTGCACAAGCAGTTGTCTTGGCTCATCCCTAAGAAGGGAGTACTGTGCCAGGGGGTGTCTTGGATTATGCCTGAGTTGTGAGCACTGTATCAGGAGGTGTCTTGGATCAGCCCTGAATTGTGAGCACTGCACAAGGAGGTGTCTTGGATCATCCCTGAGGTGGGAGCACTGCACCAGGAGGTGTCTTCAATCATCCCTGAGGTGTGAGCACTGCACCAGGAGATGTCTTGGATCATCCCTGAGGTAGGATCACTACACCAGGAGGTTTCTTGGATCATTTCTGAAGTGTGAGCACTGCACCACAAGGTGTCTTGAATCATCCCTGAGGTAGGACCACTACACTAGGAGATGTCTTGGGTCATCCCTGAGGTGTGAGCACTGTACCAGGAGGTGTCTTGGATCATCCCTGAGGTGCAGTGATATGGTTTGGTCATGTCCCCACCCAAATCTCATCTTGAATTGTAGCTCCCATAATCCCCACATGTCATAGAAGGGACCCTGTGGGAGGTAACTGAATCATGGAGGGAGTTACCTCCATGCTGTTTTCATGACAGTGAGTGAGTTTTCAGATCTGATGGTTTTATAAGGAGCTTTTCCCCCATTTACTTGGCACTTCTCCTTCCTGCCATCCTGTAAAGAAGGATGTGTTTACTTCCTTCCACTTTGATTGTAAGTTGTTTGAGGCCTCCTCAGCCCCACAGAACTATGAGTCATTTAAACCTTCTTTCTTTATAAATTACCCAGTCTTGGGCAGTTCTTTATAGCAGTGTGAGATCAGACTAATAAACACCCCCATGATTTAATTACCTCCCACCAGGTCCCTCCCATGACACATGGGGATTATGAGAACTACAATTCAAGATGAGATTTGGGTGGGACACAGCCAAAACATGTTATTCCATTCATGGTCCCTTTAAAATATGTCCTCACATTTCAAAACACAATTATGTACTTCCAACAGTCCCCCAAAGTCTTAATTCATTCCATCATTATCCCCAAAGTCCAAATCTAAAGTCTCATCTGAGACAAGGCAAATTCCTTCGCCTATGAGCCTGTAAAATCAAAAGTGAGTTAATTACTTCCAAGATACAATGGAGATACAGGCATTGGACAAATACACCCATTCCAAATGAGAGAAATTGGCCAAAACAAAGAGGCTCCAGGCCCCACCCAAGTCCAAAATCCAACAGGGCAGTAACCAAACCTTAAAGTTCCAGAATAATCTCCTTCAACTCCATGTCTCACATCAGGTCACGCTGATGCAAGAGGTGGGCTCCCATGGCCTTGGACTGCTTCACCCCTGTGGCTTTGCTTTCACAAGATGGCATTGAGTGTCTGAGGCATTTCCAGGTGCACAGTGCAAGCTGTCAGCGGATCTACCATTCTGGGGTCTGAAGGACGGTGGCCCTCCTCTCACAGTTCAACCGGGCAGCACCCCCATGGGGACTCCCTGTGGGGGCTCCAATCCCACATCTCCCTTCTTCAATGCCCTAGCAGAGGTTCTCCATGAGGGCTTTGCCCCTACAGCAGACTTCTGCCTGTACATCCAGGTATTTCCATACATCCTCTGAAATCTAAGCTGAGGTTCCCAAACCTCAATTCTTGACTCCTGTACACCCACAGGTCCAAGACCACGTGTAAGCCACCAAGGCTTGGGGCTTGCACCCTCTGAAGCAACAGCCTGAGCTCTATGTTGGCCCCTTGAGCCACAGCTGGAACTCACTATCACCAAATCCCTATACTACACAAAGCAGCAAGGCCCTAGGCCTAGCCCGTGAAACCCTTTTTTCCTCCTAGGCCTCTGGGCCTGTGATGGGAGGGACTGCTGTGAAGAACTCTGACATGCCCTGGAGACAGTTTCCCCATTGTCTTGGTGATTAACATTTGGCTTTTCGTTACTGATGCAAATTTATCTAGCTGGCTTGAATTTCTTCTCCAAAAATGGGTTTTTCTTTTCTATCGCATCATCAGGCTGCAAATTTTCCTAAGTTTTATGTTCTGGTTCCCTTTTAAACATAAGTTTTAATTCCAAACCATATATTTGTGAGTACATAAAACTGAATGCTTTTAACAGCACCCAAGTCACCTCTTGAATGCTTTGCTGCTCAGAAATTTCTTCTGCCAGATACCCTAAATCATCTCTCTCAAGTTCAAAATTCCACAGATCTTTAGGGCAAGGGCAAAATACTGCCAGTCTCTTTGCTAAAATGTAGCAAGAGTCACCTTTATTCCAGTTCCCAAAAAGTTCTTCATCTCCATCTGAGACCACCTCAGCCAGGACTTCATTGTCCACATCACTATCAGCATTTTGGTCAAAACCATTAAACAAGTCTCTAGGAAGTTCCAACTTTCCTGGAAGACATCTTCCTGTCTTCTTCTGAGCCCTCCAAACTGTTCCAACCTCTGCCTGTTACCCAGTTCCAAAGTCACTTCCACGTTTTTTAGTATCTTTATAGCAGCGCCCCACTACCCAGTATCAATTTACTGTTTTATTCCATTCTCATGCTGCTATGAAGAACTGCCTGAGACTGGGTAATTTATAAAGGAAAGAGGTTTAAATTACTCACAGTTCTGCAGGGCTGGGGACGCCTCAGGAAACTTACAATCATGGCAGAAAGCAAAGGGGAAGCGGGCACGTCTTCATGTGTCTGGAGAAGGAGGAAGAGAGCAAAGAGGGAGGTGCCACACACTTTCAAACAACCAGGTCTCCTGAGAACTCATTCACCATCACAAGAATGCAAGGGGGAAATCTGCCCCCATGATCCAATCACCTCCAACCAGCCCACTTCCCCAACACTGGGAATTACAATTCGACATGAGATTTGGTTGGGGACACAGAGCCAAACTATATCAGTGCTTAACCTCATTTGAGTTGTCACACGCAACCAGGAGGCTTGAATAACCCACTGCTTCCAGACTAGATGGCTTTCTGTGTGACCCCAAGAGAGACTCCCAGCCTCTGCTGATTCCTATGTAAAGTATGGGTTGGAACTGGATGGTATCGTAGGTTCCTTTAGCTCCGTATGATTCTCATGTAAAATTCCACCCAGCAGTCAGGCAAGAGGTGCACTGGGGAGAGGAGGTGGAACCCCCAGGTTGTTGATAAAATCCTGAAATCCCTTGGCTCTGTGCTTCAAACAGCCACCTTCCCAACATCTATGACTCTTTGAACTGCTCATAAAGAGCGCTGATTAATGTGACACTTCACATGCCCACCATGAAATTAGGAAGGCCCTTAGATCTCCTTCAAACCCGCGGTGCCGGTGCCTTCGCCCCATCAATCAGAGATGAAACTGTGATTGTGCTGCAAGGAGACGAGGCCATCCTGGAGTTCTGCCATGAAAGAATCGCTGGGACTCAAAGGAGGGGAAAACAAGGGAAGGAGAGAGGGGGAAAGGGAAAGAGAAGCTGCTTCCAGAAGGAATAAATTTGTGTGTGTACTTTGATCCTGCTATGATTTTTATTTGTTTTAGCCACATCCTTTTCACTGCACCACTCAGCTAAAGGTGCTTTAAATTAGATGGCGCTAGGAAACCCTCTTCCTCCCCCCTTCTTCCCCTGCCTGCCACGCAGGCCCACAGTCTTCAGTCAGTGTGAGATGTATAATCATGTCATGCTCAAATGTAACTGGAATAAATTGAGACAAATAAACTCAAAGGCACCACATGCATTTAGAATGCTCTTTGTCAGGGTTTCCTAATATGCTTGCAGGCAGCTAACTCAACGCAAACAAAAAGTGGCAGTGTTTACCCAGCTTTGCTTTGGAGCATGTTGAGAGCCTCTGACTCACAGATCGCTGCTGATTGAATCTGCACATACATTGGTGTTCACTGTCCCCCAGCTAACTTCCTTCCCTCTTCCACACTCCTCCCTTTCCCAGGTGTCCAGGCTGAACAGGGACTTGTTTGGGGTCCTCTGTTCCTCTCCTCTACCTGTCTTCAGTAGGATAGCACAAAGATCACAAAGGCCTTGAGAGCAGAGATGGGAAGTGAGAACCGTGTCTCACTGTGAGGACCCCAGGACCTTTGTTCAAACAAAGCAAAGCAGCACCTGGCATGGCCGGCCCGTTCTGCTCAGCGTTCAGGAGCGAGCTGCCTACCAGAAACCTCCTCTTTGGTGCTCTTGTTAAAAAAGATGCCTCAGGGCACCTTTAAGGGAAGATCTGAAATGAACCTCTTACCTTCTAAAACCTTCTTTCTTGGCCAATCTTGTTCCATGACCGGCCACATGGCTGTGGATTTACTGGCTCTCTGGACCCTCACCCTCCCATCAGGGTGCCATCTTATCCATGTCTCTGATTGAGGGACACACATGTCAGCTCTCTGCTCCTGCACTGCCAGGCACAGCCATGATGGTCTCAGAGCCATTGGTCCCCAGCACAGAGGGGAGCTTCAAATGGTACCATGATGATGAAGGTGGTAGGTGCCTAGTAGCTACGGACTTTGGATTATATCCATTTCCAATGATTAACAAGAAGCCCCTTTAATTTTAAGCATGTACTTTTTATTCAGAAATAAGGTCCCACTCTGGCACCCAGGTGGGAGTGCAGTGGTGCCGTCATGGCTCATTGCAGCCTCAACCTCCCAGGCTCAAGCGATCCTCCCACCCCAGCCTCGCAAGTAGCTGGGACTGCAGGTGCACCATCATGCCTGGCTAATTTTTTAAATTACTATTTTAATAGAGATGGGGTATTGCTATGTTTCCAAGGCTGGTCTCAAACTCCTAACCTCAAGTGATCCTCCCACCTCAGCCTCCCAAAGTGCTGGGATTACCGACGTGAACCACTGTTCTGGACCAAGTATGTACATTTATAAATAACACCCATTTTCCTGTGATTTCCTTAGCTTCACTCTATGAACTGCTAGCTTGTCATGCCTCCCTGTCATATTCTCTGACAGTTTCCAGCCTTATGCCCCATGGGTGTCTCTCTCTCTCTCTGTCTCTCTCTGCTTTCTTTAATTCCTCTTTGGCTGCCAAGAGTTCATTTTCTCAGCCTGTGACAGCACCCCATGTTCCCCAGTTTCTTATGGGGAATCACAGCTCCCCTGCTACATTTAGTCTGTTGGGAGCACAATTCTGGGTAATCAGCTTCTACAGCAGAAGTGACAGGGTCTGAGCAGCCTCTCACTAGATTTGGAAGAACTAGAGAGCAGGTCCGGGTGGCCCAACACCCAGCCCCTAATGCCATGCACTTCCTGCCCCCTGAGTTTCATTGATTCCACACCTGGCATCCAGCCCTCAAGTCCATTTTGGAAGCATCCTGTCCCTCCCCCCAGACAGACACATGCACTGGTTATCCTTTCAATAAAACCATCTGGGATGGGATCCAGTCTGGAAGGTAAATCTTAGAAACCTTTCCCTTGTCTTCTTATGCATCTCTTTGGAATTCTTACATCTCAGATCAATTCTGCTAGTTAACACTTCCCAGGAAAGTCACCATCCCCTCTGACGTCAGAATGTATCAGGAGAGAGTCTGTGGCAGGGAGAGTAACATTCCTCAGCATTCAACCCAGTCTCCACATTGTCCTGCGTTCTTACCACACAGCCAGAGCAGGAGCATGTGACTGGTTCTGGACCAGTTTGGGCAAGAGTGGTGTGTGTCACCTCTGGGCCAAAATACAGAAGAAACAGTGCGTGAGCCCCCAGGGGTCCCTTCTGCTGCTCTACTCTCCCAGATGGTAGAGTCTCGATCAGCCTGGGTCCTGGGTGTCTCGGTAGAGCAGAGCCCCTGCCGACCTCCACAAAACACGTAGCCTGAAAAAGAAGTCAATCTGTGCTGGGTCAGTTTCCAGGACACCAGGATTGGCTCCAACGTGTTCCTAATATCAGTAATTTCTATGTCTTGGCTAAAAATACCTTGCCCTCCCCAAGGAGACAAAAATACTCTCTATATGTCCTTCTGGAATTTTTCAGGTTTTTTTTTATTACACCTAAATCTTTAACGCAGCTGGAATGTATTGTGTGTATGGAATGCATTGTACATATGAAATGTATTGTACGTATGGAATGTATTGTACGTATGGACTGGCAGAAAGATGTTACTTTTTAGGTAACATGGTTTTCTCTATGGAGAGCCAGTGATCTAAAATCTTGTATTCAATTCTCCCTACTTATTTGAAATGCCACACATGTCAAATGATAAATTCTGCCACATACAGTCTCCAGATCTGGAATCTCTGCACAGGGATCAGTGCACTAACTGGAATTACAGTGCCTGTTGTCAGTTTTGGGGAAGTTACTTAGCGTGTTCACCAATTCTCCTCGAGCCAGTGCCTACTCTGGACATTCATGATACAAAAGGGCAGGGCTGCATTCCAGGTGAGCGTGTGTAGGAAGGCATGAGAAACCTTGCAGGGAGCAGACACTGGGGGGAGGTCGGGGAGGGCCAGACGGACCAAAGTTTTCCTGAGAAAGGTCAAGGGGACTTGCCAAGCCCACCTGATGGACAAAAATTGAGAGCAGAAGAGGGCAGAGCCCATCGGCCCCTGAAAATCTCCAGCTCCAGGACCAAGAAGCAGAGTCCTGGAGGCACCATCCCTCATGCCAGGACATCGCTTGAGACTGTTGAGAGGCACAAGCCCAGAGGCTGGGCGCGATGGCTTACACCTGTAATCCCAGCACTATGGGAGGCCGAGATGGGCAGATCACGAGGTCAGGAGATCGAGACCATCCTGGCTAACACAGTGAAACCCCATCTCTACCAAAAATACAAAAAAAAAAAAAATTAGCCAGGTGTGGTGGCACGCACCTGCAGTCCCAGCTACTCCGTAGGCTGAGGCAGGAGAATAGTTTGAACCCGGGAAGCAGAGGTTGCCCTGAGCCAAGATCATAGCACTGCACTCCAGCCTGGATGACAGAGCAAGACTCCATCTCAAAAAAAAAAAAAAAAAAAAGAGAGAGAGAAAGAGGCACAAGCCCAAATCAGACCCGCACTGCTCTCCGGCGCCTTCCAGACACTGATAGAGGCCTGGGCCATGGTCCACGCGGGGGACTGAGCGTGGCAAGAGCAGCTGCAGGTGCAGCCATTGTTGGCCAGTATCCCAGGAAACCCCATGCTGGCAGCCCACAAAGCCATGGACTGACGACTTCCCTTTTCAAGATCAGCTGTGTCTTCTCTTCCTCAGGCCACCACTCTTTCCAATAACAGGGTAGAAAAAAACCCTTGATTTAAAAAAAGGCAACAGGACATGCTGGGCAAGTTAAATCACTTAATATTTCAAAATATTATTCAACCACAATAATTGTAGCTGTCTAAGAGAATCTGCATTTGTGTGGTTCCTTAAACTGTACTCTTTTTTTAATATAATTTTTTTTGAGACAAGGTCTCACTATGTTACCCAGGCTGGTCTGAAACCTCTGGGCTCAAACGATCTTCCCCCCTCGGCCTCCCAGAGCACTGGAATGACAGGCATGAGCCACCACGCCCAGCCAAATTGTAGCCTTTCTTCCTGTCTTTAAAATTCACTTGACTTCCCATTCAAAATGGCAGACTGAAGCGTTTACATCTTCTGCCACAAATCCCATTAAATTAACAAAGTAAGTATGGAACTATGAACATATTTCCTAGAGCACTAGAAATAGAGAATGTTGCCTAATTCTGGAGGATGTAAGTAGAACCTATCACACCGACGCCAGAACAAAACGGAGGGAGAAGCCAAGGGCAGCACCGGCGTGGGACGGGCTTTCCCTGAGGAGCCTCAGCAACAACTCATGCGTGGCAACATTTGTGACTTTCAGCAGGAAGGGGCATGGGACTGTGATGGGGCTCACAGCAGACCTCCTGGGACCTCTAGAATAGATATAGAGAGCTTGGCTGAACCACCCACCCTGCCCCCGACCAGGCTTCAGCTAGCGACAGCTCCCTAAGTCATGGGGTGACCTGCCTGGGAGCCATAGTAAGAACCTGCGGCCACAGAAAGACACACGGAGTGCCCGGTCACCAGCTTGACAAAGGAAGGAAACAAAGGCTTGGGAGGGTGCAAAGTCACCCCAGGATAAAGCCTCCTAGGACATCCTAACATCCAGGATATTCCAGTAATTTTGCTTAGTAAAAAGTGACCCAAGAATTGCAGTTCAGGAACCAGGGGATCCCACAGGGCCAACCTCTCCCTTGGCCCCACGGAGCTATTGGCTGAACAAGCACAAGCCCCAAGCTCCATTCTACGCAAGGGGAAACACATCCTGCTCCTTGGAGGAGCCTGAAAATGTACAATGTGTCCAGCGGAGCCCAGGGCAACTCCAGTCCACGAGGCTCGAGTGGTACCGATGAGCCAGGTGTCAGCCCTCACTTCCTTCCCCTTCCCCTGGCAGAAGCACCTTAGAGATAGGGCAAACTGATCACTTGTGCCCAACAAATGAAGGCCAATGGGTGGCCTGAGCCCACAGTCAGCACCGCCCAGGAGCCTGGACAGCCAGCTTCTGGGGTTCACACACCCGCTCAGGAGAGAGGGCATGCGTGCCCATCGGTTCTGCCCGCCTGCCCCTGGGGGCTGCACCATGACCAACTCCAGCCTCCCGGGTCATCTGTCACTCCAGCCATCCAAAAGAACTGCCAAGAAAGGGGAGCTTCAGCCAGCTCTTGAGGTGGGAAGTGACGGGTTCCAAATTGCCTTTTAGGAAAATATGCACCAAGAAAGGATTGGACCAGGCTGGATAATTCCTTTGCTTGGGATCTCAGGGGATGAGGGGTTCGGGAAAGCCCGAGTTGTCAGGGAGGTGCAGATTCGAATCTCAGCACTGACTCTGACAAGCTGTGTGACTTCAAACAACAACCCACCCGCTTTCTGTCCAACAGGGACGGAAACGCCACCTGGCCAGGCCCTTCAGGGATGTGACCGCAGTGGGCCCAGCCTGGGGCAAATGCTGTGAGATGGCACCACATCATGTTGGCATGGGCTGCAGCCCCTCGTGAACATTTCCTTTTGGTCCTTGTTAGCTGGTGCCTTTGGGTGAGTTTCATGGTGGTGTCTCATGGTGAGTATCAAGCACGGCAGCAGGGAGCCCCCTCCACCCGCCCCACTCCCCCAGGACTCCAGGCTCCCCTCTCACCAGTTGTACAGAGAAGACGTCAGCCCACAGAACCATGTGCTGTGTAAGCTCCTCACTGCAAACACCCCCAAAGGTCAGAGACCAGGGGACCCACAGGAGAGTGAGAGGCCTCCGCCTCTGAGGTCAGGCCTCTGACCATGGCCGTGGGTGCTGTGATGCCCTGCATGGCTCTCCTCCCCCGGGAGGCCCGCCCGGCTCAGCTCTGTCTATGGGGAAGGCCACAGAGCTCCGGGGGCTGGCTTTCCTCAGCCCCGAGTAATTACAGACATGTGTCTGCACATGTCACTGGTCAGACTCCCACGACCCCGCAGTAGATCCTCATTAACCCGGGGACTTGAGGACTCTGAGAGGAGCAAGGGGCCGAGAGGAGAGAGGGAGACCTGGGCGCTGGCAGGGATGGGGAACCTGCAGAGAGGCCCAGACGTCCTGTGCCCATGCTGATGGGCAAGGTATGCCACCTGCCCCGCGAATGACGAAGCGGGAGCCTGCCGCGGGACCAGGGACGGGCGCGGGGAGCCTGAGCAGAGCAGGTTGGGGAGCCACAGCGAAGAGTTTATGAGCCGGCGTCCAGCCCCTCCCCTCTCCCTCCTGAGCACGGCTATTAAACTCCTTCTGGCCTCCAGATGCGCAGTCTGCAAGCTAGTTCCCTTTTGTTATTTCAAGCTCAGGGCCTTGATCTTTTGCCACTTTGGAAGAAGCGGAGAAACAAAGGGATCTGGTGCTGTTGCTTAATAGCGCGGCTGGCTTGGCCCCACCGGGCCGGCATGTGTCTGATGCTCTGTGCTGTCACTGCAGAGCCATCCCTTTGATGGGAGCAAGGCAGGGACCCGGCCCAGGAGCCCTCTGAGAGCCGCTCAGCAGCTCCCTCTCCTGTTCCCGCAGGCCTTCACCTCATGCATGGGTAGCCGGCCCACTGTCTTCTCCTCACCGCTTAAGAGTGGCCGCTTAGAGACAAGAAGTAGATAATGCAGAGCGCTTGGGGTCCCCAACGGATTGGAGCACAGTGCAACCAGTCACCAGGGCTGCTGGGCCCTCAACTGCACTTCACTCAAGCTGAAGGTGCAGCGTCCCCCGCAGGTCGTGTTAGCCCCCTACCCTCCTGCAGCATGTCAGGAAGAGCACTGAACTAGGAGTCTGAAGGCCTGCGTTCCAGTTGCCTGCATGCCCCGGGGCAGGCTGAACCTCTGCTTGCCTGGTTGGCTTCTGTGGCACTGGCTCTGAATTCAGGGCTGGGCCCAGATGGGGACGCAGCAGACACTTGCTGAATGATGAAAATCCCAGCTCTGCCATGAGGAGCCATGTGACCGGGGCCAGTTCCTTTTATTCTTCATTCTCTCCCTCCTGTATTTACACACCCCATAAGAACCCTGATCACCTGCTCCATGCCAGACAGTAAATGGATGCCACCCCTGCCCTCAATTGTCATTAGTGTAACAAGGGCTGTGACAGAGACCCTGATGGAAGGACACTGGGGTGCCCACCAGAGGGAGGAATGGGCGTCAGGATGGCAGCTTCCCAGGCTGACACCCACCTGAGCCCAAAGGATGGAGGGAGTTTCTCAAGTGAAGGAAAAAGGAAGACCAGTTAAGGCAGAGGATGAAGCCTGGGGGTACCTGGAGACACAAGAGATTGAGGACATTTGGGGACCACTCAGGAGCCCGTGTGGCTAGAGCGAAAACCTCAAAGAGGCAGAAAAGAAGATTTACTAAAGGGGACTGTACATCCCCCTGAGAGCCCAGGAGCCATGCAGGGCAGACAGTAGGGAGGGGACCCACCTGCAAAGTGTGAGAGGCTGACCGGCCAGTTGGGGGGCTGCAGGCAGCAGCTAGTGCAGAGGCTGCTGTACCCCAAAATGGGAGGGGGGCCACAGCCGAAGAGGAGGGGGAGGCAGCTCTGAGAAGAACGGGGAAGAACAGTCACCAGGACCTGGGACTGCACACCCCTGAGCAGGTGGTGGCATGCGGGCCCCTCCAGACAAGGTGCCTGGCAGGAACATGAGTGCCATCTGGGAGGGGCTTTGCTTTGGAAGCACTTAGTTTACCATGACTGAAACAGGTGGCAGGAATGACCAGGCAGAGGGCAGGCGGATACAGCCAGCTGGTGTCAGACGTCAGGAGGGCCGTCTGGGCCAAAGGCAGGGGAGGAGGCCACAGCAAATGTGGGGAAGCAGAGCCTGGAAATGGAGGGACCCAGGGCAGCCTCCACACTCAAGGGCCAGGCTGCAAAGTGGAAAGGTCCGCAGAATGCCAGGATAAGGTCTTCGAGACTGGCGTGGCCCATCCTGGGGAAACAGCGTCACCTGTCCCCCTGCTGCTACTGTGGGAGGGGAAGGTCTCAAGATACACGACCACAGGCTCCCACCACGGAAACACTCTTGCCCACACCGTGCTCCTGCAAACCCGCTCCTCACCCCACATTGTCCCAGGCCTGAGGGTGCAGGCTGTGGCCACATTTTCCCGAGCCACAGGCCTGTGCAGTGGGATCCACAGAAAAAGCCTTTCCAGATGCCTTTGGTTTGCACAAGGTGCTGCCACTCTCAGATCAAGGGGGACAAAGCCCTGGGCTGGGAGTGAAAGGCCTGAGCCAAGTCTGACTCTGCCTCTGGTACACCAGTGACCATATCTTTCAGCCTCATTCACTCTGCTGGATGTTAACACACATGAGCACACCCACAAAGGGCTGGTGCAAGTATCAGTTGGGTATGGAAAGGAATGCTTTGTTCATTGTTAAAATAACATGAACATTAAGGATGTTAAGAATGTTTAAGTTCATCATCACCACCACCATCACTATCATCACCACTACCATCACTATCATAATCACATCACCATCACTGTTACCATCACCAACACCATCACTGTCACCATCACCAACACCATCACTCTCACCATCACCATCACCATCACCACCATCATCGCCATCACTATCACCATCACCTTCATCACCACCACCATCACCATTACCATCATCATCACCAACACCATCATCACCACCATCGCTATCATCACAACCACTGTCATCACCACCACCATCACTATTACCACCACCATCACCACCATCACCATCACTGTCACCATCACCATCACCACCATCACCATCATCACTGCCATCACCACCATCACCATCACCACCATCACTATTACCACCATCACCATCACCACCATCACCATCACTGTCACCATCACCATCACCACCATCACCATCACCACCATAATCACCATCACCACCACCATCACATCACCACCATAATCACCATCACCACCATCATCACCGTCACTTTCACTGTCACCATCACCATCATCATCACTGCCATCACCACCATCACCATCACCACCATCATCACCATCACCACCACCATCATTACTACCATCATCACTATCATCACAACCACCATCACTATTATCACCACCACCATCACTGTCATCACTATAATCACCATCACTGCCATCATCACCATCATTATCACCATCATCACCATCACCACCATCACCACCACCATCACCACCACCATCATCACTATCATCACAACCACCATCACCACTACCACCATCATTATTACCACCATCATCACCATCACCATCATCACCATCACCACCATCACCATCATCACCATGACCGTCACCATCACCATCACCACCATAATCACAATCACATCACCTTCATCACCATCACCACCATCATCACCATCACCATCACCACCACTGTCACCATCACCACCATAATCACCATCACCACCACATCACTGTCATCACCATCACCATCACCACCATAACCATCATCACTCTCAAGTGGTCTTCCTGTGACAGAGAACATGCAACTCTCTGAGTCAGCCCATCTCATTTATGGACAGTTTTGCTAATAGCTATTTGCTTCTTTTGTTTGTTTGTTTGTTTGTTTCCATTGTAATTCGCCTTCCCATCTATATGGTCTGTTGGGTGTTGCTAGAATGGGTGTTGGATAATTTATTATTTAAAAAAAAAACAGGTTTCTTTAGCCCATGGTTGTACAGGCTGGGAAGTTCCGGGGAATGGCAAGCTTCCCCCACCTCTCTCTGGGAGTCACAGCAAGGAGACCCTGCCTCCCTTCTCCCCCTGTGATCAGGGTGCAGGGCGGTGTGACACAAAGTCCCTGCTTTGTGTCTTTTCAAACACAGAATAGAGAAGGGGGAGCAAGTGTGCTGGAGCTCCAGGCCTGGCTATATTATTTAGACTTGTATCAACTTGGCCATGTCATTTAGCTTGTCTGAGCCTGAGTTTCCCCAAATGGTTATGTTGAGAATTAAAGGAGGCCATATGACTACCTGGTACACAGCCTCACCCCCAAGAAGAGCCTAAAAATGTGTATATCCCTGTGAATTCCACTGAGGGAGGGCAGGTTCCAAGGAGGAGGACCACAGGGAGAGCAGTGCCTGCTGCTGGGGTCGCCTCTGTGGCCCAGGGTTGCCGGTGGCTGGGCCCCCAGACGGCAGGGTCACAGGTGAGTGAGAGTTCTGTGAGGTGGGGTGGGTGGGACCCCTGGGACCGGTCAAACCTGGCCTGAGTAAAGCCTCCCCACAAGCTTTTGCCAGGGGCCCAGCCAACCCTCACTGGGTGCCAAGCCAGGCCTCTTGAAATGGCAGCAAGGAAAGACTCATTCAAGGTAAGAAGGAAAGCCAGGGCTAAGAGACAGCGGCCCCAGCATGCAAAAGGCAGGGTATACAGGTGCCTGGCCAGCTGGCTTCCAGTCCAGGCCACATCACTAAGCACCAACAGACTGACATACCCACCCTGGGCCTTGGCTTCTCGGCCTTTAACAGCAAGGCCAGACCAGCACTGCCCATGTACCAGAAGTAGCGTGTGCACGCACGTGTGAGGAGGTGTGTGCACAAACCTCCAGGGAGGGGCTCTGTGATCTCCAACAGATCACCAGGGACCCAGCACTGAAAACTGAACACAGACTCCAGTGGTAGATAATCCCCAAGAACCTCCAGGTTTAGTGGCCCAACCACCACGGCCGGTGCAGAGTCCCTGGGTGGGAGGGGGGTGAGGGGGCACCTCCAGAGAGCAGATCCAACCCCTGAGCAGCAGGGTCTCCACAGGACGGTAAGAACACCCCAACTTCTCCTTTGCTCCCTCTGGATAAGAAAGGCTACAGGATCTTTGTCCAAATAGCACAACGAGGCCAAGGGTGGAGATGAAAGCGCTGAGTTGGCATTGCAGGAATAGTTCCTGATAGGCCGGATCTCAAAGTTGGATGTTTGATTGATGAATTCCTCTGTGTAAAAATAAATAGCAAGACGACCCAGCTCTCCACAAAGAGCAGAGTGGGAGGAGGAGCTGCAATGTGCCCCCCACATGACGAGCCCAGGAAAGCATGTAGGTCTGCATGTGTGTGCAGTGCGTGTCTGTGTAAGTAAATACACCAGCGTGTGCGTGAAATGTGTTCTCACATCAAGCGTTCCGACCCTCCGTTTGCCTGGGGAGGCGGAAGTGCTCAGAGTGAAAATCAGATGCAGACATGTGTATGACAGCAAGTCCAAGTCTAATTAAAACAAGCTTCCCACCTCTCCTCTCCAGGAACTGAGATGACCCCTGCTGGATTCTCAGTAGCTTCTGTAGGTTTGGTGCGTTTTTAAAAGGAGCTAACCATTATCCCATCAAGTACATCGGACGAAGTGTGTATGTTTCCATTTAAACCCCCTGAGTCTAAGATGGTATTTAATTCTGTGGAAACCACTGAAATCCTGCAGGATTCTGAGGAAACAGTCTATTGATTCACGTCAGTCCTTCCCAAACCTCTGACAAAACGAGAATTCTTTCCCGATGAGCCTCCCACCCCCGTAGCAGGGCGGACGCTTAGATGAAGCAAGAGCTTTGATGTGAGAGAAGTGCTGTCGCTTGAGCCAACAGACACAGCTGCCCCTTGAAGGGACCAAGGAGATTTCCCATAAACGAGCTCCGGTAAATTCCAGGGCTGAGGCAGGGTTTTGTTTCACCCTGGATGGCGAAAGAAAGAAAGAAAAATGGCATAATGCTGCACACTTACCAACATGTCATACATTCTTACACAAATCGCACCACAGAACATACTCCCTCTTACCCACTACTACCAAAAATAAAGAAAAGTTCAAGGATGCTGAAATCACCAAAAACCACCAGCTCATGACAGACACCCTAGAGCAAACCCGCTGTGGGGGTGCACAGAGAACGAAGTCCGGACTAAAAGGAGCCGCGGGGCCCAGGCATACAGGACAAGGACTTTTGCTCTCTCTAGTTTGGGGCAAATGGAAAACCCATATGAAACTCCCGTCACTCCAAGATGAGTAAATAAAAGAATTCCAGCACCTTAAGCTATACAAAACTTCAAAATGAAAATACAGCAAAGTAAAAAAGCAGATAAAGAGAGCACTTCAGAACATGGCAAGAAATTAAAGTGGAGACAAAAACTGTTCTCATATTCTCAAGTCAATGAAAGAAAACATGTAAAAATTTAGACATGTAGATATCTTTTTCATCTAACTTTTTAAGTACCTTATATATGTATATATGTTTATTTATATACATAAAGCACATATTTATATAAATGTTTATATAAATCATATAAATATATATGCAAGTACTGTACATAATCTTACCTAATCCTTAAATTGAATTAATAGTCTTATTTCCATTTTACACATGAAGAAACTGAAGCACCTGAAATTGAAGTCAATTGGTAATTATAACAATAAATATAAATGGGACAAATACACTGTTCCAGTTTCTATTTGCTGGGTAACAAACCATCTTAAAACTTAGCAATATAAAAGCCATTTTATTTATGCTCACAATTCTACAGGTCAGGAGTCAGGGCAGGCACAGAGAGGAAAGCTTGTCTCTGCCCTACCATGTTGGCAGACTCATTCTGCTGAAATAGGAGATAGCAGGGACAGCTCAAGTCGTGTCACATGTGTGGGCCTTGATTCTTCTTGACATGGCATCCTCTGGGGATTCTCAGTAACTTATGTAGATTTGGTGCATTTTTAAAAGAAGCTAACCATTATCCCATCAAGTATGTATGATGAACTGTTTATGTTTCCATTTGAACCTTCTGAGTCTGTGAGGGTATTTAATTCCATGAAATCCTGCAGGATTCTGGGGAAACAATTTACTGGTTTACATCAGTCCTTCCTGAACCTCCAACAATGCAGTTCTTTCCCGACAAGTCTCCCAGTCCTGTAGCTCTGGATGGATGTTTAGATGAAGCAAGAGCTTTGATGTGACAGAAATTACCAAGGTGACTTCTTTTACTGCCGGTCTAGTGATCCTAGCACCCGGGATGATATGGGTGGAATAGCTAGGGTCTGGACAGCTCGCTCTCTCTCTCTCTCTCTCTCTCTCTCTCTCTCTCTCTCCAAGTGGCTTCTTGACATGGCTAGCTTGGGTTCATCATAGAATTGTGGCCTCAAGGTAGTTGGACTTCTCACATAATGGCTGCCTACCCTCATCCCCTTTCAAGTGAGCACTAAGATACCAAAGTAAAAGCACCAAAGTTTCTTCAGTCTAGCCTTAGAAGTCATGCAGTATCAAGTCTCCTGCATTCCATTGATCAAAACAGTCATAGAGCCTGTCTAAATTCCAAGGGAAGGGAACCATAGACCCCAACTCTTGAAGAGAGGACTGTCAAAGAAGTTGTGGCCATCTTTAATCTGCCATTCTTATCTTTTAAAAGAAAAAAGTCACTCAGAAGTCAGGAAAGGCTGCAATGCTCTGGAGGAAACCAACTGAAGAAAATAAACAATGCACTCCTAAATAACCAATGGTTCAAAGAAAAAAATCACAAGGGAAACTAGAAAATACTTTGAACTGAGTGAAACAAAACCACAACATACCAAAACTTACAGGATGCCACTAAAGCAGTGCTTAGAGGGAAATGTCTAGCTATAAATGCTAGATCACAAAAGAACAAAGATCTGAAATAAATAATCTAACGTTCCACTTGCAAACCCCAGTGGTAGATAATCCCTAAGAAAATAAGAAAAATAAGAGCCAACCCAACTGAAAACAAGCAGAAGGAAGGAAATAATAAAGATTAGAGCAGAAATAAGAGAAACAGGGAAGAGAAAACCAGTGGAGAAAATCAATGAAACCTAAAAGCTGGTTCTTTGAAAAGGTCAACAAAACTGACCAACCTTTAGCTAGACTGACTAAGAAAAAAGAGGAATGACTCAAATGACTAGAATCAGAAATGAAAATGGGGACATAACTAAGGACCCTGAAGAAATAGAAAGTGTTGTAAAGGAACACCATGAACAATTATACACCAACAAATTGTATAACTTAGATGAAATGGACAAATCCCTAGAAAGACACAAACTACTGAAGCTGACTCAAGAAGACAATGTGAATAGACTTATAACAAGTGAAGAGATTGAACTAGTAATTCAAAAATTACCCAGAAAGAAAAGTCCAGGCCCACCCAAGCTTTATCACTGAATTCTGCCAAACATTTAAAAAATTAATATGAATTCTTCACGACTCTTCCAAAAAACAGAAAAACCGCAGGAACATTTCTTAACTCATTTTATGAGGTCACTATTACCCTGATGCCAAAACCAGAAAAGACATTACAAGAAAACTACAGACCAATATCTCATATGAATATAAACAAAAAAATTCTCAGCAACATACTAGCAAACTAAGTCTGCAACATATAAAAAGAGTTACACATACACCCATGGCCAAGTGGGATTTGTCCCAGAAATGCAAGCTTGGTTCAACATCTGAAAATAAATGAATATAATACATCATATCAATAAAATAAAAAACAAAAGTCATATAATATTCTCAATAGAACCAGAAAAGGCTTTTGACAAAATTCAACACATTTTCACGATTAAAAAAAAACACTCAACAAACTAGAAAACAGAAGAGAACTTCCTCACTTAATAAAGTGCATCTACAAAAAACTTACAGCTAAGTTCATACTTGACTGTGAAAGACTTGATGTTTTTCTCCCTTATATCATCAAAATTGATACCTTTTGTGCTTCAAAGGACACCATCAAGAAAGTAAAAATAACTCAGTGAACTGGAGAAAATACTTACAAATAACATGTCTGATAAAAGACTTGTATTCAGAATACATAAAGAACTCTTCTAACTCAATAATAAAGACAAATAACCCAATTTTAAAATGAGTTAAGAAGATTAAGTAGACATTTCTCCAAACCAGAAATACAAATTGCCTGTAAGCACATGAACAGATACTCAGTATCACTTGTCGTCAGGGAAACACAAATCAAAACCACAAGGAGATACCACTTCACACCCACAAGGATTTCTAGAAATCCAAATGTTCATCACCTGACAAATGGATAAACCAAATGTGGTCTGTCCATACAATGGAGTATTATTCCACCATAAAAAAGAATGAAGTATCAATACATGCTACAACATGGATGAACCCTGAAAGCATTATACTGAGTGGAAAAAGCTGGACACAGAAGGCTGTATATTACGTAATTCCATTCATATAAAAGGTTCAAAACAGGGAAATCTATGGAGACAAAGTAAATTCGTGGTTGCTTAGGTCTGTGGGGAAGGCTAAAGCTAAGGAGGTGGTAACTAAGTGTTGGGGGTGGGGGGGGGGGTCCTTGTTCTTAGAGCTCCCAAGATGGTGGTGGGCTCCTTACAAGATGGCAGCAAGCCTCTTGTTTGCTGACCTGGGGTTCTTGGCCTCATGGATTCCAAGGAATAGAATCTTGGGCCATGCGGTGAGTGTTATAGCTCTATTAGAAGCTGTGGGTCACGGAAGAGAACCGTGGAACCCAGCAACTAGTGTTCAGCTCGATTAGGACAAAGCCGGGCACTTAGCCGTGCAGAAACAATGGCGAGCCTTTAGCCCGATCAGGAGCGGCAATGGGTGCCTCACTGGATCAGGAGCACAGCGGACACCCTGCCGGATCCAGAGGGGTGGAAGTCAGCGGCAGATCTGCGAGGGCGGCAAACAGCAGTGGCGGACAGCGAGCGAAAGCTCAGCTGGAGCCGTAACAAACACGGACCAGAAGAGTGCGCAGTTGCAAGATTTAATAGACTGAAAACAGAGCTCCCATACAATGGGAGGGGACGCAAAGGGGGTAGCCATCGCTGGCTCAAATGCCTGGGTTTATATCCCGATCATTGTCCCTCCCCGTGTGCTCTCAGGCAACAGATGATTGGCTATTTCTTTACCTCCTGTTTTAGCCTAATTAGCATTTTAGTGAGCTCTCTTTACTACCTGATTGGTCAGGTGTGAGCTAAGTTGCAAGCCCTGCGTTTAAAGGTGGATGTGGTCACCTTCCCAGCTAGGCTTATGGATTCTTAGTCGGCCTAGGAAATCCAGCTAGTCCCGTCTCTCATAAGAAGAATCAAAATGTTAGCAAATGAACCATGATGGCAGTTGCACAACTCTGTGAATGTACAAAAAGCACATAATTGTATTATTTAAAGGGGTGCATCTTAGTCTGTTCAAGCTGCTAGACCAAAATACCAACAACTGGGTAGCTTAAAAACAACAGAAATGTATTTCTTACAGTTCTGGGAAGTCCAAAATCAAGGCACTGGTAGGTTCAGTGTCTGCTAGGGGCCCACTTTCTGGTTGACACATGGCACCTTCTAGCTGCGCCCCCACGTGGTGGAAAACAGGAAGAAGACTAGCTCTCTGGGGCCTCTTTTAAAGGGGTACTAGTCCCATTCACCTAATCACCTCCCAAAGACTCCACCCCTAACACCATTACTTTGGTGATTAAGTTTTCAATATACGAATTTTGGGGACACATGGACATTCAGACCACAGCAGACTAAGTTGTATGAGATATCAGCTTAGACACATGTGGTGAATTATATATCAACAAAGCCATTATTTTTTTAAAGTCATAGAACCTTTCCAGACTTGTGGGGAGTTGGCAGTTGACCCCACCTCCTGATAGAAGGAATGTCAAAGACTTTGAGGCCATCTTTAATCTGCCACACTAAACTTTTTAAGGAAAAAAACACTCAGATTCAACCTTCTTGAAAATCAGCACTGTGATTTAAAAATTACAGCCCCTGCTGGGCGCGGCGGCTCACGCCTCTAATCCCAGCACTTTGGGAGGCTGAGGTGGTCGGATCACCTGAGGTCAGGGGTTCAAGACCAGCCTGGCCAACACGGTGAAACCCTGTCTCTACTAAAAATACAAAAATTAGACAGGCATGGTGGCAGGTACCTGTAATCTCAGCTACTAGGGAGGCGGAGGCAGGAGAATCGCTTGAACCAGGGAGGCAGAGGTTGCAGTGAGCTGAGATCGCACCATTGCACTTCAGCCTGGGTGACAAGAGCGAGACTCTGTCTCAAAAAATAATAATAATAATAAATAAGAATAAAAATAAAAATTACAGCCATTAAGGCTCAGCAAACTGCCTTTGGTCCAAATCCAGCCTCACCTCCTGCCTGTGTAAATAAAGTTTTATTGGAACACAGCCACACCCATTGTGGCTTTCTCAAAATACAGCAGAGTTGAGTATGTGTGACAAGGACCAAATGGCTCACAAAGCCTAGAATATTTACTATCTGTCCCTTTACAGAAAACATTGCCGATTCCTGCCCTAAAACAAAACAAACTCAGAAAAGCTGAAAGTAAAAGAGTGCGCAAAATGTGTGGCAGACAAATAAAAAAGTCTCTGCCCACATGAAACCTTGCAAATGACATCATCCCTCACTGGGTGCTGGTTCTCCTCCAGTACCTTCACTGCCCTCAGCCAGCAGCCACAGTGGGATGGGAGCAGCTCCAGACGCGAAAGTGCAGGGCTTGGCACAAGGCGGGGCTGGGTGTCTGTGCCTCAGTAGAACGATGGGCTTTGCCCAGCCATCCAGGCAGAACACTTCAGCCGGTGGTCAGAAGCCCACCCTACCTTCTGCAGCATGGTTCCAGCCCTAAGCCCAGTTACAGCCTATCATGAATTGAGTTCCCCAGGAAGAGGTCCCTGGCCTGGGGATGACTGCAGGTTTGCAGGTGAGAGCACACCTGTGGACAGGGTGCGCCCTCCTGGGGAGGGTCCTGCTTGCCTCTTCTGGCTCCTGGGGGCTGTCAGCACTCCTGGCTGTGGCCCCATCTTTCCCATACCCGGCATTGTCTTCACATTGCCTTCTCATGTCTGTGTCTGTCCTCTTCTGTCTCTTACAAGGACATTTGCTGTTGGATTCAGGGCTCATCTTCATCCAAGATTATCTTAAGATCCTTAATTTTATCTGTGCAGACCCTTTTGTCCATGGGGTCCCATTCTCACCTTCTGGATACACATCACTCTCGGGGCCGCCATTCTACCTGCCTCATCTGTGCGCGGCAGTCTGGACCTAGAAGCTCTGTCCCCTCTGCTGCCCAGTGGAGTCGAGTGCCTGGCACCCAACACCCAGACAGGGTGGCCACCAACCTGGTTGAGGGGACTGTCCCCAAGATGATCACAGAACATCAGGCAGGGCTCCTGAGCCAGCGCCCCCCCCAAGCCTGCCTCGCTCCCAGTACGGCCGGAAGAGTAGCTGAGGCCAACCCCTGAAGCAGCCAAGGCGTCCTCTATGCCCAGAAGTGCCAGGGATCGGGGGCTGCCCAGTTCCAGACAGGGTCATCACACTCCGACCTTCAGAGGGGCCCCCCGCCTGCCAGCTCCAGACAGGGCCATCACACTCCCGATCCACAGAGGGCCCCCCCACGCCTCCCAGCTCCTGACGGAAGCGCCTGTCCAGCTTCACCGACCTCCATGCCGCTGCCTGGGGTCTTGCTCGAACGCAAGAGAACACGGGTCTCGTTGAGGGCTCCTCTGCCCCGCATCTCCTGCTCCTGGACACCCAGGCCTGCCCTCACCACTGCTGCTGGACACCGGGCAGGGGTCCTGGCCACTCTTCTGGAAGGCCAGTCTGACGTTGCAGGCGCAGCCACTTCACTGTTTGTCCTTCACGGTATGCCAGACTCCCTCCTCCCTGCAAGAGCCTCTCCCAGGGCCCAGTCCTCCCCCGAGAGGTGCTGATGAGAGTGGAGTATGGAACCATCTGCCAGCCAACCCCAGGTGGCCTCTCGGGGGTGCCCTGCCCCACAGGGCCATGCACGGTGTGGCCCTCCCCGGTGCTGTCACGTCTGAATGTGGCCCTGCAGACTTGCCCCCACTGGGCTGGAGCACATCCCCTGGAATCTGATCCCAGGAGCTCCGGGAGCAGCTCGCACACAGCTCCATGGATGCCCCTCACAGTGGGAGAGACAGGAAAGGCCAGCTCCGAGTCTCACACCTCACTCTTCAAGCTGGGAAAATGATGCTGTTACCTTGGGAGGTGAGACCCTCCAGATGGGAACCTCGACGCTGGGAGCTGGTGTGTTCCCGGAATTCGGGGGAATATTTCATTCCCTGCGTATGGTGTCTGGACTTTCAGATCCCTCCTCCCAGGCACCCAGGCATCATTTCACAACCCCATGCTCAGCAAGCCCCAGAGAAAACTCCTCAATAAACTACGAGTGTTAATACCCGATGCAATAAGATGTGATTAAATTTTACACAAGGGAGGGGTGCAGGTACTTCAGAATCATAAAAACAGCTTTTCCACAAAACTGTCAGCATTAGACACAAATATGAGAGCAAAGGGGCGCTCGGGCTTACTCACATTGCTCAGTTTGTTTACACTAAGTCCGCACAACATGAAAACACCTGCTCCACTTTCACAATCAGTCTTCTCCATTGTGCACAGGAAAGTTATAGTTTGGAGAAGGTTTTTGTATTTCAATAATGCCACCCATTTTGTGGTGTTTAAAGAGTGAGAAGATACAAGGCTTATTTAAAAACTAAAAGTATCTAGACTCCTCCCAAAAGAAATCTAGATGAAAAACCCGAAGGAGGGCAGCCAAGTGGTAAGGCCTTCCGAAATCTGCGATGCTGACCCCCACCCCAGCAGGCCGTGGCACAGAAGGGCCTGGGGTGGCCGGGAGGTGGAGGGTGGGCACAGCCCCTGCCTCTCCCCATTCCCTGAGGCACCCACCTCCAGGGACCCCTTTCTAGTAGGTTAAATGGGTGCTCATGCTCCACCACCTGCCCCAGCAAGCAAGCTGCAAAGCGGGCACCAGGCAGGCCCACCCAGCTGTGTTATCAGAAACTGAGGAGGACCAACTGCCCCAACCAGAGAGAACTAACAGAGACCCCCAGAAGGGCAGCAGGTCAGAAGTCAAGTGCAGGGGCCCTGCACCCACTCCCTCGCTGTGGGACCTTGGGGTGTGACTGAAGCCACGGACTCACTGAAGCCACTTTTCTCACCTAAAAACTGGGGACCTGGGTCGTACCTCCAGGATGGCTGAGGGAAGTGCCTCGACACGGCAGCAGTTACTGCTGTTCGGAGATGCAGCTGACGAAACACACCCTGGGAAGAGCAGGCCAGCTTAGGAATGAAACCAGGGTGGGCTCCTATAGATGGTGGAAGGAACAAAAGCATTTAATCACCCGCTCCAGAAGCCCAGTGCAGGGAGCAGCAGGGGACTTTTAATGGCATTAATCCAGAAAGACAAAGAGAGCCAGGAGAGGCTGCAGCAGCCAGGGTTGTGCAAGGGGAACTCCCAGCAGATCCAAGAAAGCTGACTCCTCAGCCAGGAGCCCATGCAGCCCAGAAGCAGCCTGGCTACCTGGGGGAGGCTTGGGAGGTGCAGGCGAGGGTGGCTCCACTGCCTCTGGAGGTCAGGAAGGGGGCCACATGCAGAGGGGTGGTCGGAGGCCTGTGTAAGATGCTTCAGGCTCTCTCTGTCCCCTGTGTCCGATCAGAAGACCAACTGTTTCATTCCCTGGAGAGGGTGACACTGAGGGTGAGCGGACAGGGCGAGCAGAGTAAACAGATCTTACACACACTGTGCACAGACCCGCACCTCCATTCCAGCGGGCTCCCCAGGGCTGAGTCAGACTCGCCCCTCCAATAAGGAAAGACCTAAAGATGTGGCTGCATCCGCAGCCCTCCAGCCCCAGGCACTGCTCCAACACCCTACCCTGAAGCTACTGAAGGGCAACCCTACCTAGGGTGGCCAGGTCAAACACAGGACCCAGAGAAATGTGGATTTTAGATCAACAACAAATCATTTTTTAGTATAAGTATGCCCTATGTAATATTTAGAACATACTTACACTAAAAAAATTCCAAATATAACTGGGCTTTCTGTAATTTTTGTTGCTGTTAAATCTGGCAACTTTACTCCCACCCACACACACACACACACACACACACACACAGCTTATACATGTTTTTTTCACATCTCTCTCTTAGGTGACAGCAGACAGCCAAGGAGCACCCCAGTTTTGAGGAAAGCTCTGACAGAGAACAAAAGTGGGGCCAGCAGCAAGTTACAGGAAAGACAAAGCTGGAAGAAAAGCCGAGGCATTTCTTTCCGGCATCAAAGGGCTCCGTGATGCCCTGTGGGCGGCGTGCAAGGAGACCCACTCAGAGACTCGTCCTGTGGCAATTCAGGACCCTGGTGCAAACACAAGCTCCTACAAGTTTCCAGACAAAAACAAGGAGGTTTCACAATGGATTGAGAACTAGGAAGATGCTGGGACTTCTCAGCCACAACCTCAGAAGCCAGAAACCAGCCAGGCACGGTGGCTCATGCCTGTAATCCTAGCACTTTCGGAGGCTGAGGCGAGTGGATTGGATGAGCTCAGGAGTTTCAGACCAGCCTGGGCAACATGGTGAAACCCTATCTCTACTAAAAAAAAAAATACAAAAAAATTAGCCGGGTGTGGTGGTGTGCCCCTGTAATCCCAGCTACTTGGGAGGCTGAGACATGAGAATTGCTTGATCCTGGGAGGTGGAGGTTGCAGTGAGCCAGGATCACACCACTGCACTCCAACCTGGACGACAGAGTGAGATTCTGTCTCAAAAAAAAAAAAAAAGCCACAAACCGAGGAGCAGTGCCCGCAAAATTCCGAGGGAAATGATTTCCACTCTGGAATTCTAAGCCCAAACTGTAGAAAAGAAAGATATTTTCAGAACTGCAAGATCTTCCCAGGTCACCACCTTTGCATCCTTTCTCAAGAGGTTCCTGGAGGATAGGAGCCACCAGAGAGCCAGCAGGTCAGCCAGCAGAGAGGGAAGCTGGGAGGCAGAATGGAGACCACTCAGCCCCAGCCAGGAGCAGAGGGGGTGCAGGGGCAGGGACATCCCCAGCCAAGACCACCGCCCAACAGCCACCTTCCCTGGAGCAGGGTCCATGGTGTCAGGAGTACGCTCTTCACGAAGAGGAAACAGAGACATGGTTTGTAAGGACATTTCTACAATTACGGGAGAGGCTGGGGTTGTCGTGGTGATAAACACATAAAAACAATGCAAATGAAAACATCATTAACTCCGGAGAAAACCAAAAGTTGTTCAGGTAAGAGGTCATATTATTCTAATGGCTTGGCTGTGAATAGTAAACGCTAACTATTCATCTTGGTGAAATGGTGAGATGCTGCTGGAAAAATGGAGGGATGGGATGTGTGTGTGTGTCTGCGTGTGTGCGTGTGTGTGTATGTGTTAGAAAGAGACACACAGAGTGGCCGGGCATGGTGACTCATGCCAGTAATCCTGGCACTTTGGGAGGCTGAGGCAGGCAGATCACCTGAGGTCAGGAGTTCAAGAACAGCCTGGCCAACATGGTGAAACCCCGTCTCTACTAAAAATACAAAAATTAGCCAGGTGTGGTGGCACGCGTCTGTAATCCCAGCTGCTTGGGAGGCTGAGTGAGGCAGGAGAATTGCTTGAAGCCAGGAGGTGGAGGTTGCAGAGAGCCCAGATTGCGCCACTGCACTCCAGCCTGGGCAACAAGAGCAAAACTCCATCTCAGAAAGAAAAAAAGAAAGAGACACACAAAGAGACAGAGACAGAGAGAGAGAGAGCAGAGGACAGAATATGGGTCAAGGGTGAAGAGAGAAGGGGAGCCTGCCCTGAGGGAAGCCAGTAGACGATGCCCGAGGTGAAAAATCAGAAGTGTCAACATGAACATGTTATCCTAAGATATCCAGGTAAATACGAAAATAATTGGCTGAAAGACTCAAAGCGTTTGCCCCAGAGAAGGAACTGCAGGACAGCCCCGTGGAAGGGCTGCTGCTTTGCCTTTAAATTCTCTGCATGTGTAACTGATACAAAGAACAAGAAAATTTTTAAAGAAATAAAGTTTTCAAAAATGTAGGTAGGTGTGGAGTGAGAGCCGGGATAAAGATTGCGCCTTTTCAGCAATGGCTATGATTTAATATATGCCCTGGCAGGAAAGTGCAAACGTCTGGGGGTGGGTGTTGGCAATTGCACTGGGGAGGGCATTGGCCCTGGACCTTCATCTCACACACGCACGGCCCTAGCACCCGAAATCACACAGGTTCGCCGTGAAAATCGTTTGCAAGTACAGGCAGCCTCAGGCCAAAACCTCAGCGGCCTCCCTAAGTTCCTCCTATGTGGAATGCTGAGGCCACCTGTTCCAGTTTCTTCTCACTGCTGTAACAAATTACCACAGTTTAAAGCAATAGGAATTTATTTTCTTACAATCTGAAGCTCAGAAATAAAAAATCAGTCTCGCTGGGCTACAGTCAAGTTGCCAGCAGGGCTGGATCCTCGTGAAGGCTCCGAAGGAGAATGCATTTCCCTGCTTTCCCAGCCGGGAGGGCCCCTGCAGGAGAATCTCCCCATCCCGAAATCCTTGACTCCATCACATCTGCAAAGACCCTTGCTGTGATCTGACTGTCTGCGTCCTCCCAGAATTCGTGTGTTGAAACATAAACTCCCAGTGTGATGCTGTTAGGAGGCAGGACTCTGGGAGGTGACAAAGTCACAAGCATGCAGACCCGTGGATGGGATTAGAGCCTCATGAAGGGGGCCCCAGAGCACTGCACTGGCCCTTCCGCTGTGTGAGGACACAGTGAGAAGGTGTGTAACTAGCCTGAGAACCAGAATTGGGGTCCTCTCCAGACACCGCCTCTGCCAGTTCCTTGATCTTAGACTTGCCAGCCTCCAGAACTGTGAGAAATACATTTCTGTTGTTTCTAAGCCACTCAACCTGCAGCGTTTTGTTAGAACAGCCAGAACGGACTAAGATAGGGGTCCCCGACCCCCCAGCCATGGACGGGTACCCGACTGTGGCCTGTTAGGAACCAGGCCACACAGCAAGAAGTGAGCAGCAGGTGAGCGAGCATTACCGCCTGAGCTGCCTGACCCCTGCCTCCTGTGAGATCATTAGATTCTGAACTGCACATGCTCGGGATCTAGGTTGCCTTATTCTCCTTATGAGAATCTAATGCCTGATGATCTGAAGTGGAACAGTTTCATCCCAAAACATCCCCACTCCCCTCGGGTCTGTGGAAAATTGTCTTTCACGAAACTGGTCCCCGGTTGGACACCACTGGACTAAGACATCCTTTTGCCATCTAAAGTTACGGTCACAGGGACCGGGGATTAGGGTGAGAATATCTTTGAAGGCAGCCACACAGCCCACCACAGCCCTGCAGTCGGTGACGTGGCAACAGAAGCCAGAGGTTAGAGTGACTCAAGGAGGGGGAGGGCCACGGATGAAGGAAGGCGTCTGCAGAAGCCAGAAAAGACAAAGAAATGTATTTTCCCCTTAGAGCCCCCGGAAGGATCCACTGTGGACTCCTGACCCCAGAAGCGTAAGAGAGAAAATGAGTGTTGTTTTAAGCCACTGGCTGTGTGGTCATTTGTGGCCACAACCCTGGGAAGCAATGTGGCCTTCGGGTAGCGCCTTCCTGCAGCTGCCTTGGGGCCCTAAGGGGCCTGAGAACCGAGAAGGAACCAGGAAACAGGCTGGGCTGTGCCTGTGGGTAGTTCTGGCTCCTGAGTGCAGGGGTGGCTCTGGGTGCCAAGCAGGGTCACATGTCCCAGTCCCTGAGTCCACCAAGAGTGTCCAGGCATCTGGAACACCTGGCAGTGAAAGGAGGCCGGCTCCTTGGAAGCCACAGTGACCAGTGTGCACAGGCATTGCACAGAGGGCAGATGTGAGGGGTGCTCAGTGTGGCCTCGGTCAACACACTACCTGGCCTCCAGCTCTCCAAAGCCATTTTAGGCTGAAGGTGGTCAGTGAATCACATCTGAGGGCGCAGGGGCCTTGGCCCTCCTGGCTAACAGAGTTCCTTAGGAGCGCAGAACCCCAAACGGAACCGCCTTGGAAAGTCCACCCAGTCACTGCGGGGTCTGGGTGGGGGTGGAGGTGCAAGGTCCCCAGATATTCTCGGAGATTTTCACACCATCTCAGCACCACATTCAGAACTCAGCCTGCGCCGGTTGCAGCAGGAAGAAAGAATTATGACTTGTGACTTTGGAAAGCGAGAAGCTGCCCAGATTCCCCCTCCCTGAGACATTTGGGGTGGGAAGTTCAGGGAGAATTTTCAACTGCAAGACCAAGGTGATTTAGAAGGTAAAACATTTGCGTTTGTGTCAAATTTCCACACCTTCCCCCTCCGGATCCCACCGCCCCTGCTTCCCACACAGCATGGCTCCCCCCGCGGCCCGCATGATGACAGCCGGCTTTGGGGGCTCACGTCTGCAGGTTAGAGCCCCCCCACCCCGGCAGCCCTCCAGCCCCCTCGGGGCTCCACCCAAGCCCTTCCTCAGGCTGGATCAGATCCCCAGGCCACCCCGGGGTGGAAACTCGCCCTCCCGCTGTGGCCCAAGCACTCATACTGCCTCCATTGTCCGGGCAGCCCAGCTGGCCCGAGGCCAGCCTCACCCCAGCTATTACAGATTTTTCAAATCCTTCCATTTATGTATTTGGTTTGGTAGCTTTAGGTTGATGATGTACTTAATTTCACCACTATATTGAGTTTGAATGAGCTGAAAGCAAAACACGCAAATAGAGAACAATGCCTGGCCAGCCCCCACGAGCCCGGAGAACAGGTGTTTCCCATCGGCAGTCTGCTGCGCGCCCTTGGCCATTTTCCTCCTGGAGCTATAGGTGCGCCCCAGGCGTTTTCTTTTAGGCAGCTTTGGGATCAGTGCAGGTCCCAGGGCCCAGCTGGACTCCCTTTGGGACTGCTCTTTCTTGGGACTTTTCAATACAGCAGCGTTAGCAGGAGGGTTCATCTGTCACATAAATATCTGATCCTCAGGGGTGGCAGCCCCCAAGCTTTTCCCACTCCCAGCAGATGCAGAATAGCATGAAGATCTGTGGACAAACTGGGCAATCTGCTCCTCAATCCACCCCTCCCTCACTTTAGAATTTGAACTCTCTCTACTGTTTTGCAAAAGTGGTTTTTGTAAAGGTAGTAAAAGGACAGAATCGCAAAATAAAATGGTCCAGTAGGTAAACCCAGGTATTTTAGAGAAGTTGCTTCTCTCTAGGCTTCCTTTGATGGGGGGCCTTGCTTCAGGCCAGTGACAGAAGCTTGCCTCAGTGGCGGGGGGGGGGCCTCAGCAGTCACCTCTCCAGGTTCGAGACCTGAGCGCACTCCAGCCATCCCAGTGGCCTGAGTTCCAGGGCGTTGTGTCCACACCTCAGCCACAGGGCCAGCTGCCTGGGCGGGCGACCACACAGGCCCGCAGTTCCCATGCTCGGAAGGGGCCCCGCACGTGGTGGCCACAGCTCTGTGGTCACTGTCTTGAGATTCTTCATAATTTTCTTTGAATGTGTTTCGTAAATGAAGTCTGATGGGACAGTGGAGCTCACGGCTCCCAGCAGCCCCACCTCCACGGGATGTGTGCTCTGCCCTCACTCAGCCCCTGGGCGGGAGGGTCAGGGTCAGGCGCACACAGCCCACCTCCCACCCTGAGTGCCAAGTCACAAGGTAGGCCGGGCTCCTGTGTGGGCCATGCATTTGCCTAGCTCTGCCGTGGGGGTGGGGAGAGGGTCTGCCATCCAGCCCAGAGGCCTCTGCACTTGGAAACAGCCATAGAAATCCAAGCAAGCCCTGGCCTCGGGACACATGTCTACAAAGCCCAGCTTGGCCTCTGCCACCTCAGCCCAGAGTCCCCTACGCTTGGAAACAGCCCTCCCATCCAAGCAGGCCCAGAGAAGGGCCACTGAGAAGACCTACAAGACACCCCACCCAGATCATCCACATCCGTCTCCACCCTGAGCTGCACGGCACTGCATCGCACCCCTTCGTGGCACTCACTGTGATGAGATGATGCACATTGAATTCTTTTTTTTTTTTTGACACAAGTTCTCCCTCTCTCACCCAGGCTGGAGTGCAGTGGCACAATATTGGCTCACTGCAACCTCTGCCTCCTGGGTTCAAGCGATTCTCCCTCAGCCTCCTGAGTAGCTGGAATTATAGGTGCATGCCACCACAGCCCAACTAATTTTTGTATTTTTAGCAGAGACACGGTTTCACCATATTGGTCAGGCTGGTCTTGAACTCCTGACCTCAGGTGATCCACCCACCTTGGCCTCCCAAAGTGCTGGGATTACAGGCATGAACCACTGCACCTGGCCCGAATTCTTTACAGATACACAGTGAGAGAAGTCCAGCTGCAGCGAGGCTCTGCTAGTCACTTGCTGAGTGACCACAGGGAGTTTCTTAATCTCTCTGTGCCTCGGTTTCCTCACCAAAAAAACAGAGGAGACAGACTCTCTGCGTCAATGGGACAATTCACGTGAAGAGCCTGGCCCAGCACCCAGCTGACACCTCATGGGCCTCTGGAGCAACTTGCCCCTCTCCTGGACCTGCATGCACAACTGTGCTTGGCCACACACACAACACACACTCATGCACACACACATATACATGCATGCACAAACTCATGCACACATACTCATGCACACACACTCATGCACATACACATATGCCTACACATACACACACACACACTCATGGACATACACTCATGCATACACACTCATGCACACACGCACACACACATCCACACGCACACATACACACTCATGCACACAGACACACTCATGCACACATACACACATACACACTCATGCACACACACGCACACACTCATGCACACAAACATACACATGCACACACATACACTCATGCACACACACACGCACACGGACACACTCATGCACACACATGCACTTGCACACAGAGATGCGTGCACAGGCGCACACACACTCATGCACACGCACACACTCCATGCACACACACACATGCACACAGAGATGTGTGCAGACATGCGTGCACACACACACCCTCTCAGTGAACACAATCCATATCTACACTTGTGTTTCTTACAAAGCCCAAACGTGGGCCTTGAAGATCACAGGCAGGAAACAGATATTTCTTAAATAAATGAATGAATAATATATTCTTTACATCATGATTTTCTTCCGTCTGTTAAGTCCCCAGGAGATTCTACTTTGGGCTTTGTAATTGCATCCTTTACTAATCTGAGACTTAACACACATATTTTTGTTTTATTTCTAATACAGTCTAACTTAACCAACAACCCGAGGCCAGAAGCTGTCCACAGGACATTTACTGTATGCTCAGAGGTGGGTGACCTCTAAAGCCCCCACAGAGCTGAGCATACAGTAAAGGCGTCAGAAAAGTGGTTGTGCCAGTGAATGAGTGAATGAATGAGTGAACGGCCTGGTGTCCTCATGGCCAACAGGATTTGTCTCCACACTAGCTTGGAGCTCTGTAGAGAGTGGTCCTGAGGCTGAGTCTGTCCTCCATGAAGAGGGATTGCTGACGGGCTGATGGTGTCTGTCCTGGTGTGAGAGGTGGCTGTTGGGCCATTGATGGGCTGGTGGTCTCTGTCCTGGCATAGGAGGTGGCCGTGGGGTCGCTGACAGGCTGGTGGTATCTGTCCTGGCATGGGAGGTGGCTGTGAGGTCACTGATGGGCCATGGTGACTATTCTGGTGTGGGAGGTGGCCAAGGCAAGAGAGGGCTTCGCCTGTGCCAGCCCAGATAGCCCTTCTAATTTTAAAGATAAGAAAACTGAGGCCTGGAGAGAAGAGTGAGATCCTGAAGATGAGCCCAGGTTGGTTTGAGTGGAGAAAGAAGGAAGAGCATGGCGCCCACTCCAGGAACTCGGCAGCCCAGGAGTGAGACGAACGTCTCCAGTCCGAGCTCGGCACTTGCAAATAGAGGCAGCAGATCTTGTACCGCCTGGGCCGGTGTCCGCCGCCCAGTAGTTACCATATTGCAGGGAGCGGGGTTCGATATGAAGGACATGGTCAATAGCTCTTTCTTTTTTTTTTTTTTTTTTTTTTTTTTTTTTTTTTTGAGACGGAGTCTCGCTCTGTCGCCCAGGCTGGAGTGCAGTGGCGGGATCTCGGCTCACTGCAAGCTCCGCCTCCCGGGTTCACGCCATTCTCCTGCCTCAGCCTCCCAAGTAGCTGGGACTACAGGCGCCCGCCACTACGCCCGGCTAATTTTTTGCATTTTTAGTAGAGACGGGGTTTCACCGTTTTAGCTGGGATGGTCTCGATCTCCTGACCTCGCGATCCGCCCGCCTCGGCCTCCCAAAGTGCTGGGATTACAGGCGTGAGCCACCGCGCCCGGCCTAGCTCTTTCAATACCCTAAACCCACTCAGGCTGCCAACATCGCATTCTGCAGGGTAGTTTCCATTCCCTTAGTCAAAAAAAAGAGAAATCACTTAATATGAAACTACAAATGAGATTAATATAAAGATTTTTAAAGTTTATTTTGCTCTGACTAGGACCCCAATAACTATATGTATCTGTTACATAAATGCAGCCCCGGAGTATTATTTCATGAAGCTTTGGAGTCCTCTAAATTCCTCGCCAGCCCCAGCCCTGTGAAAAGAGCAGAATTCAAGAACCGCAAGAGCATGCACTTGGCGGCACAGCCGCCCGGTCACAGGGCCCTTTGTGCGACTGCACATACTGTGGCTTGGGGCAGAGAAAACGCTTTTGCCAAAAGGGTTATTATTACCTGAACCGTGATTCATGCGAGTGCTTCCCGGGAGGGGTGTTTTATTATGATTTCTCAGCTCTCAGCTCCTTCTTGCCCCCAAAGTGGGGCTGGGCTGCATTCCTGTGATACTGGGCTGTTCATAAAACACAAACGGTCCATTCACTGTGCCCCAGGGGCTGCTGGAGGATGACTCCTACCTCCCAGCCTGGCCCTCCAGCCACAGTCCTCGCCCCAGGGGAGCCGGCCTGGGGGTCCCTATAGTGAGCCTGGCTGCAGCGGCTGCATCCTGGCATCAAACCTCTTTTCCTCTGTTCTAAGTGGCCAACCTTCCACAGTCACAGAAAGCAGCCATTATGGATGGCACTGCAGGACCCCCATTCCACAGGAAGGAAAGGAGGCCACCCCTGTACCGGGTCCCAGGACTGGGCACATGCGTGTGGTCAGGTCCCCTCAGTGTGTCCTGGCTGTGCCAATGGCACCATTGGGCTGGGCTGCTTCCGCCTTGCTCATCCCCTAATGATGTCAAAGGAGGACACAGACCACGCACCGAGAAAAGGAATCTTACTCACAAGTAAGGTTTGCAGGAGGGTCAAGCTGGAGAAAGACGGCTCACCAGGAAACATACACCAGGTATTTAAAGATAAGACATAGGCCGGGCACAATGGCTCACGCCTGTAATCCCAGCACTTTGGGAGGCCGAGGCGGGCAGATCACGAGGTCAGGAGTTCAAGACCAGCCTGGTCAACATGGTGAAACCCCATCTCTACTAAAAATACAAAAATTAGCCGGTCCTGGTGGGCGCCTGTAATCCTGGCTACTCAGGAGGCTGAGGCAGGAGAATCGCTTGAACCCAGGAGGTGGAGGTTGCAGTGAGCCGAGATGGCACCACTGCACTCCAGCCTGGGCAACAGAACGAGACTCTGTCTCAAAAAAAAAAAAAAAAATGAGACACAGACAAGATCCCACAGCTATCACGTTTACAGCAGGTCTGTTCCTGCTTTTTGGTAGAAAAATGGCCATTTTTAACATGATTCTCCTACCTGGACAGTCAAAGCAAGTATTCCTACACCCAGCATTGCAGGAGTCAGAGAGACTTACAGGAAGTGTCCAGGTTTCTTTATCTAGGGGGCATGGAGCTTACGCCCCTAGAGCTGCCTGGGCCTCCAGCCTCACCCACCTCCACAACTCACTTCTCACAGCCCCGTCTCTCTGCCCCACAGGAGCGAAGGGAGACCCGCTTTCTTCCTGAGGCAAGAACCCTCGTGCAGGAGCCCAGAGCCCAGTGGGAAGGGGCTTCCTGTGTGGCTGTGGGCTCTGGGGAGGCTGAGGTGGCTCCCTCGAGTTCTGCCACTCTCCCCAGAGACGAGGGCTTATTCCAGGAAACACGGCCCCATAGCTAGCTCGCCCAGGAGGAGGCCGCTCATCCATCTGGAACACAGTGCCCTCCAACTCTCGGAGGGAGGGGGGCCTGCCCGAAAGAGGCTGGCCTTGCTTCTCTTCATCAGGACCACACCCTCCCAGGAGCCACCTGAGCATCACTGCCCCTCGCCCAGCCCCATCTCACCCTCGGACCTGCACATCCCACACGGCGGCCGCCAGCCATGGGAGGCCACCAGGCACATGAGACAAGGAAGCTGTCACAGAGGGTTTTTAAACAGAGGGTTTAATAAAACACATTGTTAGAGTGGATGGCCCCGGTTTCTTTTTACTGTTTTAATGCAGCATAGACACAGCAAGAAGTCACAGCAGGTGCCCTTAACAGACGTGGCCTGCATTTATGTGCAGTGTCCACCATTGCCCTAGATCATCCTGGCCACACTCAGCTCCATATTCACCCCCCAGCTCGGCACAGAGCACCTGCCCCTGCTGGTAACTGGGTCCAGAAGGTCAGAAACTCCCTGAAGTGAAGAGTGGCCTCAGGGAGCCTGGATCGCAGGCCTCGTGTCCAGCTGGCCTCCTCCCTGGAACAGTCCCGAGACCTCCTTGATCGGCCCCTCTCCTGGTGCCCTTAGGGACCCACCTTTCCCCCAGTCCCCATGCTGCCAAGTTCCTCCCCAACCCCCTGCCTCCCCTTCATCAGAGAAACAGGAGCCTCCGCTGGAACCCCCTCCCGCGTGGCCCCTTGAGGACTTGGCCTAGCCTGGAATTGCCCAGGCCTCTGTAGGACCACCCCTCCCTGAGGGCAGGGCTCGGAGGGACTTCCTCCACCAGGCCTCCATTCAGCACCCCACTCGCTCCATCTCTACCCCGTACCCTGCTTCCTAGCTCTTAACCCCATCTGATAGTCAATCTTCACTTATTTTTCATGAAGCCTCTGTCCTTCCACTAAAATACAAGCTCCCTGCAGGCCCAGACTTTCACTGTCCTTCACAGCCTGGAAGACGGACAGTGAGAGCCAGCCCCATGTGGCCCATGTCCCCACATCCCCATGTGCAAAGGTGCCTGTGTCTCAGAGGCTGAGGGGCTTTTCTGTCGCAGGCCTCCACCCACACTCGCCAGTCTCCCTAAGCTCCATCCACTCCCCTTCCCATCTCCATGCGGCCCCATCCTGGGTCTCTCCCCTAGCCCACTCAGGGTCTCAGCCCTCTCGCTGTGTCTGCCTCTGCTGCCTTCTCCTCCAACCTCTTGTCTTCTGAGTGAAGCTACCTAAGTGGCAGTGTCCCCAGGGTCCACCCACTCCCTGCGTGCTCTCTCCAGGGAGCTCGTTGATGTCCATAGTTGAGCCCCCTGGGATCCTGAGGAGTGTTTTTGAGGGGATATTAAACTGGATTGGGGTGGGCACATTATCATGAGCTTACAGGACAGGCTGAAGTCAGCAGGTATTTCAAACCCTGCCCGGGCTGTGGCTTCTCCCGCCTGGACAGGTAGTGACAGCTCTCCAAATCTGCGGTCCTCACCCATCAGGGTACCAGCTGCCTCCAGGGTGCCTGGGCCAGCACCACCCTCACAAGAAGCCAGGAGTCTACTCCGGACCGATGGCCACATGAGACCCTCGGAGAGTCAGGGGAAGGGTGGGGACAGGCTCACTGCCTCCTTCTCTCCGTAAATGCCTCTGCCTTTCTGTGGGATGTTGGTGGTTATGGTGCCAGGAAGGGAAGCACGTGGGATCTGCCACCTCCTTGACACCCTCTTCCTTCCAGCTGCGTGGAGAAGCAACTCACCTGTTCCCAAGATGCCAGCGAGCCCACACAGGTCAATAAGCTCACCCGGTTCTCGATGCCACACAAAAAAATCCACACGCTAGCCTCACTGCCCCCCACTGTTCAGAACCAGCCTGGTCCTCTGGAGCAGAGGCACCCAGATGTCCCACGGGCATCACAGCAGGACCCGCACGCCATCCTCCATCACCCCCTAAATCTGGTCCTCAGCAACACCCACTCTTCTGTCTGCTTTGCCGTCCAGTCCAGAACCTTCTCATCTTCAGCGCCTCTCAACCCTCAGCCAGCCGGTCTCCAGCCCTGCTCACTTAGCTCCTATGTATTTCCGGGATCCCCCGCCCAGCCCTCCTTGCCCTGCCCTAACCCAAACCCAGCATCTCACCACGACTGTGGCAGCCTCTCCCCATCTCTCGCTCCTTTTCAGAGCCTCCTCCCCAAAGGGTCCTCATAGAGACCTATGTCCATGGTGAGGCACCGTGAAAGTTGTCAGAAGCAAAATGGAGTTGCTTGTGTTTAAAGAAACCCTGACAAATAGAGCCAGGGAAGGGCATGGAGAGAGGCTTCTCCTGCACAATGCCTGATAACAGAAACTATCACAAAAGACTGTGAAAACCACCACCCAGGCCGGGCGCGGTGGCTCACACCTGTAATCCCAGCAGTTTGGGAGGCTCAAGAAGGTGGATCACTTGAGGTCAGGATTTCAAGACCAGCCTGGCCAACATGGCGAAACCGTCTTTACTAAAAATACAAAAACTTAGCCAGGCATGGTGGTGCACGCCTGTAATCCCAGCTACTTGGGAGGCTGAGACAAGAGAATCACTTGAACCCCGGAGGTGGAGGTTACAGTAAGCCAAGATCACACCACTGCACTCCAGCCTGGGTGACAGAGTGAGACTCTGTCTCAAAAAAAAAAAAGAAAGAAACCCACCACCTTGCACAAAGGCTGTGGCACAAAAAAATAATTATGCGAGGACATCTGCCTACAACTGTCTGCCCAGCCTTGGACTGGCATCACCCTTGTGACTGATCTCTGTAGCCACGGATAATTACCCCAAAACAATGACATAATCCTCCTAGTTTTAGTAACCAGTGTCTTTTCCCTCCCTGAGTGCGCACATGGCTTACTCTGGCACATGTGCTCCCACTGCAGTGCTCCATTCTGAGATACAGTCCACTTTCTTTCAGAGTCTCTGTCTGTTATTTAGGTTAACAGGTCCTGGCGCTTTGGGGGTTATACCATCCTGTGAGCTCCCATTCACCCACAGAATAAAAGTCCAAATGTTTAGTTAGTTTTTGAAAAAGAAATATGTCTCTCAAGTCAGGAATTTACTATGAATCTATGTACCCTAGAACTTAAAGTATAAAAAAAAAAAAACTTCGTCTTCCTTGAACGTCCTCCTTGCTAAGTAAGCTCAGATTGCCCCAGGAATGAGATACATCAGTGGAGAAGAGAAGTTCTCTGCAAGGAACCAGTGCTAAGAAAAGGCCCGAGGCATCAGCTCCAGCACCTTCCATCCAGACACCGTCCTCCAAGTAGACGCTTGGCTACTTACACCAAATTGCACAGACTGACGCCCACCACCTCTCTTAGGAGCAGTGGAGAGCGATGTTCTTAAAACCTGCATGAAGAGAATCTGAGTGATTGAAAGATATTCTATGCACAAGAAAGGGTCTTCCAAGCGCTCAGTCCGAGTCCTGGTGAGAAGAACAAGATCTGGACTGATGCCCAGCGTGAGAGCCCTTAGGATGGGCTGCCTGGAAGGTCCAGCCCTTTAATCGTAACAATTAGGAAACTGAGGTTCAGAAAGGGCGGCTGGCTTTCCCAAGCCAGTACAGCTGCCTAGTGGCAGAATCAGATTACAGCTGCGGTTTGAGGGTGATTCCCTTTTTTCCTCTATTTTATTGTTTTTTTAGTAACATCGGTGGAAGCAGAATGGAAGAAACTGGTACGTAATACTCATCTGCTTTTGCTCAGCTTGGAGCAGGGAAAGGAGGAAGACGCCGAGGAGGAGGAAGCGGACATGGACATGCAGGCAAAATAGAACCCGGTTCCTTGATTTGTGCGGATATGTGGTAGGGGTAATATCCAGGCACATATTTTTCCCCCAGTTTTGAAAAAGGTGGTAGGACAATGACCTGGGGTGTGGAGACTCTGCCATGCATGAATCAAAACCAGTGTTCCCTGGAGTGGCCCAGTGTGGGGAAGGGCTTGCCTGGCCTTTCTGTGTCATCACAGTCTCTGCCTCCCTTTGACCGCCAGGCAATGGAAAAGACCCTCTCTGTGAATATGAGGTGGGCAATTGTATGTTTTCCCATGAGAATGTCACTAGAGGGACAGAGAAGAGCCGAGAATCTTGTGAGAGCAGCATGCTGAGCACGCGGAGTTTGTCTGCGAGTCAGCACCTCGCACATGTTTGATGCGTGAATGAATGGCGTGAGGGCATCCAGGAACCCAAACGACATCATTGTTCCCCAGAGGCAAATGGCATGGATGGTCTTTGTGACAGCAATAATGACAGGAGAGCAAATAGGGATCCCCTCTCTTCAGCCATGCGGCCGCGGCCTGTGTCACAGACAGACAAGCACACAGGAGCAGAAACGCAGGCGTGCGGAGAGAGGGCCAAGGGTTCGGGGACTCCGCAGGTCTTGCCACCTCCACATTTCATCTTCAGAATACACTGACCCAGCCTCCCTCCTGTGCGGCCCAGAAAAGGAAGTGCAATAAAAAGGGCTAAGGTCGTTTTCAGCTTCCTTCTGAGTCAGGAAACCTCATCGCTGCCTCCCTTCCTAGGATGGTTCAGGTTAGATGAGCAGAGACAGGAAGCCTGTGGCCTGCACGGGCTGCCGGGAGAGCAGAGCCTGCACCTCGCCCACCTGCACGCTCACCTCCTGCGCTTTCCCTATCTGCTTGAACACTTAAGCAGACCTTCTGGGAGGGACTTCTGGTACGAAAAACAGTCACTGGACCAGCTCAAAGCCAGAGCCAAATACGAAGGGGGACACGCAGGTTCCATTTCTCGGGTATTAATTGTGTGAAATACACAGGGTTGCGATTGTTCTGTTCCTTTCCTCGCATCAGCCCTCCTAGGGCTGAATGAATGGAAACATACAAAGCTGCATGGGAAATTCCGGCCAAAATATTTACATAGAGGTTTATAAGCAAAAGAGCTGTGCTGTGGTTCAGAACTGTTGCCACTGGCCCGTTGAGTCCTTGCTCAGATGCATTTCAGCTTTAAGGCAGCCTTCTGCTTATTCTCTAATTTCTTCAACCTAACTACTCTGTAGCACTTGGTGAAACACGATTGCATTTTAATTTTTCTGATTATCAAGGAAATGTATGTGGATATTAGCTTCCAGGAAGGTGAAGCAGACCTACTTTCCGTTTTCCTCTGCTAAGTACAACTAAAAGCCCTGGACGTTATATATAAACCAAACATGATAACACCCTGGGTAGGGTGCGGTGGCTCATGCCTGGAATCCCAGTACTTTGGGAGGGTGAGGCAGGAGGATCGCCTGAGCCCAGGAGTTCGAGACCCCCTGGGCAACACAGCAAGACCCCATCTTTACAAATAACAATAAAAAATTAGCCAGGCATGGTGGTGCACTCCTGTAGTCTGAGTTACTTAGGAACTGAGGCAGGAGGATCACTTGAGCCCAGGAGTTCCAGGCTACAGTGAGCTATGATCATGCCACTGCACTCCAGCCTAGGTGACACAGCAAGAACCCATCTCAGGAAAAGAAGAAAAAGAAAAAGAAGAAGGGAAGGGAGGGGAGGGGAGGGGAGGGCTCCGAAAGGTAGAGTGAAGGTGGTGGACCAGCTAGGAACCTTAGGATCCAAGGAAGGACACAAGGGTGGGTTCCCTGGCTTTTCTTTTTGTCTTATATATCCCAGACTTAGAGATAAAGAAGTCTGCCACCCAGAAATATCATCAGGCACAGAACACAAGAACTCCAACAAAAGCTTGCTCTCTTTAGCCAAAGAATCAAGAAAGGTGCAGCCTCACAGGGCAGAAAACTGAGACGATAACTGCTCTCCAGCCAAACGCTGCAGGGAAGACTGTGGACCCACCTCATACTGAGAGCAAGGGCCGAGTGGGGAGCCCCAGGCTTCCACCCTCAAGAAGCTTTAAAAAGGCACAGCTCTCCCTCCCCAACCAGGAAGGGGAGATCTTTACCACAACCCGGGGAAAACAAGGCCACCCCCACCCTAGTATCAATGGTGCCAGGGCAGTGTCAAAAAGGGCCAGCTAAGAAGAAGGGTTAGATAAGATCCAGACCCTCATAGCATAAAATGAAACTGTCCAGATTGCAAGTAAAAATCCCTCATCATACCAAGAACCAGGAAGATCTCAAACTAAACGGGAAAAGACAGCCTGTAGATGCAGACTCTGAGGCAGCAGAGATGCTAGAATTGACAAAGATTTTAAAGCAACCATGATAAAAATGCTTCAAGGAGCAATTACAAACATGACTGAAACAGACGGAAATTGAAAGCTTCAGCAAAGAAACAGAATATACCTTCTAAATGGAAATTAATGAATTAAAAAGTAATAACTACAATATAAAGCTCAGTGGGTAAACTCAACAGCAGAAGGGAGAAGCCAGAGAAAAAGGTCAGTGAACAGAAAGACAGCACAACAGAAATCACCCACGTTAAACAGTGGAGAGAAAATGAACTGAAAAGAGACAGACAGAGAGGCAGAGTCTCAGGGGCCTGTGGAACAATAACAAAAGACCTCCTATTCATGTCACTGACGTCCTGGAGGGAGAAGAGAAAAAGGGAGAGGCTAAACATTCATATTTTTTGAAAATATAATGGCCAAAAACACCCCCAATTTGGAAAAACACATAAACCAACAGATTCAAGAAACTGAGAAAACCTCTAACTGGATAAACCCAAAGAAATACATGCCAAGATACATCATAGTTCTGAAAACTAAGGACAAAGAAAAAAAATCTTGAAAATAACAGAAGAAAAATAACATCTTACTATAGGGAAAAAAAGACAATTAAAATTGTAACAGATTTCTTGCCAGAAACCAAGGAGGCCAGAAGGAAGTAGCAAAATATTTTTCAAGTGATGGGGGAAAAAATCAAACTGTCTGCCCAGAATCCGATACTCAGGGAAACTATCCTTCAGGAAGGAAGGAAAAATTGAAAATAAGGAGAATATGTCATCAGCAGACCTACCTAGAAGAATGGCTAAAGAAAATGCTCTAATCAGAAAGAAAATAATAAAAGAAGGAAACTGAGAACATCAGGAAGGAAGAAAAACACACATAAGAAAATATATGAATAAATACAATAGGCTTTCCTTCTTCTCCTGAGTTTTATAAATTATGTTTCATCATTGAAACGAAATTATAACACTGCATAATATGGTTCTAAATAGATTTGAAGGAAATACTTTAAAGCAATTATATCGAAAATGGAGAGTGGTAAAGGAAAATACAGAGAAGTAAGGCTTCTACCCTTCATTCAGTTTAGCAGAGAGAAAGCTGTTCAACCGTGTCTGAACTCGGCATCCAGCGCCAGGACAACAGTGGCCCCACTCACATACTACTAAGGGTCAAAATCTCCATCCTAGGGGCTCATGAGGCCCCTCTCCACCAGAGGAAGCAGAGCCCACATTGCTGGGTAGAATCCCTTTTCCTGGCAGAGGGCTTTGTACCACCTCTTCAAATCAGGGGGAAAGCCATATGCCTCTTGCTGAACATCACCTGGGAAACAAGAAACTAGGGCAGCCTGAAATTGCCCCCTGAATCCAAGAGGCTGAGTCTGTCTGGTGAATGACTGGGGAACCATGTAAAAGAGTCATCTCCACCTGCCTAAGTTTTGTATTAGCCAGTCACTACTATTAGCTTCTCGCTGGCCTCACTGAGGCTATCCTGATATCATGGATTCATGGGCCCCTAAGCTGAGGCCAAGGTATGGGCTCAGAGTATGGTCAGTCTGAGAGTTCCCTGTGCAGGCACCATTGCAGTGGGAAGCAGAATCATAGTCCAAATGAAGAACAAGAACGTGAGAATAAGGAAGAGTCAGTGCCCCATAGTCATGAGTAGGAAGGAGGACATGTGAGGCATGGATGTCCTAAAGGGATTCCGAGTAATTGTATGGAGAGGGGTCTTGGGAAGCGAGTAGCTGAAGGGGAAGGGAAAGGGTACAGGATCTTGGGCGAGCCCAGTCAGTGCTTCCCCAGCCACCAGCTGGCTTGTGTACAAAACAAGATGGCTACCTTGCATCAGAGAGGTGATTTCTGAACTCCCACTCTTCCCCTATGGGAATAGGGGTAAGGCGGGATCAGTTTCAAAGAATCTGCTGTTCAGACATCAAATTCTCTTTTAAAATAGGCCAGGCACAGTGGCTCATGCCTGTAATCCCAGCACTCTGGGAAGCCAAGGTGGGAGAATTGCTTGAGCCCAGGAGTTCAGGACCAGCCTGGGCAATGCAGCAAAACCCTGTCTATACAAAAACATTTTTTAAATTAGTTAGGTGTGGTGGTGCATGCCTATACTCCCAGCTGCTCTGGAGGCTGAGGCAGGAAGATGTCTTGAGCTCAGAAGTTCTAGGCTGCAGTGAACCATGATTGTGCCATTGCATTCCAGCCAGCGTGACAGAGCCAGACCCTGTCTCCAAAATAAAATTTTAAAAAATAGGGGCCATGGGGACAAAATGAATCTGAATTTTTAATAGGTGAGCTGAGAGAGGATGCTAAATCTTGAAGCATCCCTGGTTTGATAACAGGTCTGAAGACAAGATTTCAGAGGCGGGGGATGACAGCGGGAATATGGCGTGGAACAGCGGACCCCTCTGTATGACCCCAGTGTGCTGGGATAGCACACCTGGAAGCTTGAGCCTGGTTTCTCCTGGACTTCACCCCATGCACCTTTTCCCCTTGCTGATTTAAATCTGTATCTTTTCATTGTAATAAACAGTAACTGTGAGCATCCAGCTTTTCCCAAGTCCTGTGAGCCTTTCTGGTAAATCATTGAGCATGAGGATGGTCTTGCAGGCCCCCTCTACTCAGAGCTGGTTTATGAGGTCCCAGAGTGGCTGAGCTCTGTCAGTGTAGAAGCACTTCCTCTGGCTGCCCCCATTGTCACTTGCTGAGAGGTCACATGTGCTGCCCACTCATTCATCCAGGACTGGCCTCCTCCAGTGGGCCAGGTGATCCCTTCCTGCCCCCTCTACAGCAAGGTCTCACCCTGCTCAGAATCCTGGGCCTGCAGGGGAACCTGAGGCTGCAGAGGGAAATAGGACTGAGAGGGCTTGAGAACCACTGCTGTAGAAGCATTTAAACAATTGTCTGTGTCCAGCCATTTTCATTTCTTCACATCTACCTTTTGTTTTCTTTATCAGAGCGGTACCTGCACACACACGTGCCACAAAAGCCAACTTCCAAGAGGTACAAATGAATAAATATCCCAGAATGCAGCCAAGGAGCTTCGACTGGGCAGATGTGCAATGGACCAGAGCTCAAGGCAATGACGAGCCCCCGCCATGCCCAATGCACAGGGAAGGCGGGCGTCAGAGAGGACTTTAGCTCCACGTGGAGGTCTGCAAGCCCAGGCTGAGCAGGACCGTCTCCGCTCCGGCAGGCTCACTGTGGTGGCCCGAGGTACCCCTGAGCTCGGCCTTCACCCCGCAGATTCCTTGGGGAGGCCCTGGAGCAGCTGGGGGGCTCTCATGCTCCCTCTCCTAACAGGCCAAAGAACCATCCAGGCCCCAGTGTAAGCTTGGGGTGGCCCGGCAGGTTGAGGGACTCTCATCCTCCTGCAGAAGCATGGCATTAGAGCCCGGACGTCAGACACAGCGTAGGGGCACATTTTCCACCTCAGGGTCTCCAGCAGTCTGTGAGGGCCCTGCCACAACCACAGTGTCTAGAGCAAGGCTTGGCACAGAGATGCCCATCCAACTACAAACAGAGTAGGTCACTGCAGAGAGAGGAGGAGGCAGAAGATGGAGAAAAATCTTGCCCAAAAGAAAAAGGGCTCAGGAATCCCAGAGCTGGTCGTTCCTATTTCCTGTGGATGCGGGGAGCCCAGCCAGCCCCCTGCAGAGAGCACAGCTCTGAGCGCCTGAGCACATCACAGCACTTCATTTTCGGTCCCACAAGACCCTATGTTTTTAAAATCTCCTTGTGCATATGGAGGGGACTGAGACATTTAGAGAACTTCCTTCAAAGCAAGCAACTTCCTCCAGGCTGGAAAAATGCAGTGAAGGGGCTAAGCTCAAGTCTGTGAGGACCCCAGGCATCGCGGTCAAAGTCATGAAGAAAAAACTGATTTGATTTATTCCCCACCCACCAGTCATTCATTCATTCTTTCATTTATTCACACCCCTTTGAATCTGAGGGCCTTCCGGGGCTCCAGCATCTACCCAGTTCCCATGGCTGGATCAGCCGCTGGAATGGGCGTCACACCTGCACCCCCCCTTCAGATGGGGGTCAACCCTGGGACAGAAGAATTCCCCATTTCAAATCTTCCTACAAAATGCTGCAGGCAATGTATCAGCAGGCAGGTCCCGCCAAGGGGGCATTAGTGCAGTGGGCATCCATACTCTCCCGGGTCCATATTCTTTGGGAAACATCTGGAGGCTGACTGGTGCGAGGCTGTGACAGGAGCCACGTGGGCCAAGGGCGCCCAGGAGGAACAACTGCCTGGGTCACTGCCTTTCTCCAGGGCTTTCTGAGAGGCGGCCTTTGGGCCCCAGAGGGAGGGAGGGAGTTGGCAGGAAGGAGAAGTTTGTCAAGACTGACGATGGCCAGAGCCAGTAACCCTCAAACTGTGGTCAAAGTGCGGCCTCTCTCACCTTTCCATAATTCTAGACACTTGGTAAGAATGTGGACTCCACCTCAGGCCTGTGCCATGTAGGCCAAGGGTGCAGCCAATTAGAAGCAACTTTTGGACCAAGCAGCGGCGGGGAGGGAGGCCCCTCCAAACAGAAACCAGCCACCTGGAGTGTACGAGGCGCCCCTGTCCTCTGAGTTGACTCAGCCCATGTGCAGGATGCTAGCATTCAACCTGAACCGTACGCCAAGAGCCTCTGTGCAGGGAGCCATCTGTCTACCCTTCCCATCCCTGGCCCCCTAGACTGTTCTGGAAAAATTCCTGCATCCAAAGGTACCTCCTTGATGAGGCCCAGCCTCCTCATGAGGGCTGTAGGCCCCAGGACACTGACATTTCACCAAGGGAGCCAGAATCCCCAGCCCAGGACCGAGCCCTGCTCAGGGGCCTACAGGACAGCCCAGCAAGACACCTGCACATTACATCTCCTTATCTCTCTCTGGGTCCCTGGAGGGAACATCCCAGGAGGGCAGGATCAGGGCTGTCCCTTTTGCCCAAAGCCTTCCACTGTGGCTGGCGCTCAGGAGGTGCGCATGGGGTTGTGCCAGCTTCCTGGAACTGCCATTACAGGTTGCCACACACCAAGGGGCTCCAAACAACATCCTCTCACAGTTCTGGAGGCCAGATCCAAAACCCAGGTGTCAGCAGGCCTGCTTCCTCCCGGAGGCCCTGAGGGAGAGCCCACTCCAGCAGCTCCGACGTCTGAGGGCTGCCAGCAGCCCTCGGGATACCAACTTCGGCCTCATCCTCACAGTGGCTCTTCCTTTGTGTCTCCAGGTCTCCCTCTCCTTTCCCTTTTAAGGACACAGACACTGGACTTATGGCCCAACCTACTCCGGCATGACTCTAGCTTAACTTACTTACATCTGCCAAGACCCTATTCCCAAATAAGGTCACACTCACGGGTAACTTGGGCTAGGACTTCAACATACCCCCGTGGGGGCCACGATTCAACCCCCTACACGATCGACTGAAGGAAGGAACGTGGTCCGAGCCCCAGGAGGAATCTTCTCAGGTGCTCAGCCTCCCTGGACCTTGCCAAGGCCGCCCCCAGTGCCTCCTGCGCAGGAAGAATGAGCACATAGGTGGGGCTGAGGAGGCTGCAGGGGGCCTTCCCTGAGCATCCGTCCACTCCCCGTCTGTCCACTCCCTGCACCTGGACTCAAACAATGGAAGGAAGCACTTGGTCATATCCATGATCGCGTCCCAAACAGTGTGGGAATACATGCGAGGGGTTGGATGTGCTTGTGAGGAATGGGTACGTGGAGGTGTGTGCATGGGGTGTGATATGTGTGTGGAGGGGGGGTGTGTGTGGTGTGTGTGTGGTGTGATGTGTGTGTAGTGTGCAGTGTGTGTGCTGTGTGCTGTGTGGTGTGCAGTGTGTGTGCTGTGGTGTGTGTGTGGTGTGCAGTGTGTGGTTTGTGTGTGTGGTGTGTGCTGTGTGTGGTGTGCAGTCTGTGGTGTGTGTGTGGTGTGCAGTGTGTGTGTATACTGTGCAGTGTGTGGTGTGTGCTGTATGTGATGTGTGGTGTGCAGTGTGTGTGGTGTGTGTAGTGTCCAGTGTGTGTGGTGTGTGGTGTGCAGTGTGTGGTGTATGGTGTGCAGTGCTGTATGTAGTGTGTGTGTAGTGTACAGTTTGGTGTGTGGTGTGTGCTTTGTGGTGTGCAGTGTGCATGTGTAGTGTGCAGTGTGTGGTGTGTTGTGTGCTGTATGTGGTGTGTGGTGTGCAGTGTGCATGTGTAGTGTACAGTGTGTGTGGTGTGTGGTGTGCAGTGCTGTATGTAGTGTGTGTGCAGTTTGGTGTGTGCTGTGTGGTGTGTGGTGTGCAGTGTGCGTGTATAGTGTGCAGTGCGCAGTGTGTGGTGTGCTGTGTGTGTGGTATGTGTAGTGTGCAGTGTGTTCTGTGTGTAGTGTATGGTGTGTGGTGTGCAGTGTGCATGTGTAGTGTGCAGTGCGTGTGGTGTGGTGTGCAGTATGTGTGGTGTGTGCTGTGTGTGGTATGCAGTGTCTGTGGTGTGTGGTGTGCAGTGTGTGTGCTGTGTGTGGTGTGCAGTGTGTGTGGTGTGTTTGTGTAGTGTAGTGTGTGTGGTGTGTGGTTTGCAGTGTGTGTGGTGTGCAGTGTGTGTGGTGTGTTCTGTGTGTGGTGTGTGGTGTGTGCTGTGTGTGGCATACAGTGTGTGTGGTGTGTTTGTGTAGTGTGCAGTGAGTGCGGTGTGTGCTGTGTGGCGTGCAGTGTGTGTGGTGTGTGGTGTGCAGTGTTGTATGTAATGTGTGTGTAGTGTGCAGTTTGGTGTGTGGTGTGTAGTGTGCAGTTTGGTGTGTGGTGTGTGCTGTGTGTGGTGTGTGCAGTGTGCATGTGTAGTGTGCAGTGTGTGTGGTGTGCAGTGCTGTATGTAGTGTGTGTAGTGTGTGTGTAGTGTGCAGTTTGGTGTGTGGTGTGTGCTGTGGTGTGTGGTGTGCAGTGTGCGTGTGTAGTGTCCAGTGTGTGTGGTGTGTGTAATGTGCAGTGTGTGTGGTGTGTGGTGTGCAGTGTGTGGTGTGCAGTGCTGTATGTAGTGTATGTGTAGTGTGCAGTTTAGTGTGTGGTGTGTGCTGTGTGGTGTGCAGTGTGTGTGTGGTGTGCAGTGTGTGTGGTGTGTGTAGTGTGCAGTGTGTGTTGTGTAGTGTGCAGTGTGTGGTGTGTGGCGTGCAGTGCTGTATGTAGTGTGTGTGCAGTGTGCAGTTTGGTGTGTGGTATGCAGTGTGTGTACAGTGTGCAGTGTGTGGTGTGCAGTGTGTGTGGTGTGCAGTGTGCAGTGTGTTCTGTGTGTATGGTGTGTGCTGTGTGTGGTGTGCGGTGTGCATGTGGTGTGCAGTGCGTGTGGTGTGGTGTGCAGTATGTGTGGTGTGTGCTGTGTGTGGTATGCAGTGTGTGTGGTGTGTGGTGTGCAGTGTGTGTGCTGTGTGTGGTGTGTGGTGTGCAGTGTGTGCTGTGTGCAGTGTGTGCTGTGTGTGGTGTGCAGTGTGTGGTGTGTGGTGTGGTGTGCAGTGTGTGTCGTGTGTGCTGTGTGTGGTGTGCAGTGTGTGGTGTGTGCTGTGTGTGGTGTGTCGTGTGTGCTGTGTGTGGCGTTCAGTGTGTGTGGTGTGTGGTGTGTGGTGTGTGTGGTGTGGGGTGTGCAGCATGTGGGGTGTGCAGTGTGTGTGGTGTGTGCTGTGTGTGGTGTGCAGTGCGTGTGTGGTGTGTTTGTGTAGCGTGCAGTGTGTGGTGTGCAGTATGTCTGGAGCGTGGTGTGCAGTGTGTGTGGTGTGCAGCGCGTGTGGTGTGTGCTGTGCGTGGTGTGTGGTGTGCAGTGTGTGTAGGTTATGCTGTGTGTGGAGTGTGTGCAGGCGTGAAAGCTGAAGTTCTGTATTCTGCTCACTAGGGTAGAAGTTTGCAGTCAGTGGACTTGCTGGGTTTTATAAGATGAACCAGAAAATAGCTGGTAGTTTCCCCAGTACGAGCAGAGGAAGGAAGAGCTCTATTTTTCGGGATTCGGTGGGTCCTGAAAGAGAGGTGGATTAGACAGCTCGGCCTACCATGACCAAGTGCCCCAGCCTGGGAGGCTGACCCACACAAGTGTATTTTCTCACAGTTCTGGGAGCGGGAAGTCCGAGCCCCAGGTGCCATCAGGCTGGTTCCGGTGACAACCTCTTCCCAGCTTGCAGGCGGGCTGCCTTGCTGCTGCGTCCTCCCATGGCCTTTCCTTTGTGAGCACACGGAGAGGCACACACAGAGACAAAGACCTCCCGTCTCCTCCTCTTCTTAGAAGGGCACCAATCCTGTCGGATCAGGGCCCCGCCTTTATGAACTTATTTAACTTTATAACCTCCTTACAGGCCCCATCTCCAATACAGTCACATGAAGGGTTAAAAACTCAACATACGTATTTGGGGGGGACACAATTCAGTCCATAACAATGTTACCCAGCAAAAGGGGCTCGCTGCCTATGTCAGTCCATCCTTGCATTGCTATTTTAAAGAAGGGGTGTCCAATCTTTCGGCTTCCTTGGGCCACACTGGAAGAAGAATTGTCTTGTACGACACATAAAATACACAAACATTAACAATAGCTGATGAGCTTAAAAAAAAAAAAAGGTCCTTGCATAATTTTCGTGATATCCGCCACCACAGATGAGCAAAACAGTCCTCACATCATAATCTAACCATGTGCTGCCCCTTTCAGAGGGTCTTTTAAAATCGTCAAGCAGGTCCCAACTTTGCAATCACTGACATAGAAAATGTACGTATCTAAGTAATAAAACGTCATTAATTTTTTGATAATTTTTATTATAAAAGTAAAAGAGGACAACATAAAACTAGTGGGATATTTGACATTGTTTTTGAGAAACTAATGCATCAATATCTGGTTCGATGGAAGTAGTTGCAATTCTCAGCGAGTTCTCAAGGTGCTCCTCAGATATTTTGGTTCTAATTTTACTCTTCGTGTGCTTCATCCTTGAAAACAGTTGCTCACAAACGCACACCACACACACACACACAGCATACACCACAAACACACTATGGTGCTGCCAAAAACCGACGACATGAGTAAGGCATGACTGTGAAGCGAGGGATATTTGTCTCTGGGAAGATAGGTCTTACAAAGTCCAGGAAAGAAGCCTGATGAGATTTTTCTTTAAGTTGAATGTCACATTGCAGCTGTATGCATTCGCAGGTAACATATTTATGTTGGCTGAAAATGGAGTTGCAACTATACCAAAATATTGATTATTTTTCCAGAAATCTTAAAACCTGTTTTCAAATTCCTTTATCAAATCAAAAAGCAAGGCAGAATACTTTTTGCTGTTGACAAGCCCGTGTTTAGCAAATGTGTTGAAATCCGTAAAACTGTTTGCCTTAATTTTAGCTTGCCATAATTTCAATTGTATTTGGAACACTGTTATGGTTTGAAACATTGTATTGAGAAGTTGGTTTTCACCTTGAAGATTCATGTTTAACTCATTTAAATGAGTGGTCAAATCCACTAAAAATGCTAAATCTGTAAGCCAGTTTTCGTCATCAAGTTCTGGCACAAATTTTGTTTTTGATACCATAAATAACTCGATTTCATGTCGCAAATCATAAAATCTTTTCAACATCTGTCTCGACTTTACTTCCGAAAAGTAAATGATGTTGCTATAGTCAGCATCCATACTTTTAAGGAATTCCTGGAATTGGCAATGATTCAATCTCTTGGCCCCTATGAAATTCACAGCCTTGATGACAATTTGCATGATGTTATCCATTTTTAAAGCTTTTGTGCATAAATTTTCTTGATGTACTATACAATGACACATCATCAAAAGTGAGTTTCAGGCGGCAACTGCATCATTTTCTATTAATTTTACAACTCCCTCTCTTTTACGTACCATCGCAGGGGCATCATCAGTAACTATACCAGGTATGTTCACAACGCACAAAGAAAATTGCTTTAATGCATCTTTTACTACTTCGTATAAATCTCTTGATTTACTCTGTTTTTTAATGGCACTAAAAAAGCCATTTCTTCATTATATGGGTTTATTATTTCTTCATTATATGGCTTTATATAATGATGACATTCTATTCGTCATCAATGCCTCTAATAAAAATGGCAAGTTGTGCCATATGTGTAGCATCAGTGCTTTCATCCATCGCCAAAGCACAAAATTTAAAATTAGCAGTTTTACGCTCTTTTCATAGACTTTCCAATTTCTCCAATTCACCTGGCTATATTCCGGCAAGACAAACTGATTTTAGAGATATCTTCTTTTTTATCAGGGCAAATGATATATGCCATGCCTCCCATACGTTGCTTAATAAACTCACCATCTGTAAATAGTTTTGCTTTTTGCTATTAAATTTGCTATCATATAACTAGCTTTTACAATAGACTGTTTGAGTTGCAACTTTAAAAAAAATTTTTTTTGTGAAGACAGACATTTTTTCAGTTCTGCTATTTTTGTCCTTACGACACATTCCTTGATACGCACCAAATTTGGCAGCACGTCTTTGCATATAATGCCTTTTCAAATTATAGTCTTTGAAACTGGCACAAATTCCCTACAAATCAAGCAGAGTGCCTTACTATTTGCCTTGACAAAAAAGTAGTCATCTGTCCACTTTTCGTTGAGCAATCTTCCCTCATCTGTATTTTTTATTTTGGGGGGGGTTTGTTTTCTTTTGAGACATTGTAGAAGCCATATGCTGGAATTTTAAAAAATAATAATAGATAAGCAACTCGATTTACATTTATTATGAAAATTAATAGACAGGAAAATAGAAAGCAAGGTTTAATAACCAAATAAGAAGACTAATACTTATAGGTCTTCTAACTAATATTAAACACCTATCATTTACAAAGGTAGGTTGAAATATTATCAAATATCATTGCTCAAGTCGCCAGAAGCACATATAACGCCTGAAGGTGTCAATTCAGTTAGTGCTGTTTCCTGTTCCCTGAGTACAGTTTGGGTCCCACTAGATGGCATCAGGTACAGTGCAAGGGAATTTCAGTGTAGAGTAAGGGTCAAGAAGGTGGTCTACCATGTATTAGCTATGCAAACTCCGCCAACCACTTAACCCTTCTGAACCTCAGTGTCCCCATCTGTAAAGTGGGGACAATAACTCTGCTAACTACCTCACAGGCTATTATGATAGTCACATTTTAACATCATTGACAATTACACTAAGGCAAACCACTACTAAAACAAGTGGCCTGGAATTATTTCATCAATCTGCTTCTGGTATGACAGAGTCACTTTTATCAGACCAAACTCCCTGCCCAAAATAAGAAGAAACACTGGATAAAGGGCAAAGGTCGGCTGGGCGCGGTGGCTCACACCTGTAATCCCAGCACTTTGGGAGGCCAAGGCAGGCGGATCACGAGGTCAGGAGATCAAGACCATCCTGGCTAACATGATGAAACCCTGTCTCTACTAAAAATACCAAAAAAATTAGCCAGGCGTGGTTGCGGGCGCCTGTGGTCCCAGCTACTCGGGAGGCTGAGGCAGGAGAATGGCATGAACCCAGAAGGCAGAGCTTGCAGTGAGCCGGGATCACACCACTGCACTCCAGCCTGGGCAACAGAGCAAGACTCCATCTCAAAAAAAAAAAAAAAAAAAAAAAGGCAAATGCCCCTGGAAGAAGGAAACTGCACTGAAGTGAGCCTGACATTATGTGCTGCTTTCACCCTCCAGGTACTTGAAAATTCCTAATCAGCATGGAGTTGAGAGAATTAGAACCCAAGCAGAAACTGGCTACTATAAATGAGAGAAGTTAAGCAGTTGCATTAGTCTCACAAGACTGAGGAATAAGAATGGAGTTCAAGGTTATCAAGTCAGCTAAGAGCTGAGAACCTCAAGAAACAAGGGAGGGAAATGCAAGAAAGTGAGCCCAACTCTCTGTATCACTTATCTCCTGAAAATCATTGCTGATTTGCAAACAGTAGCCCAAAGGCTGAGAGAAAGCAAAAGTCAAGTGCCTGAAAAGCCAAGCAGAGCTTGGGGCACTCTCACTATGCTGTGGCAAAATTGGAGTTGCAGCATCACATGTGAATAACAATGATACAGAAATAGACTTGGCCTTACAAAGACTGAAAATCACCTCAAGGCAGCCCACTACCTGCCCCTAATCTAACTGCCTGGCATAAGCAAAAGTAAACCTTCTCTAGAGGAAGATAACATCATTCAGGACTGCACAATTTATGATCACAGTGTCCAGCATTCAGTCGAAAGTTACCAGACACACTGGACACAGCACCAAGATAAAAAAGCCACAAGATAATACTATTGTGGAAACAATTCAAATGGCCTTCAACAACAGAATGAATAAATATAGTATATTCACATAATGGGTTGATAGATAGCAATAAAAAACTGCTGCAGAGAACAGCATGAATAAATCTCAGGCATGATGCTGAGTTAACAAAGTCAGACACAAAAGAGTTAATAGTATGGGATATATTTATAGAAAATCCAAATGCAGACAAAACTAATCCATGGTGATAGAGGTCAAAAAATTGCTTATCTTTGAAGGAAATATCAGATACAAGGGACATGATGGAGACTTTGGGGTACTAGAAACTTAAAACATCTTCATCTGGGTGATAATTATTTGGATATGGAGATACAATAGACATGGATATGGATATGCATGCATGTGTTTGTGTGTGAGGAACAATTCATCAGGCTAAATACTTAGGATTACTGAATACGTTATACCTCAAAAGAAAAAGAAAAGTGAGAACTAATCATTCTAAATAAATAAATAAGTCCAATACATGACTTTCAAAGCAGATTAGACATAGTTGAAGAGAGAATTAGAGAACCAGAAGATAAGTCCATAGAAAATTAAATACAGAAAGAGAAATAAAATAATACAGAAAATTATTTTAAGAGAAATTTGGAGCAAGAAATATTTAACATGTGAGCAAAGAAAAAATAACAAAGTAACTACAATAAATATAAATTTATTAACTATATCAATTAAAAGACAGATGGATAAAAATGCAAAGTCCAACTCTATTATATTTATAAGAAAGAGATCTTAAATACAAGGATACAGAGAATGTGAAAGTAAAAGGATTAAAAAAAGAAAAGATATACCATGCAATCACTAACCAATGGAAACCCAGCAAAGCTACAGTAATATCAAATTAAACTCAAAAGAAGGAAACACCATGACCAGCCTGGCCAACATAGTAAACTGTGTCTCTACTAAAAGTACAAAAAAATTAGCTGGGCATGGTGGTGGGTGCCTGTAATCCCAGCTACTTGGGAGGCTGAGGCACAGGAACCACTTGAACCTAGGACGCAGAGGTTGCAGTGAGCCGAGATCACACCACTGCACTCCAGCCTGGGAAACAGAGCAAGACTCTGTCAAAAAAAAAAAAAAGAAAAAGAAAAGAAAGAAACATGAATAGAGATAAAGAGGGATATTTCATAATAATAAAAGAGTCAACTCACCAGAAAGCCATGGCAATTCCAAATTTATATGCACCTAATAATATAGGCCTAAAATATGCAATTCAAATATTCACACAAAAAGAAAAATAGATGAATGCACAACCAAAATGGGATATTTTAACAAATATCCTTCCAAAATGGACAGAATAAGCAGACAAAAATATCAGTAAACACATAGAAGATTTGAGCAACATGTTGAAATCTCAACAATTTCAAAGAATTTCCCATTTCAAAGAATACAGATTATGTTCTCAATTTTCTGACTACAGTAGAATTAAGCTACAATTGTAGGGAAATTAAAATTCCCAAATACTCTTTTAAACAACCTGTGATTCAAAAAAGAAACGATAATGGAAATTAGAAATATTTTGAAATGAATGGACATGAAAATATAACATATCAAAACATATAAACATATGAAATTAAAGCTGAAGCCATGCTTAGAGGGAAATTTTTATCAATTTAAATACACATAAGAGAAAAGAAGAAAGGCTTAAAACCAATTATCAAAGTCTCCATTTTAAGAAAATAGACAAAAACAGCAAACTAAACCCAAAGAAGGAAAAAACAAAGCTTTAAGGGCTTATCCAGAAGACATTTGTGAATATAACTTCTGTCTATTTTTCTGTATTACCTTTCCTATGGTGCTGAAGCTTCTGTCTAATGGGGTATACCTGCAATGAAATTCACTGTAACCCACAATGTTTTGGAGAGATTTATTTCAGTAAAAACACTGCCAGCTTAAACTGAAAAGGATAGAGATAGAACTAAATGAAAGGAGGCAGTTTGACCCCAAAAAATCTACTGACAAGAAGGCTGTGAAAACTACTCCACTGCAAACACACACTACATTTCACCAAGAAAAGAAAAGAAATGATGACTCAGGGTGTAGAACCAAGAGCTCAGAGAGCAGAAGGAAGTGCTAGGAAGAGTCATTTCCAGGCCTCGAGACATAATCGAGGAACTTCTAACATTTCCCCAGCTGGATTTCAGAATTGTTATGGACCAATGACTACTTTTTATCTCTCGTTTTTCCCTTTTACAAAAGGAATATCTATAATGGCTATATTATGCCTATCCCACTGTGGTATATTAGGTAGGGGGCAGATAATTTGTCTCTTCAGTTTCACAGGCCTGAAGATGGAGAGGCACTGTACAGCAGGAACTGTACTCGAAGAGCTTCATCCCAAAGACGTCAAACTTGGAGGCGTTTGAACCATGCATGGGAGGAGAGATAAGGTGAATATAGCTACAGGAGTGTTTTAGATTGTTTGGGCTTCTATAACAAAATACCATAAACTGGATAGCTTAAAAACAACAGAAATTTACTTCTTGCAGTTCTGGAGGCTAGGAAGTCCGAGATCAAGGTACTAGCAGATTTGGTGTCTGATGAGGGCCCACTTTCTGGTTCATAGACAGTACCTTCTTTCTGTGTCCTCACATGGTGGAAGGGGTGAGCTAGCTATCTGGGGCCTCTTTTATAAGGGCGCTAAGCCCTCATGACCTAATCTTCTCCCAAAAGCCTACCTCCTATTACCATCGCCTTGTGGGTTATGATTTCAACATATGAATTTTGGAGTGACACAAACATTCAGACCATAGCAAAAGGGATTTGGGGTCAGGAAGATTTGGGGTTCTTTTTATGGAAGATAGTTGAACCTATAGTCAAAGAAGAGGAAAGTTCACTCTGCCTCTCAAGGGAGGAACTGAAAAGCTATTACGGATTACGGCCAGGCACAGTGGCTCGAGCCTGTAATCCCAGCACTTTGGGAGGCTAAAGCAGGCAGATTACTTGAGGCCAGGAGTTCAAGACCTGCCTGGCCAACATGATGAAACCCCATCTCTACTAAAGATACAAAAATTAGCCAGGCGTGGTAGCATGTGCCTGTAATCCCAGCTTCTAGGGAGGCTGAGGCAGCAGAATCACTTGAACCCAGGAGACAGAGGTTGCAGTGAGCTGAGATCACACCACTGCACTCTAGCCTGGGCAACAGAGCGAGACTCCGTCTCAAAAAGAAAAAAAAGAAAAGAAAAGCTATTATGGCAGTTGTTATGGATACAGGAAAGATGAAAAAATGGGGCCAAACCTCATCTCTGAACGCCAAAATGGTACATCCTGCTAACCTAGTCCATATTTTTCACTGAGTATCTCAAAGGTACCTCAAATTCAGCATGTCCAAGACCAGGCCTCCCATGGTAACTTGTATCTCAGTGAACAACAAGACTCTATCCAGTGTATGAGGCAGAAATCTAGACCTCGTCCTGACAGCTTCCTTTTCCCCACTACCTATTATCCAGTCAGTCATCAAGTTCAGAAGCTCTTTTTTTTTTTTTTTTTTTTTTTTTTGAGATGGAGTCTTGCTCTGGAGTACAGTGGCGTGATCTCGGCTCACTGCAAGCTCCGCCTCCTGGGTTCATGCCATTCTCCTGCCTCAGCCTCCTGAGTAGCCGGGACTACAGGCACCTGCCACCACGCCTGGCTAATTTTTTTGTATTTTTAGTAGAGACAGGGTTTCACCTTGTTAGCCAGGATGGTCTCGATCTCCTGACCTCGTGATCCACCCACCTCAGCCTCCCAAAGTGCTGGGATTACAGGCGTGAGCCACCGCGCCCGGCCCAGAGGCTCTTAATTCTTACATCAGCCTCCTTCTACTCCTTCCCCTCCGCCATTCACCACCACCACAGTCCAAGCTGCCAGTATCAAGGCTGAACTCCAGCAATGGCCAGATTTTTAGCCTCCCTCAGACATCAAGGCCAGTTCCTGCAGTCAGAAGGCTCTTTCCAAAATGCAAATCCCTTGTGACTTTCCCTGCCTAAACCTGACCCAGAAAGCCTCCATGGTCTCTATCTTCTGGCCTCTCCGGCCTCATTTTGCTCCTCTCTCTCCAGCCCTCTGCACTCCAGCCTCACTGGCCGGCCTCCTCTCAGCCCCTTGAGTGGGCTGGGTGACCTTCCACCACAGGGCTCTGTACAAGCTACCCCTCTTCCTCCACTGTCCAACTTGCCGCCTCTCCTAGTAAACTCCTCCTTGACATCAGATTTTGGCTAAATGCAGCTTCCCACAAGGAGCCCTCCCACCCTCACTTTGACGCTTGCCTCATTAAACAGCATCCTTTGCTTCGGGTACCCCTTGATAAGCCCCAGGAAAGCAGGAGCCAGCTCCTAGCACAGGGGCAGGTATATGTAGACAATAAATGCTTGTTGAATGACAATGAATCTCACTTAACCCTTGAAATAAACTTAAGCAGTGGACATTCTTGATCTCCCTCTATAGATAAAGAGACAGGCCAAGATCACAGAGCTGGGGACAGGTCCCTCTCACTGAAAAGGAACAGAAAGTTCAATTCACTTCTGATTAACAAAGAGAAAAAAAAAACTATTGGGAAAGTACATCTTACTTCGAAACTTATGATACAAAGAACAAATGGAGAAATAAAATGCTGTGACTGGGTTCCTTCTTATTTAATTCCTTTCCCCTTGTATTTTCTCTTTGTCTCTTCTCCCTAATTTTTCCCCTCTCCCTGCATTCAGTAGCAGACTTGTATCCCTTTAAATACTTCCCAAGGAAGCAGCCTGAACAGCCTTTCCCACAGGTTTGGAAATGCCCTGCAATAAAAATGTCAAGGGTGAAATAAGACAATGCATTTTCTCAGCCCTACATCAGGCCAAATTACATAATAAAGGACCAACATCTGAACCATAAAACTCAGGATGAAAGTCACCTTTAACTTGCTGGAATCCTGGTTAAGGTCTGGATTAAATGGAGTGGGGGCTGGAGCTAAAGTTGTCATTCTCCAAGGACTTTCATACATCGGGCAAAAATCTGCTGGGCCCCTTCCCAACCTCCTCCCTTACCCAGTCCCCACTCCGGCCAGAATGATACAAACCTTGCAGAGGCTCTGATGAACTCCCATCAGTTCTCAGCTGATTATTGAGAAATTGTCCTCTTGTGCTAGAATTAAAAGCCTGCATTGTTCCTGCTTAGAGTTCCTCCATCAGAAGACAGATGCCCTTAGGCCCCAATATCCCTAGGGCTGTAGAAGCAATCCCTTTCCTGGCTGTCCTGTAGGTACCATGTACCTGCTAGACTAAACAAAGGTTTGTAACCACACACACCCCAAACAGGCCAGCTCAGGCCAGCAGCACAGCCAAATTCTGGGAGGCCAGGCAGCACTGGGCCAGTCCCCACTTGACAGTGTCAGGCCAGGCAGAGCCTGCAGGTCTAGACATCTCACACCCAGGGACAAGGCTGGTGTCCAGGGCTTTTCTCATCACTGTGTCTTTCATCAGAGCAGGTCCGACTTATGCTTCTGGTTGGTAGCTTTCTAAAAAACTTTCTTACTTAGGTGAAAGGACTCAAAGACTCCTCTCCCAAAGTACCTGAAAATCTCCCTTCTCTCCAAACACCAACTTGTACTTTGTTGCTCCATCAATGACCAGCAAACTTTTTCCCCTGGACTTTTATGATGTTAGAAGACAGTGCAAGTATCAGACATCAGCAGGATGGCCAGCTAGAGTTTCTTGGCACTTCCCCCCACCCACCTAGAAAGGGAACAAAACAACAGATACCTATATTTCCACTACAGTGACTGAGGAGGTACACTGGAGAGCACCAGAGGCGTGGTGAAATCCCTGTGGGGCACGGAAGCCCAGGACAGCACCATAGAGAGGTGAGTGAGGTATCCTGCCTCTGCCACACTGTCTCTCCCAGCAGGATCTGCTCAGAGTTGGGGGACTTCTTAGAACCAAAGCCAATGCACCATTCCCAACCAACACCCTAGAACCCATCTACAAGGGTGGGTTCCTACAAAAGCTGCCTTATAAAATTCAAAAAAGCAACTGTTCCATTAGATGTGCAGGTATGAATGTAGGGATGTGAGAAACATGAAACATGAAAAAGCAAGGAAACATGGTATCCCCAAAGAAACACAATAAGTATACAGTTAACAGACCACAAAGAAAAGGATATTTATAAAATACCTAAAAAGAAATTCAAAATAATGGCCTTAAGGAAACTCAGTAACATACAAGAGAGTATAGACAAACGATTCAATAAGATCAGGAAAACAATTCACAATCTGAAAAAAAAAATTCAAATAACAAATAGACATCATAAAAAATAACCCCAAAAAATCTTGGAACTCAAAAATTCAATTAATGTAACAAAAAAATACAGTTGAGAGCTTCAACAACAGACTAGATCAAGCAGAAAAGAATTTCTGAACTTGAAGACAGGTCTTTTGAAATAATCCAATCAGAGGGGGAATAAAGAAACAATATAAAAAAATGAAACTTACAAGACTTATGAGACACCATTAAATGAACAAATATTCACATTATAGGAATGCTACGGGGAGAAGAAATGGAGGGAAAAAAAGCACAGAAAACCTATTTAACAAAATTATAGCTGAAAACCTGCCAAGTCTTGGGAGAGACATAGATATCCAGATCTGAGAAGCTCAAAGATTCCCAATAAAACTCAACTAAAAATTATCCTCTTTGAGGAATATTATAGTCAAAGACAAAGAGAGAATTCTAAAAGCTACAAGAGAGAAACATCAATTCACAAATAAGGAAATTTCCATTAGACTATCAGCAGATTTCTCAGTAGAAACCTTTCAAGCTAGGAGAGAATGGGATAATATATTCAACGTGTTAAAAGAAAAAAAAAACTGTCAGCCAAGAATACTATATCTATAAAAGCTGTCTTTCAGTAATGAAGGAGAAATAAAAAACTTCCCTGACAAGCAAAAACTGAGGGAATTCTTCACCACCTGACTGGCCTTACAAGGAATGTTTAAGGGAATGCTATAGCTAGAAACAAAGAGACAATAATTACTATCATTAAAACACATGAAATTATAAAACCCACCAGTATAGGTAAATCTATCATACTTAGAATAGCCCAGTGCTGTAATGGTGCTATGTAAATCTTTCAATCCTCTAGTTTGATATTTAAAAATCAAAAAGGTCAAAAATATCAACTACAAAAGATAAAGATGTAAATTAAGGCAACTAAAATACAAATTGTAGGGGGAGAGGAGAAAGTCTAGAGTATTTTTATATAACCAAACTTAAGTTGTTAGCAGCTTAAAATAGTGTATTATATCACGAGGCACAGTAGTTCATACCTGTAATCGCAGCACTTTGGGAGGCTGAGGCAGGAGGATCACTTGGGCCCAGGAGTTCAAAAACAGCCATGGTGGCATGGACCTATAGTCCCAGCTACTCAGGAGGCTGAAACAGGAGGATCGCTTGAGCCCTAGGAGATCAACCTGGGCAACAGAGCAAGACCTCGTCTCAAAAAAAAAAAAAATGTACTGTAACTACAAGACTCTTTATGTTAGACCCATGGTAACTACAAAGAAAAAAATTACAGCAGATACACAGATGAGAAAGAGAAAGAAACCTTAACATCAAAAAACCCACCAAACCACAGATGTAAACAAAAAGAGAAGAAGAAGAACAAAGGTCTACAAAACAACCAGGAAACAATTAATAAAATGGTGGGAGTAAGTCTTCTTCTACCAATAATAACCTTAAGTGTAAACAGATTAATTCTACAGCTAAAAGATATAAAGTGGTTGAATTGATTTTTTTAAAACAGACCCATCTATATGCTGCCTACAAGAGACTCCCCTCACTGCTAAAGACAAACAGACTGAAAGTGAAGACATGGAAAAAGATATTCTATGCAAACATAAACCAAAAACAAACAGGAATAGCCATACTGATATCAGACAAAATAGACTTTAAGTCAAAAACTGTAAAAAGAGTAAAAGAAGGTCATAATAAAATAATAAAGGAAGCAATTCATTAAGAGGATATAACAACTATAAATATATATGCACCCAATATCACAGCATCCAAATATATAAAGCAAAGATTATTAGATCTAAAGTGAGAGATAGCCTACCACACAAAAATAGTAGGGAACTTCAGGGTTCCACTTTCAGCAGTGAACACAGATCATCTAGACAGAAAATCAGCAACAACAAAAAATTGAACTTATACCACAGACCAAATAAACCTAACAGACATTTACAAAACATTCCATCCAACATCTACAAAATACAACTTCTTTTCAACTGTACATGGAATGTTCTTCAGGATAGATCATATGTTAGGCCACAAAACAAATCTTAAACTTAACAAGATAGAGATCATATCAAGTATTTCTTCAGACCATAACAGAAGTCAATGACAAGGAAAACTAGAAGTCAACAAGAAGAAAAATTTCAGAAGTCTTAAAAGTACATGGAAATTTAACGACATGATCCTAAATAACCAATGGGTTAATAAATAAATGAAAAGGAAAATTTTAAAATTCCCTGAGATCCAAGGTGGGAGGATCACTTAAGGCCAGGAGTTTGAGACCAGCCTAGGCAACATAGTGAGACATTGTCTCTATAAGCAATTTTTAAAAAATAGCTGGGCATGGTAGCACATAGGAGGCTGAGGCAGGAGGATCACTTGAGCCCAGGAATTCAAGGTTACAGAGAGCTATGATTGTGCCACTGCACTCCAGCCTGGGCAACAGAGCAAAACCCTGTCTGTAAAAAATAAAAACAAATTATAATAATTAAAATTCCTTAAGACAAATGAGAATAGAAACACATCATTCCAAAACCTATGGCACACAGCGAAAGCAGTTCTAAGAGGGAAGTTCATAGTGATAAACCTGTACATCAAAAAAGAAGAAATATTTCTAATAAATGACCTGCCATGAACATCTAGGAACTAGAGAAATAAGAACAAACTAAACCCAAGATTGGTAGAAGGAAGGAAATAATAAAGCTTAGAACAGAAATAAAATAGAGTGTGAAAAAAGGACCAATTCAAAAGATCAATGAAACAAAAAGTCAGTTTCTTTGAAAAGATAAACCATATCAACAAACCTTTAGCTAGGCTAAGAATAAAAGAGGATAGACACAAATATATAAAATCAGAAATGAAAAAGGAGACATTACAAATAATATCACAGAAATATAAAGGATCATAAGAGACTATTATGAACACATATACAACAAAAAATTTGTAAACAAAAAAGAAATGAATACATTCCTGGATATAACCTATCAAGATTAAATTATGAAGAATAGGAAATTTTAACAGACCAGTAACAGGTAAGAAAATTGAATCAGTAATAAAAAGTCTTCCAAGAAAAAAATAAATAAATATTTTTAAAAGCACAGGACCTGATGGCTTCACTGCTGAATTCTACCAAATATTTAAGGAAGAACTAATACCAACTCTGCTCAAAACATTCCAGAAAATTGAAGAGGGGGGAAAACTTACTAACTAATTTTATGAGGCCAGCATTACTCTGATTCCAAAACCAGATAAGAACACAACAAAAAAGAAAACTATAGGCCAATATCTCTGAGGAACACAGATGCAAAAATTCTCAACAAGATACTAGCAAACTAAATTGAAAGGCACATTTAAAAGATCATTATGATCAAGTGGGATTCATCCCAGGAACATGAGGATGGTTCAACATATGCAAATCCATACATGTGATATACCACAGTAACAAAAAAAGGCAACAAAATGATCATTTCAATAAACACAGAGCATTTGAAAATCCAACATTCGTTTATGATAAACACTCTTAGCAAATTAGGTATAGAAGATATATATATATACCTTGAAACAATAAATACAAGATATATATATATCTTGTATTTATATATATATATATATACACCTTGAAACAATATATCTTGAATATATATACCTTGAAACAATATATCTTGAAAACAAGATATATATATATACCTTGAAACAATAAATCTACAGTTAACATCATACCGAATGGGGAAAAGATAAAAGCTTTGCCTCTAAGATCAGGAAAAATAAGGATGCCCATTTTCACCACTCCTATTCCACACAGGACTGGAAGTCCTAGGCAAAGCAATTAGGCAAGAGGAAGAAATAAAAGGCAATCTCTATGGAGTCTAAAAGATAATGCTTGAAATCTAAGGTCCTTTTTAGTATCAGTGACAAGGCAACATTGGATGTAGCGCTTCCCCTGAGATGACATCTCCCAAACTAAGATCAAGAAAAGCAATGCCTCCAACTCCCCAGAGCATCAGAGAAGGCCACGTGAGTAGGTCAAATCTTCATCCCCACCTGGCAGTAAAAGGTGGCCCTTCCCCTCCCCACTGGGTTTGTGTCAAAGGAAGCACAGTAAAGCCTAAATGTCTACCACCACCCATACCCAGGAGTAGTAAAACATCCTTCTTCATCCTTTTGGGTGGCAATAAAAGCTGAGAGGGGAATTTGGACTTCCACTCCTCCTGACACTTTCTTAGGTGACAAAGTGTCAGAGGAAGCTTGAAAAGACAGGAGATTTAAATAAGATCCTGAATACCCAAAATGTCCAGGATACAACTTAAATTCACTTGTCATACCAAGAACCAGGAAAATAATCAACTTGAATGAAAAAAACTAGTAAACAGACACCAATATCAAGATGACACACACACGGGAATTACATGATGAGGGTTTTTTTATTTGTTAATTTTATTTATTTATTTATTTATTTATTAAGACAGAGTCTCGCTCTGTCGCCAGGCTGGAGTGCAGTGGCACAATCTCGGCTCACTGCAACCTCTGCCTCCCGGGTTCAAGCGATTCTCCTGCCTCCGCCTCCTGAGTAGCTAGGACTACAGGCGCCCACCACCACCACACCCAGCTAATTTTTTTTTTTTTTGTATTTTTAGAAGAGACAGGGTTTCACTGTGTTAGCCAGGATGGTGTCCATCTCCTGACTTCATCATCTGCCTGCCTCAGTCTCCCTACATGTTGGGATTACAGGCATGAGCCACTGTGCCCAGCCAATTAATTTTATTTTTTAATTGACAAATAATAATTGCACATATTCATGGGGTACATAGTGATGTTTCAATACATATAATGTGATCAGATTCAAGTAAATAACATACCCATCAAATGTTTATCATTTTTCTGTGTTAATAATATTCAATATCTTGATGAAGATTTTAAAGCAGCCATCATAAAAATGCTTCAACAAGGAATTGGAAACATACTGGACACAAATTTTTTTTAAACAGAAAGCCTTGGCAAAGAAATAGAAATATGAAAAAGAAACAAATGGAAATATTAGAACTTAAGAATACAATAACCAAAACAAAGACAAAAACTCACTGAATAGTTTCCACAACAGAATGGGGAAGACAGAGGAAGGAATCCGTGAACTGAAAGAGAGAACAATACAATCTAAACAACAGAGAAAAAAAATACAGACTGAAAAACAAATGAACAGCACCTCAGGGACCTGTGGGATTATAACAAAAGATGTAACATTTATGTCATGAGAGTCCTGGGAAAAGAAGAGAAAAAGGGAGGGACTGAAAAAGTACTCAAAGAAATAATGGCTGAAATTTCTCAAATTTGGCAAAAAAACACAAACTTATAGATACAAGAAGCTGAGCAAATGGTAAACAGGATAACCTCAAAGACATTCACATCAAAGATACATCATAATGAAACTCCTGAGAACTACGAACAAAGAAAAATCTTGAAAGAAATAGGAGATAATCGGCTGGGCACGGTGGCTCATGCCTGTAATCCCAGCATTTTGGGAGGCCAAGGCGGGTGGATCACCTGAGGTCGGGAGTTTGAGACCAGCCTGACCAACATGGAGCAACTCCGTCTCTACTAAAAATACAAAATTACCCAGGCATGGTGGCGCATGCCTGTAATCCCAGCTACTTGGGAGGCTGAGGCAGGAGAATCACTTGAGGTGGAGGTTGCGGTGAGCCAAGATCGTGTCATTGCACTCCAGCCTGGGCAACAAGAGCAAAACTCCATCTCAAAAAAAAAAAAAAAAACAAACAGAGAGATAATCAACACCTTACCTATGTGAAAGAAGCAATTCAAATGACAGCAGATTGCTCATGAGAAACCATGGAAGCCAGAAGGAAACGGCAGAAAATTTTTCAAATTCTGAAAGAAAAGAACTGTCAATGAAGATATCCTTCAGAAATGAAGGGGGTGATCAAGACCCTCTTGGATTCAAAAAAAACTAAGAAAATTTGGCACCACAAGACCTATCCTCAAAGAATGCTTAAGGAAGCTCTTGAAATGGAAAGGAAATGATAAAAGAGGGAATCTTGAAACATCAGGAATGAAAACAGAACAATAAGAAGGGTAAAAAAAAATGGGTAAATACAAGAAATTAGGCTTTAGGAAAACATTTTACAAAACATGTATGTTTTTTCAGGCCCTTGCAATGGTTACTATCAACAGATGTATGGACAATGAGTACTTGGGAAATCACTAATTCTTTTTAGGTTGTTTGAAAAAGCTAATTTAGAAGGGGTTTATTTAGGTTTTGTAAAGAAAAAATGTCTTTCTGATTACTTTGTTTGCTTTTCAAAATATCATCATCCCTATTTATGAGTCAGATTTTCCACAGAGAGCATTACATACTCATAAAAACTTGAATTTTATTCCTGAGCTTATTCCAAATACAGTTTCCAGATTTAGCAAATAAAAAATACAGGAGGACCAGTTAAATTTAAATATTGCATGGGACATAATTATAATAAAACGTATGATTTATCTGAAAGTCAAATGTAAGTGGGCATCATTTAATCCTACAGGATTTCCTATCATCAGTGTTGGAAAATAAATAAAAGTCCATCTTCAGAAATGCCTCATTGCCATGATCCTATGGTTTGAATGTATGTGCCTCCCCACCAAAAATTCATATATTGGAACCTAAGACCCAAAGAGGTGGGGTCTTTAGAAGGTGATTCAGTCATGAGGTCTCCTCCCTCAAGAATGGATTTGTTCCCTTATAAAAGGGCTCCAGGGCTGGGCACAGTGGTTCATGCCTGTAATCTCAGCCAAGGGGCTGGGAGGCTGAGGCAGGAGGATTGCTTGAGCCCAGGAGTTTGAGACCAGCCTTGGCAACATAGTGAGACCCCATATCCACACAAAAAAATTTATTTTTAATTATCCTGGTGTGGAGGTACATGGCTGTAGTACCAGCTCCTCAGGGGGGTAGAGGTGGTGGGGATCACTTCAGCCTGGGAAGTCAAGGCTGCAGTGAGCTGTGACTGCACCACTGCACTCCAGCCTGGGTGACAGCGTGAGACTCTGTCTCCAGAAAACAAAATGGGGGGGCAGCTCCAGCGAGCTAGTTAAGTGCCCTTCCTCCCCCTCTGCCATGTGAGGACACAGAAACGAGGTACCATCGTAGAAGTACCTGGCCCTCACCAGACACTGAACCTGCCAGTGCCTTGATCTTGAACTCCCCAGCCTCCAGGACTATGAAAAATAGCTATGATTTTTAATTATCCAGTCTCAGGGACTGTGTTACAGCAGCAGGAATGGACTAAGACACATAGATTAGGATATTGTGGGGGCTTTTGACACATAGATTAGGATATTGTGGGGGCTTTTTTAAAGTTTTAACTCAGAAGGGTAAAACTTATCTCCTTCTAGTGGTCTTAAGAAGTAGAAGGCTTTAGAGCTACTCGGGCAGAGATCAGCTACGGGTCTCTACACAAGAAGGACCCACCACCCCCCCTCCAGCACACCTCCCTACCCTGGCTGTTGACCTGTACTTGTTCACTGATCACCTCTGCCGCCTCCTCCAGGCATGAAGATGACAAACCTGTACACAGACCCTTCCCCCAAATGTTTGTTGCTAGGCATGTCTAAGATTACAGGCCTCTGGTGAGAGATTGGGGTGGGGTCACCACTCAGCTGGGAGGGGAGGGAAAGGTTTCCTGGCAGAAGCAGCATCTGAAGTGGGGCATCCAAGAGAGAGGAAGGGCCCTGCACAGCTGTGCAATGAGCAGGCCGTGTGGTCAGGGGAAGTGCACAGCTCTCCATGCTGGGGCCAGGAGACAGGGCACAGGGCTGGCTGGCCACAGCAATGGGTTGGGAAGGCGAGGGCCAGTGGATTGGCAACCCTCCTCAGGAAGCTTCTCAAGTCTCTCCCCAAGTCCTCCATCCTGCTGTTACCTGGTTACTGGGACATCAAATGTGGTTTGCACACCTGGAATTCCGATTGGGTTTTACAAGCCGTGAAATGTGAGCTCTCAGCGCAGCACGACCTCTCCCGCCCGGGGCCCCTCGGTCCTCTAGAGCCGCCCTGGAGCCCAGGGCTCACCACAGCTTGGCTCAGAGCCCAACTGTGCCTTCTAACGCAGTGTGGATATCCTGTTTGGGATTTCAAATCCATAAATGCACATTTCCCAAAAACCCCTTCCCAGGGATGCTGGATGGCCAGACTCCCACGTACAAGACCTGCAGGGAAAGCAGCCTGGGAGAGCCACAGGCAGCCCGGGGCGCGCGGATGGCAGGGTCTCTGCAATGGGCTCCCCAGAGGCTATTTTAGTCCACAAAATGAATTCATTTTTGTTGAAAAACATCATTCACTCATTCCTTCACTGACCAGCATTGATAAAGCGCCTACTATAGGAAGGTTCTGAGAGGGACAAGGACGCACAGCAAACGAACAGGCTGCCTCATTCCAAACCCAGGCCGCTTGCTTCTGTAGAAAGCATCCGTTACTCTTCTAATCCACTCTTAGTTCCTCAACGAACAGGCTCCTCTTCAGCTCAGAAGGCATAGGGCACGGCATGAGACAGGCCCTGGGCTTGGTCCTGGCACCGCCAGGGCGGGGGCCCACCACAGCCAGCTGTGTCTCCTCACCTCCCTAAGCCTCAGTGTCCACAGTGAAAGCCGAGACTGAGCTAGACTCCACTGGCTGCTCAGGGTCTGAAGGTCAAAGCCGGAGTCAGCCCTCGCTGTTGCTGCTGTTCTGACATTCACCGACCCTCAGGTTGAAGTCTCAGAAGGGCCATGAGTCCGTTCTTCCCTGGCGCACGTAAGACAGGTAGGGGCTGACTCTGCCTTCTGTTCCTCTCCAGGGTGACTGTGCTTTCACATGGCTGTGATGGAACCAGGAGACATGATATGCAGAAGACTGGTCCCTGGAGAGCAGAGACTGAAAACACTGGAAGAAGGAGGGTGATGATCACTGCATGCCTCCTGCCTCCACAGGCAGAGGTGAAAGAAGAGGAACCTGAAACTGACCATTAGAATATGGGGCCCAGGAGACCCCGGTCAAAAGCACAGCATTCAGAGATCCAACAGTGGGAATACATTGGAACTCAGGTTTCCAACTGATAATCTAATCTTCAGGGGACCCACCTTGTGTATAAAGTTCTCTTTCCTGTAGGAAACAAAGAATAGCTTAAATACCTGAGGCCTTGATTCCGTTAGGCCTGTAACATCTCCTGACTTCCACCAACAGAAGCTGGAGTACCTGGGGGTCACAGAAAGCTTCTTTCCTAATTTTTTTAAATGTACATGAAAGTGAGTCACATAGGAAAAGCCTGCTGGGATTGTCCAGGCCATGCACTGTGTGGAAGAGGCAACTGCATGATAGAAATCCTGCATTTCTGCAATGCCAAGAGACATGGGGTCCACATTTTACCACCTCTGATGCCAGGGTGCGTCACACCAGCGATGGCGGTGTCAACTGTGATTGGCATAGTCAGTGATGTCATTTATCAACACTGGTATCCCGGATGCAGTGAAGCGTGGGCCAGACATGATGCTCCGTGTCTGAGCTGCATTGCGTCGTTTATCCCTCACAACATCCCACAAACGACATCGCATTGGCAGCCCCACTTTGCAAATGAGGAAACAGAAGCTCAGTCAGCTATAAAACGCTCCCAAGGCCCCCCAGCTAGGGCATATTAGCACCATAATCTTAGCCCCGCTGGCTCTGAAGCCTCAAGCTCTAACTAGGATGCCACAGCACCACCCTCATTCAGGGTCCTGGGTGTGGCGGGGAGCGGGAAGAGAGGTGGAGGAGCCATGACAGCCAGTGCTCACTGAGCATCTCTCAAAAGACAGGCATCGTAAGGTGCCTGCCTGCTGGCCCATCCAGCTGTCCTAACAACCCTACCAGGCAAGCACTGTGTTATGCTTCCCATATTGAAATGAAATTAAGAAAACAATCCCATTTACAATAGCACTAAAAGGAATAAAATACTTAGAAATAAATTTAACAAAAAAGAGCAAGACATGCACCCCCAAAACTATAAAACATTACTGAAAGAAATCAAAGAAGACCTAAATAAATTGGAAGATATCTTGGGATAATGAATTATTAGACTTAATATTGTTAAGATGGAAATATTCCCCCTAATACTCAATGGATTCAACACAATTACTATAAAAACCCCAGCTGCCTTTTTTTGAAGAAATTGACAAGCTGATCCTAAAATTCATATGGAAATGTAAGAAACCCAGAATAGCCAAAATGATCTTGAAAAACAACAAACTTGCAGTACTCATACTTCATGATTTCAAAACTTATTACAAAACAACAGTAATCAAGACAGTATTGTATTGCCATAAGGTTAGAAATACATCAATAGAATTGAGAGTCCAAAATAAAACCTTATATTAATGGTCAATTGATTTTCCTTTTTTTTTTTTTTTTTTTTTGAAATGGAGTGTCCCTCTGTCCCCCAGGCTGGAGTGCAGTAGTGCACTCTTGGCTCACTACAACCTCCACCTCCTGGGTTCAAGCAATTCTCCTGCCTCAGCCTCCCGAGTAGCTGGGATTATAGGCACCCATCACCACCCCCAGCTAATTTGTATTTTTAGTAGAGATGGGGTTTCACCATGTTAGCCAGGCTGATCTCAAACTCCTGACCTCAGGTGATCCACCTGGCTTGGCCTCCCAAAGTGCTGGAATTACAGGTGTGAGCCACCACACCCAGCCATGGTCAACTGATTTTTGACAAGGGCACCAAGACAACTCAATAGAGGAAAGAATAGACTATTCAACAAAAATAATTGCTGGGAAAACTGGATATCTACATACAAAAGAATGAAGTTAGGCCCCCTACCTTACACCATATGTACACATTAATTCAGAGTGGATCAAAGACATAAAATGTAACAACTAAGAGACTATAAGACTTGGAAGAAAGCATGGGAGTAAACCTTCATGATCTTGGATCGAGCAATGGATTCTTAGATCTGACATCAAAAGCACAAGTAAAAATGAAAAATAGATAAGTTGGACTTCTTCAAAATTAAATGCCTTTGTGCTTCAAAGAACATCATGAAGAAAGTTAAAAGAAAACCTACAGAATGGGAGAAAATATTTGCAAATCAAATATCTGATAAGAGAATCATATCCAAAATATATAAAGACCTCTTCTAAGTAACAATAAAAAGACAACTCAATTTTAAAACGTGCAAAGGATCTAAACATACATTTCTCAAAGGACATATGTAAACAGCCAAAGAGCACATGAAAAGATGTGTGGTAGTATCACTCACTAGGGAAATGCAAATCAAAACCACAGTGAGATACCAATTCATCCCCACTAGGGGGAGTAAAATCAAAAAGACAGACAATAACAAGTGTTAGCAAGAATGTAGGGCAATCAAAACCCTTGTGCATTGACAGTGGGAATGTAAAATAGTTCAGCCACTGAGAAAACCAGTTCAGCAGTTCCTCAAAAATTAAATATTGAGTTAATATATGACCCAGCAATTCCATTCCCAGGTATATACTGAAGAAAACTGAAAACATGTATCTATATAAAACTTTGTACCCAAATGTTCATAGCAGCCTTATTTGCAATAGCCAAAAAATAGAAACAACCCAAATGTCCATGGACTGATAAATGGATAAACAAAATGTGGTGCATCCACAGAGTAGAATACTATTTGGCCATGAAAAGGAAGGAAATTCTGACACATGCTACAACATAGGCAAACCTTAAAAACATCATGCTAAGTGAAAGAAGCCACTCACAAAAGGCCACATATTATATGGTTCCATTTACATAAGTATAAATGGGATAGATAAATCCATAAACACTGAAAGCAAATTAATTGTAGCCGGGCCCTGGCAGGGACAGAACTGGGGTGTGAGTGCGAATAGATATGAAGTTTTTTGTTGGGGGTGATGGAAATGTTCTGGAATTAGACAGTGGTGATCAGCGCACAACTTTGTGGATACGCTAAAAACTGTTACACTTTAAAGTAGCATACTTTAAAATGGTGAACTTTATGGTGTGTGATTGTATCTCCACAAAGGCATGTAATTCGCTGCCACCAATGGCATGGCCTTGCTCAAGAACTCTGGAGGAGGTCCAGGCATGGTGGCTGACACCTGTAATCCCAGCGCTTTGGGAGGCCAAGGCAGGAAGATCACTTAAGGCCAGGAGTTTGAGACGAGCCTGAACAACATAGTAAGACCCTGTCTCCACCAAAAACAAAAAAATTAAAAATTAGCCAGATGTGGTGGTGAGCAACTACAGTCCTAGCTTTCCGGGAAGCTGAAGCAGGAGGATCGTTTGAGCCCAGAAGTTCAAGGCTGCAGTGAGCTATGATCGTGCCACTGCATTCCAGCCTGGGTGGCAGAGTAACACCCTGACTCAAAAAAAAAAAAAAAAAACAAAACACCTCTGCGGGTGGGAGGTGCTGTACTGGGTGTCTCGTACTGTGGCTCGGTCTTGTCCAAGACTCCTCAAAATATTTGTGTATCTCCCATACCCCAGGGCAGTACTCACGTAGTGGACATTGATCCTTTTGAGGAATGGCTAGCAAAACCAAGACTGCCTTGATCCCCACAGCTGTCGCTTGTCCACTGACTCAAGTCCCATCACAGTCCTCCCTCCCCCACCAGCCCACCCCTGACAGTGTAACTGGAGCAGTATTTCTAAAATACAGATTGGGCTGCATTACTTCCTTTCTTGAAACCCTCCAGCTGTTCCCCATAACCAGTCCTAGTTAAATGGCCTCATATTAGAATCCACTGGGAGGGTTTCTAAAACTATTGAGGCTCAAGCTCAACTCCCAGAAATTCCGATTTTACGGCTGTGGTCAGCAGGTAAGAGGCTCCCGGGGATGGCCACATCCTAGTTCACAGAAGCTGTGAATATGCTGCTCTAACTGGGGTTGCCGATGGAATTAGTGTGGCTATTCAGTTGCCCTTAAGAGAGGGAGATCATCCTGGATGATCTGGTTGGCCCAGTGTCATCACAGGGTCCTAAAAAGTGTAGGAGGGCAGCAGAGTGGAGCTCAGAGTGATGTGGTGTGGGGAGGACCCCCAGCCAGGACTTTGTTGCTGGCTGTGAAGATGGAGGAGGGGGCTACAAGGCAAAAATGTGGGCAGACTCTAGAAGCTGGAGAAGGCAAAGAAATGGAGTCTCCCTGGCATTTCCAGGAAACACACAGCTCTGCCCACATCTTGATTTTGGCCCAGTGAGGCTCATGTGGGGCTTCTGACCTATAGAACTGTAAGATAACAAATCTGTCTTGTTTTAAGCCACAAAGCTTGTGTCATCTGTTAGTAACAATAGGAAACTAACACACAGTTGATCCAGACAATGCCCAGGCATCGGGAGCTTTTTAACACACCTCAGGCACTGTGCAGCCAGAATTAAGAACCACTGACCAATGGTAATATTCCTCAGCTTTCAGCATTCACAAACACAGACTTCTCATTTTAAATAGACATTTTTAATGATCACCCATTTTAATAAATAAAACGTTTTTTCATTATTGTCAACTACCTCACTTTCATTTCTGAGAGGGATGAAGGGATGACCTTTTTGCACCCTTCACCAAAGCATCTGTGTCTGGTTCAGTGATGGCTAAGTCCAGCTAAAGCACAGGTCTCACTTCCAGGCAGTTTCTTTGCTTATTCTTTTTTATTCCTTTTTTAAACTAAATCAGAAAATTTTAGCCTACAGTTACAGGTTTTCAGAAATGACACCCATCTGTGAGACGTTCTGAACATTTGGATCAAACGTGATGCTAAACCTTTGGAGCTGTCCCTGAGGATGACTTACAGCGTCATCAGACACCACACTGGCCCCCCTCGCAGCCTGGAGACTGGGACAGAGCGGATTGGGGGAATGGCAGCAGATGGATTCCTTGTTCACTCTTTGAAGCATTTCACTCTAGAAAATATTTTCTTCATGTTCTGTAGCTGCATTTGGACATGATTTTTAAAATATGCCAATAACATCAATTTCTCCAACAAAAGGCAGTGGGTTAGAAAGAGCCCTTGTAAGAAATCCTGGTACTAGCCAGGCATGGTGGCTCACACCTGTAATCCCAGCACTTTGGGAGGCTAAGGCAGGTGGATCACTTGAGGCCAGGAGTTTGAGACCAGCCTGGCCAACATGATAAAACCTCATCTCTACTAAAAATACAAAAATTGGCCAGGCATGGTGGCTCACGTCTGTAATCCCAGCTACTCAGGAGACTGAGTATCACTTGAATCCGGGAGGCAGAGGCTGCAGTGAGCTGAGATTGCGCCACTGCACTCCAACCTGGGTGACAGAGACAGACCCTGTCTCAAAAAAAAAAAAAAAATCCCATTACCTGACATCACCACCAATTGTGGTCTCTCGCCTTGAAGCAGAAGGTTCACACCACTCCACGTACTGGATCCATCAATGAGGCACGCCCCAGGAACAAGCCACATGGCTCTAACTGCTTATTTGATTGTTTGACTGAAACTTGAACTCAGAAATGACCTACACTTAACAAGGTTGAGATGCTAGAGCTTTCCCAGCATGGAGGAGGGATTCCAGAGGCGTAGGGAGATGGGACCATTGGACTGGGTTTAACATGTGTGACCCGCACACCTCTCTCTCAACTACACACTGCAAGAAGGCTCCAAAGCACTCTCACTTTCACTTGGGCACTGAGAAATGCCTGGGAGCACCTGCATCCCTGAGAAGCTTTGCAACTGCTCTCTTTGGCAGGCAGGTGCGATGGCAGGGACACTGCCACTGAGCTGGGCTCTCTGATTTCAATGGGGATGATAGGGTTCCAAAGGAGCAGAGGCCAAATGCCAGGACTTGACCAGCAAAGACCAGGCGGCTGCGTCTGCCAAGGGAGGGAGCAGACACACGCTGGGGATCAAAACACCCTGGTCCGCAGGGCTCTTTGCCAGTGGCTAATTGAACATGGTATCCCTAGGAATACAAGAGGACTGACTGACGGAATAAAGCAGAAAACCTTAGGTCTGGGAGCCAAAAATCTGACTTGAGTCACAGCTGTGGATAGCAACAGCCTCTCTCCCAGTTCCCAGACCTAGCTCAATTCACAGGCCAAGATTCTTGAAAGTAAGGCTGGGTCCCCTGAGGAAGAAGCCTGCAACACTGCTTCAAGCACATGACACGCCTCCTCCTCCAGCCTGCAGATCATTCCCCAGTGCTCTGCCGGGATCCAGGAGCACACCTTCCTTGCCAGCTGGCACAGGGCTGATGAGCCTGTCAGTGGGCGGCTCTGGAGGGACACTGGTAAGAGGAAGGGGTTTCTCTTCCTAGTTCCACTGTGCTTTCCTTCCTTCCGACTCCCTTGGCACTCGCGGGTATGTGGGACGCCAGTGGAGTTTACCTCCAGCAGGTTTCAGCAGCACCCAACACGGAGCATCCTGGCTGAGTTCTGCGGCTGTCCCAGGCCTCCCAAAAAGTTCAGCTGCCCCACAGGCAGCCGCCCAGCATTCCCCGGGAGCCCAGCCTGCTCCAGCTTCCCAGCAAGTCCAAAAGCATGCCCTGCAAGCAGCTGTCCCGCAAATTTCTTTGGCATCCCAGCAAGTAATTTCCTGCCCACAGCTTCACCCTACCAAACATGAAGCCCTGGCCCAGGGCAACCCAGTGAACTTCTCCACCCTGGACTAGGCTGCTTTCGATTATTCGCTCCGCCCATGAGAGTGGCTGTGGGACACAGGTCTGGAGGTCCTCAGCATTTCTGTGCACTGTCATCTCACAGAGCAGCTACTGAACATGTGTGAATGCCCGGTTAGAAGGGGCACCTCCCCTAGGTTTGCTGCAGTCTCCCCCACTCCCAACTATTCAGACCTAGTATTCCTGCACTATGACTCCTACGTGGCCCCAGCAAGTCTTACCATCAATGACACCGCCCACCAGCTTCTGCACTTCAGGGCACCTGGCTCCTGGCAGTCCCAGGGAAAAGCTTCCCCACACGGAACTGGAATGTGTGAGACACATCCCTGGATACAAGGGACCAAGCTCAGGATGCCCCAAGACGTGCTGGGACTGTCCTACCAACCACTCTCTCCTCAGGGTGGCCTGGGCCCAGAAACAATCCTGACATCCATCCAGGCCACAGCACTGAGCTGCACACAGAGCCCTTCAGTCATTCCCAGGTCTTACGCAACAAACTTCAGCCAAATGGACTGAGAGCTCTTCCCTGTATCCTATTGCCTCCACACCCCATCCCTACCTCCAATGATGGCAGATCCCAGTTCTGTTCTCAGCCACTCCACATAATAAACAAAAACCCCCAAGTTAAAGGTAGCCTAATGAGGCAGGCAGTTCCCTTAGAAGTTTGAGGTGGAAGCCAGACAAATCCACCCAGAGTCATATGAGGCCAGCAACATCCATGAAAAAATGTAAACCGTCCCTGTGAGCCACAAAAAGACCCTGGCTAAGGTCCCCTTAGCCGAAGCTAGGTCATGTCCACGCCCCATCCATCCAATCAGGGAGAAGGGAATGGGGGCTCAGGCTACGTGGGTTTCCCTCAAGGGACTGGAAAGAGCATAGTGGGGTGGCTCAGGAGTCCCCGGCAGCTGGTAGAGGAGGACAGTGATATGACTCTGGCAAGGGCTCTGGGCAGGCTGGAATATGCCATGTAGCTCCTGCAAGCTTCCCACAGACCCAGCACCATGCATGAGCAGCACCCAATGTGGACATGTGAACAGAAGTTCAACTTCTGGCTAAGGCTATCCCCACAAAGGCTGCTCTCAAGGCCATCCCCACAAAGGCTCTGCTCTCAGATCTCCTCTCTGGCATGCGCTGTTAAGTCAAACAAGGACAGTGCACATTCCCTGCACACCTAAGGTCCTCCTCCAGCCAGAACTTTCTAGTGCAGAGTGAGGTGGGGCCCTTGGCTGAAGGTTTCCTCACACTGGCTGCACTCATAAGGACTGGGTCTCTGGTGAACATTTATTCCAGTGCTGAATGAGGAGGTCTCTGTGGTAGAAGGCCTTCCCCTATATCTGCATTCATGAGGTCTTCCTTGGATGGGATTTTGCCGAGGGTGAGAGGCTGGACCTGCAACTTAAAGCTCTTCCAAACAGGCTGTACTGAATGGCTTTTATGCAGCGCAAGCCTAGGATTTGGCAGGAGGTTCCTTCCATTCATTGCACTCCGAGCAACGCTCTGGGTGATGCACATTCCAGGACTAAATCATCAAGCATTTTGAAAATTCCATTCCATTCCCTCCTGCCAAAACCCCCCAAGTTAAAGGTGGTTAGGGTTAGGGTATGGTTCTCCGTTGAGAATTCTGCTGTGAGATGAATCAGAGCTCCATTCATTTATGTTATTTGCTGCTTTTAGGATCCTCTCTTTGTCCTTGACCTTGAGAGTTTGAGTAGTGTATGCCTTAGGGTAGTCTTATTTGGGTGGAATCTGTTTGGTGTTCTAGACCTTCCTGTGCCTGGATGTTTAACTCCTTCTCAAGCTTTGGGAAGTTCTCTGTTATTATTTCTTTGAATCTGCTTTCTACCCCTTGCCCTTGCTCAGCATCCTGAACACCCATGATTCTCAGATTTGGTCTTTTGAGGTAATTTTCTCTCTTGTAGGTGATCTTCATTCCTTCTCATTCTTTTTTCTCCTCTGTGTATTTTCAAAGAGACAGTCTTCAAGCTCACTGATTCTTTCCTCTGCTTGGTCCATTCTGCTGTTAAGAGCCTCTAATGAGTTCTTCAGTTCAGCAAATGTATTTCTCAGTTCCAAGATTTCTGTTTGATTATTTCCATCTTTGTTAAATTTCTCTGATAAATTTCAGAAGTGATTTTCTGTGTTCTTGGTGATCCCTGAGTCTCTGTAAAACTGCTATTTTGAATTCTTGGTCAGAGAGCTCACAAACTGTCTTCTCGTTAGGGTCACTAGATTTTTGCTTTGTCCTTTTTGAAGAGGTCACAGTTCCCTGTTTGCTGTTGTTTCTTGTGAGTATACATCTGTCCTTGCATTGAAGGATTATTTATTCCAGTTTTCTCTGTCTGGCTTGTTTTGGGTTTTATTGGATATTTTTGCTTAGCAAGTCTTTACCACTAGGTCACTGCCTCCTTTTCAGCTCCACATGGCACGTTAAGCCCAGGCTCACCTCAACTCCAGAACATGATGGGAGCTTTGCCTGTCCTGAACTGGGAAGGTCCCAAAGGAATTATCCCAGCAGTGTGACAAGGCTGGTGAGGGGTTTGTGCCCAAGGGAGCTGGGAAACATACCTCCTCCAGTGGCTGCTGCTGAACAGCCACTCTGATTTGGCATCTCCTGTGGCTGTTACAGAGCAGTCTCTCCAGGGCTGGGGATGGTAGTTCCCCCTCCCCCATTTGTCACTGCCTGTCCCCACAGATTTCCCTCTTCAGGCAGTCATGCTGCTGCCTGTCGGTTAATGCAAGGACAGGTCTCCTGCCAGGGATTCTAGCATGGTGGGAAAGCTGGTTGACCACCTCAGTCTCACCCTTCCCAGTGTAAAAACCGGTGAGTCGGTGATATGGTTTGGCTCTGTGTCCCCAGCCAAATCTCATCTTGAATTATAGTCCCCAGGTGTCGAAGGAGGGACCAGGTGGGAGATGATTGGATCATGGGGTGGTTTCCCCATGCTGTCCTCGTGAGAGTGAGTTCTTATGAGATCTGATGGTTTTATAAGTGTTTGACACTTCCTCCTTCACACACACACTCTCTCCTGCCACCTTGTGAAGAAGGCACCTGCTTCCCCTTCCACCATGATTGTAAGTTTCCCGAGGCCTCCCCAACCATGCAGAACTGTGAGTCAATTAAAGCTCTTTTCTTTACAAATTACCCCGTCTCAAGCAGTTCTTCATAGCAGTGTACTAATACTGTCAGGGAAAGATTCTCCACTCAATTGTTGCTAGGCAGAATCCGGGGAAGGGGCATCATGGGTGCGCAAGTCTGGCTCTCCTACCATCTGCCTGGAGTTTTTTCACTTCTTTGTGGCCCCAGAATCTGTCTCATACTCTTTTTGAGTCCTGGGTTGTTGCTGGTGAAAATCTCACACTGTATATTTATTTTGGTTTTCTGTTGGGGATGTGAAGCCAGCTTGATTCTATACCGCCATTTTAAAGCTGAAAATCCTCCAGGGCTAAATCAGAGCAGACCTTTGGCGGAACACTTTCTGTGCATTTGTAAGGACTTTCTATAGTGTGAACTCCCCGATGCTGAATGAACTTAGCGATATGGCTACAGGTTTTCCAACCTTTACTGCATGAACAAGGCCTTTCTGTTGTGAACCTTCCGGCACCAAAGAAAGGAGAGTCCTTTGCTGAATGCTTTCCCACATCAGCTGCACTCACAAGGCTCAGCACCACAGTGGACTCTCCAGTGTTCAATGCAGCTTGCAGCTGGAGTTGTGGCTAAGAAACTTCCCACACTCACGGCACTCATGAGACCTTTCTCCAGCACTGGGTTCCCTGTCCTCGGGTTCTCTGGTGCTGAACTGTGCATTTGCAGCTCATGGCCCCCTCAACATGCCATACTTTCCAGGTGAAAGGTTCCCCCAACTTCGGTGCTCCTGTGTGGCTCCCCTCACCGTGACGGCCTGCTGCTGAAGAGGCCAGTGCTGGGTCCCATCCTTGCCTCACCCTAAGGGCTTCCACGATGTGTGGACTCCACAGCTTTCCACAAGGCCCTGCCCTCGGCCCTCCTGCAGCATTTCTCTCTGCTGTGCTGCTTCTGGGCTGGTTTAAACAGAAGCCAAAGCCTCTCCCACATGCCTCTCATGGGTATGCTTTCTGCCCAGGGTGTGCTCTCTGGCACTCAGTCAGGGGCAAAATGCTTTTCAAGACTGGGCATTTTCTCTTCACCTCTCCCCATGGAAATGACGATTATTCAGCTTTTGCTCACACACACTTCCCATCAGTCCTCCTCCCGCCCTCCATTCTCCTAATAGGCTTCTATCATAATATGGTTACTGTTCAGTGCTTATATTTTAGGACTATATAAATACTATTCATAACTAAATTATATGATAGTATTACTGCGGTAACTTCTTCTTTCCTACCCATTTTCCTTGGAGTTACGTCCCTTGGTTTCCTAGGTACTTGTCAATAATTCAATCTCAGCTCCTATGTAAACCCTCAATATGTTCAGAGGCAACAGGTGTCCTAATAGTTAAGCTATCTTCTCTGGAGCCAGCACTAAACCCAACCTGGCTGCCTTCTATGCTGAGTGCACGGCTGCCATCCTGGAACCTCCTTTTGCTGTGCTCCTGGGGAGTCACCTTGCTCTTTGCATTGGATCTCCCATTGCCTTTATGCCATGCTTTCTCCTTTTGGAGTACATTCTCTAGTCCTTTTATTTAAAAGGGCGTGTAAAGGCCAGGCACGGTGGCTCCCACCTGCAATCCCAGCACTTTTGGAGGCCAAGGCAGGCAGATAGCTTGAGTCCAGGAATTCAACACCAGCCTGGCCAAGATGGCAAAACCCTGTCTTGACAAAAAAATCAGCCAGGCACGGTGGCACATGCCTGTGGTCCCAGCTACTTGGGAGGCTCAAGCAGGAAAATCACTTGAGCCTGGGAGGTCAAGGCTGCAGTGAGCAGTGTTCGTGCCACTGCACTCCAGCCTAGGTGAGAGACCCTGTCTCAAAAAAATAATAAAAATAAATAAAACAGTGTGTGGAATATACATTTTTAAGGAGCCTACAAGTCTTTTGGCATGCCTTTTAATCTATCTGGAAATAATCTTCCTTCAGAATTGGAGAAGGCCCACATTCCGTGTTTCCTATGTGGCATCTGAGGACTGCAAAGTTATTGATTCCTAATACTCTGCATGTGTACTGTTCATTCCCTCCAGCCGTTCCCCGGTGTTCTGAAATCTCACACTCATGTGCCTGGATGTGCACACTGATAAGGAATGGAAGAAGGCAGGGTGCTTTCTCCTTCCATTGCGTTGAAACTAGGTGCGCTGAGCCCTTGTAATCCGGAAACTGACAGCCTTCATTCTCAGAATTATTTTATTTGCTGGGATGCATTGAAAGATGTGTGAGGGCATGTCCGGGGCCACGTTACGTGTGAGGGCATGTCCTGGGCCACGTTACGTGTGAGGGCATGTCCTGGGCCACGTTACGTGTGAGGGCATGTCCTGGGCCACGTTACGTGTGAGGGCATGTCCTGGGCCACGTTACGTGTGAGGGCATATCCTGGGCCACGTTACGTGTGAGGGCATGTCCTGGGCCACGTTACGTGTGAGGGCATGTCCTGGGCCACGTTACGTGTGAGGGCATGTCCTGGGCCACGTTACGTGTGAGGGCATGTCCTGGGCCACGTTATGTGTGAGGGTATGTCCTGGGCCATGTTATGGATGGCTAACTTTAGGTCTTTCCTTTTAGGCTGGTGAGATTCCTCAAAGAAGTCTCGTTCTGCTTTATTTCTTGCTAGAGGATACTACTGAGCTATGGATTTTAGATACTGAAAGCTGAAAGCGGCACACCTCCTCTGGTCTTTCACGAGTTTGAAGTAGGCACGGTTGCCCAACTGTGTGGAATGGGGAGTCTAACGGCTTCTTAAACAGGCCTCGACTACTAGTTTCACCTTATCTCACAACTACTTCCAGGGGTACCTAGAAGTGCCAATTCCAAATCCTCTGGGAGCTCTGCGAGACAACTCGGACGCTCGGATGTTCCCATTTCTTTCTTACAATGTAGATTTCTCAGGTGTTTCTAAGTCAACTACCATTCACCTATTTTCTGGAGAGGTTCCCAATTTTGTTGCTATTTTTAATCATCCTGGTGGATTTATGTTTTAAAAAAATTCCCTGTCATATCAATGGGATTTCAGGAGGAAGCAATGGTAAACAGCTACATCTAGCTGTACAGGAGGCTGGGAAATGAAGCCTTTATTCTGGGAATCCAAGTGTCCAGCTAAAAACTTTGAGTTGTATTATCACAGATGGAGAGAGTGGATGATGAATGGAAACTAGCAATCTCTGCCACATAAATCCAGTTAGTTTCAAGGCAAAGAGAGACTGAGACCGCTCGTGATAAAAAGCCGCCTTTGCAGGAGAGTAGGAGAGGTGGCAGAGGTTCCGGGACAAGGAATGAAGAGGCAGAACACACAAGGAGTCGCTGACAGATGGATGCATGTCTTTATTTAATTCGTTCATTCCAGGTTCATCCCACATCTTCACATCTCACCCTCCCACCGTCAAAACAGGTCCCATGTAACAACAGGGGGCCAAAAACAACAGGCTTGCCCACAGTCTCCATCACCCCCTACCCCACGGAACACTGTGGGGACAACGGTACCTTGCTTGAAAGCCACAGGTTTCAAACACTTTTAGGGGCACAACTCTCTTCAAACTGGAAACCACGAGCCACTACGTAGAACAGGCTGTCAGGGAGTTTCAACCTGGGCAACATTTGGGGTACGTCCCTGGAGCCCCAAGTTCCCTCAGAGCAGGTGAAAACTCCTGCTTCAGAGCCCTTCTTTCTATCCAATCACTTGAAACGTTCCATAGAAAGAAGAAAGAAAAAAGAACTCCCTTCTTGAAATGCGAATACCAAGATTTCGCACGACCAACACTTCCACCTGTTGAAATAAACAGTCCACAAAATTAAGGCATTTGGGGGCAATTAGAGGGAAGTAAAGCATTTACTAAAGTTACAATATCATATCAAAAGTGTTCATTATGCTTTTGAAGGCTCTTAACTAGGCACAAGGGCAGAAACAGTCACGGTCCCGGCCACTGCAGGCAAACACGTGTTGATTACCAAAGCAGAAAGGGAAACAGAGAGCTGGTGGTGAGCATTCTCTTCAGCAGGTCCCCAGGCACCAGGCCCCCCTCCAAGTCATGCCTCACATGCCCAACAGCAAAGAGAAGCAGTGGGAGCTGAGCAGACACTGCAGGGCAGGGCAGGGCACTGCTGGCTAAATTACAGCAGCAACTGTACACACGAAACAGCTTCTTCATAAACACCATTCTCAAACTGGATTTATGCACATTCATACACTACCTAGTATATCTAAGAGATCTTGAAATCAAAGCAACATAAAAAAGAGAGACTCGCCTGCAATCCAGGCACTGAGCAACGACATGTCAAGGCAACAGAAATCCCCCTCCTGCCCCCACTCACTTCTCCATCCCACTGTCTGCTGAGAATTTCTAGTATTTATTCCACACATCACTGTACACTTCAAAATCTGCACATTCCTCTCCGTGGAATTCTCCTGGGATGTGAATCCCACCCACGTGCATCATGTACACATCTAAACTGTTTCATTCCACACTGAGAGGTTCGGGTTTGGAGCGTTCATTCCACACTGAGAGGTTCGGGTTTGGAGCGTTCATTCCACACTGAGAGGTTCGGGTTTGGAGCGGGAGGAGGGGAGTGAGGCATAAGTGAGAAAGGAGGTCACATGGCCCAAACAGGTACTTCCAGGAGGCCAATCCCAGCCGGTAGGGATCCAGGCCCCGGGAGGCCAGGCCTGCTTGCCGAGTACCGACGGCCAGGTGAGGAGGCAGAAGCTGTAGCCCCAGAGCCAGAAGACCCACACTAGTGTCATCACCAACATACAGGGGGGCCACAGGCTCCCAGTGCCCAGGTTAAGGTGCAGTCCTCACCGAGAAGGCCACATCAGCTTCCTGTGAGTGTGTCCCATGGATCCAGGGGTGGCCAGAGGCCCATCACCACGGGTGTTGGCACTTCCTAAAACCGCACGCAGCGATCTCCAGACTCGTTCTTGGCCATGAGCAGCAGAAATGCTGCAGTGCTGCCTGCCAGCGTACAGGCTGTTCAAGAACCCAAGAGGAATTTCTCACCAATACGTAAACATGCACCACAGCTAGACTGCGGTTCCGTGACTTTGGGATTTCAGAGACAGGCGAACTTAAGAAGAAATTCTGGGGCTGACAAACAGCAACCAACATTTTGTTTTGCAACCAAGAGCATTTCAAAAAGCAAAAATATTGCCCTCTACTTTTACCTTCATTACATAAAAGGAAATTTTATCATCCAAATAAGGAAGAAAATAACTTCAGAATAAAGAACAATCCTTTAAGTTGAACAAATGTGACTTCATCAATTATTTACCATGCTGTTCTCATACGCCTCACCTGCATAGAGCGCTCTGTCCCCAGTGCTATGCTGTGGGCCACAAGGACTCTGGCCCATCGGGGTCCACAGTCCAGCCCGGATCTCCCAGGGTCACACGTTCATCCAGCCCTGTCACCATCTCAAATGCATTTCCACTAAGAAGAGGGACAAGTCACCAGGACAGCAGTTTACACACACATGGAGACTGCTTGCGTAACACATTGCTTCCCATGTGACCCCACAAAACCCTGCCAGAAAGGCACAGCAGGAAGCCTTGTCCCTGTCTGAAGTGGAGCTGCCTCTGTTAATAGGGATGTGGCCAAGGCCGCACGGATGGCAGCAAAGCACAGGCCAAGCGTCTCTCTCAGGCAGACTCTTCCTTGGCTCAGTCCTATGTCTGCTGTATCTTCCTCTCCTTCTCTCAAGAACTTTTAATTTGAAGAATCAATTCATTGAAAAAGGAAAAAGAAAACTTACTAAAAACAATTGTTCCTTCTCTTTAAAATTACCTGTTTAACAAGTACATTTTAACAATGTACTAAATTTTCAAATGTCAAAAGAAAACACCAAAAAACAAGCATTGTTGCCTTAAACACTTTTCTGGAACAAGGCAGAATATAAATAAATAAATAAATAACACGAGTGATGCAAAGAGTCACAGAATGTGGGTGATATTGATGGGTTTATCTAAAACCCCTCACCCGGGACTCCAAAGCTGAATTCTCAGAGTTACCAACGTTGTCCCCCACCCCACCACAGCCCAGCCCAGCCCATCTGTTGACAGCAGCCAAGGCCCAGGGCCCAGGACTGTTCCACAGCCACTGGCAGTGGTGACAGTCAGATGCTTCTGGGATGCAACCAGGGGCAACCTTCAGGCTCCTTCCCCCAGCCCATCGAGCCCCTCTCCTAGGGAGGACTCCGGGCCAGCCAGGCAGCAGCCTCACTGAGGACCACGTTTCCCTGTCCCATGGGACTTGGGCGCCCCAGGGCTTAGAAAGGTGATTTCCTAAAGTGCTTAGGCGGAAAGTGCTACTCTTCCTATTCTGTAACCTGTCCTTGCCAACAGAAAAAAAAGGGAGCTTTAGTGAAGGAAGGCAATGCCACTAAAACCCAGGAGGAATGACCTTAGCTACCCACCCTGTTTTCAGATTCATATTTGGCAGCTATGAAACAAGATACCAAACCTCCAAATTGTTTGGATTCTGAAAAAATTGGCAAAGGCTGGCTTGAACAGAGAGGAAGTTGAACATGTCCTCTGCAAATGAAAAGCTGAGACCCTAGACACCTGCAGGCCAGCCAGGCTGGGCCACAGGCCAGGGAAGGGCCATGAGAGGCCCCCTCCTCCAGCTCATTCTCTCCCCAGATACATCATTCCCTGGCCAGGTCTGGGTGAGTCTTCTCTGCAACGATCCATTCAGTCCACTCCTCCTAGAGAGACCAGGGGCAGTGACCTGGTCCCTCCAAAACAGGCCCTGGGCTGTGCAAAGGAGCATGACGCCCATGCTGCCACATCTGGGTCCTTGCCTCTGTGCAGCCTGAAGGTCACACCACCACACTCACGCATGGGACTCCCACGAGGCAGCATTCCCAGGTGCTGCTTCCCAAAAGGTTCAATAACTGAGCCACCTCCTGCACCGGGCAGGGCTGGGGAGGCCTCGTCCTTAACAGGCCCCTGCAGAAAGTACTCAGTAGAGCAGACGCAGAGCGTATCATGTGTCTACAACATGGCTCACCTCGAAAAAAGCCACCCTCCTCTGAGCCCAAAGGGTGGCAGGAAGAAGAGCCTCGAGGTGGGAGGAGCTAAACAGTAAGCCAGTAAAGAGCCAGAGTGCAGGGAGCTAACCAGCCTCCCTGAAAGCCCCTATCAGCCCTACCAGGGTGATGAGCCACTGCCTACGACCTCCAGTGACAAGGCCCAGTCCACGGTGGTGGCTCCAACTTCCGTATCATCATTCCTTAACTCCCTATAGCTCCTGCCCCAGCCACAGCCCAATTTTTGTCCTAGTCCCACTTTGGTACCACAAAGAACACGCCCACCCCCTCTCCCGGGCTGAAGCCCCTGCAGCACCCAGCCCCGGCTGTCCTGGCCCTCCCCAGCCGCTCACCACCTGCGGTTCCTCTCCTATCTTGGGAAGACCCTCCTGGCTTCAGCAGGACCCAATCCCAAGCTCCCCTCGGGAACAGCACACAGCCCACATTTACACAACCATCACAGCTTCTAACAGTGTCACCTCAGCTGAGGAAACACCTCCCGGATTGCATTTTCCCCTCTGAATCACCCGAGGACTGTTCTTCCCTTCGGAACTGCATCTGCACATACACGGGTCAGCTGGGGTGACCCACACAGAGCCCATTTGTGACACAAGGGGTTGGGGGTATAGAATTCTATCCTCTGGCTGTAGAACGCAATAATGGCCAGACACTGCCTGCCTGCTAAGACACACAGTGATGCTACTAAGTAAATAAAACGGTATCATTGTTCAAGTTTTACAAATTGGATTTCTCTTATTACAGAAAATCAAACACAGATTTGAAATCTGCGCCTTCCTAAATATATCTGAAGTCTAGAATCACCATGGATCCACACAATGGTCCTCATGGGCTTCAAATGACGAAATGTGATTCACTGGAAACAGCAGCAACCTGGGAGGGCTCTGAGGCTGCAGCCACCAGCCCACCTGCCGGTGACCCTCACACCTGGCTGTGCAGCCCTGGGTAAGGGGAAGCCCAACTCATGCAGCCAAAGCTATCAGCAATGATAACCCAGGCCATCTCTCTCCCGGGAAAGACTTCTGACCTCACTGCTATCCCCTGCATAGATTCTAGAAGCAGCGACCAAGACAAAAGAGAGCAATCAACCAACCGCCAGATGTTCTGTCCACTGGACAGCATGCGCCTGGAGGCTCATAACCACCCAGAGGACTCGCTGCATTTTTCACTTTCTGGTACGTGTGGGGGACAGAAGACAGCGCCTCGGGCATTTTCCTCGCCTATTAGAACTGGCAGTGAATGCTGTTGGAACGGTCCTTGGTCCCAAGGAAGGCAGTCATTTCCTGGGGAGTTTGGTGTGGGCCTCCTAAAATCAATCACTGGAAGCTCCCTAAGGTGAAGTGGCAGAAAAATCGTGACACCTGATGAGAGGCACAGTAGGTGTTGGAACAGGTGCCGTGCAGCCAGGAAACCACCCTTGAGTGAAGACACTCACTATGAGACCTCCATCGCAAAGAGAGAATACTGAAGGGGCAAGGAAGGGGCGTGTATGACAAGCGCATGTGTTACCCCAGGAGCAGGAAAAACCAACCAGCAAGTTCATGAACTGCATTTCTGTCCTCTATTTTGCTTACGAAACTCCCTTTTCATTGAGATACTAGAAGGCTTTAATCGAACCATCAAATTGAGAAGTAGAAAAATAAAGAGAAGCACAGTTCCAGAAGTGCTGGGAGTCTTCCCTACAGGGAAATTAGTAGGCCTCCAACCTCAGCCCCTACATGTACATACCCCATGGCCCGTTACATTAATATGCAACTGAAAATCCAGAACAGAGAACTTGGGAAAAACAATAATAACTTTAGTATAAGCCTCTCAGCTGACAATGACCCAAGGACTGTTCAGCGGCCCAGGCACCTGAGGAGCAATGACAGTCTACGAGGACATCTTCTGCAGCAACAGCCATCAGGAGACCAGCAGCAGCACAGCACTCAGGGCTCGGTGTCCACCTCCCTGCAGATCACTTTCTCCCTCACTGGAATCAACCGCAGCACTTGGAGTCTACTCATGGAGTAGAAACTTCTTTATGGGGTCTGGCAGAGGCAGCGAAGGAATCAGATGAAGCCGGTGTTTGCCAAGAGCTCTTCTCACAGCCACACGGCACAGACACAGCAAGGTTCTGGGAACACCTGAAGGCCGTGGGAAGAAAGAGAGGGATAGAGGAAGGTTCATTCTATTCCAGTTATAGAGAGAAAAGGCAGCTGGGACTGCCAGCCAGAAGTGCACCAATGCTCACTACCAACTTCAAAACGCTCAGTGAAACACAAAGTGATGGCTTTTCCTGATGGATGAGGAGAGCAGGCCCCAGGGAGGAAGGTCTTCTTATCTGCTCCTTCTGTCGCAGGAAAGAGCGAAACCTTTCCAGCCTCGTTAACCCAGGGCATCTGCTCCCTGGATCACAACTCGACCATGTTTAATGCACTAGAGAAAGAAATCAGAGTGGACCACTGAAGGCCCCAGCAGGTGCGGGCCGCGGACGCCCAGCCTCTGTCAGCCCCTTCCCTTAGTCAATCCCTGAAGCTCCACCAGTGCCTGGGGAACACAGGCTGAGCACTGCTTGAGGGGCACAGGCTGACGACTTTGCCCCCAATGAAAAGAGCGCAGCCAAGTTCTGTCTCGATTAGCGAGGAAGCTGAGGAGTGGAACAGTCCTGAACGCAAGCTGCTGCTTCTATCAGTACAGCTCCCAGCTGACCATTCATTAACTATTTGTGGGAAGGCTACACAGGAGCATGCTTTAATGAACTGGTTTAGGGAAATCCAGTAACAAAAACACAATGAATTTAAAGTCCTTTGAGAGGCAGGGAGAAGGAAGAGGTTATCAACTTGGATGTCTCAAGACCCAGACTGGGAGCGGTGGGAGGGGGTGACATGTGGGCAGGAGGTTAAAGACAACACATGAGGTCAATGTCTGAATCCCAGAGAGCCTCGGATAACAAGACCAAGCTATGGATCAATTCCAATCTCTGGTGCTATTGATGCATTAATCGTTAACAAAATCTTTCTTCATAAATAAGCAGACCAGGAACTTTATTGTTACAAAATTTAGGCTTATCACACAATCCAAAGTAGCGATACTTGAGTGGAATTGAAGAAAGGAGAGTAAGGAACCCTAGAAAGCCCCGCTTGCAATTTGTTTTAAGGGCTCATTTAAAAACCAGGCATAAAAGAAGTCACTGTCTATAAGAATCTGGGGCCACAGGTCAGAGCAAAAGGATAAAGAGAATATAACTCTAGGCCAAAGCAGTGGCTCGTGCCTGTAATCCCAGCACTTTGGGAGGCTGAGGCGGGCAGATCACTTGAGCCCAGGAGTTCAACACAAGCCTGGGCAACACAGCAAAACCTCATCTCTACAAAAAACCCAAAAATTAGCTGGGCATGGTGTGCACCTACAGTCCCAGCTACTTGGGAGGCTGAGGTGGGAGGATTGCATGAGCCCAGGAGGTCATGGCTACAGGGAGCCATGACTGCACCACTGTACTCCAGTCTGGGTGACAGAACCAGACCCTGCCTCAAAAAAAAAAAAAAAAAAAAGAGAGCGCGAGCATAATTCTAGGAGTTCTGACAACACACATGTACTTTTAGAGATTCCCTGATATCAGTTCTTGGTATTCAGGAATTTAAAAAGAGAAGATCAATCTGAACAACCATCTGGAAAACTGCGAGTTCTAACTGAAGATTTTGGCCAAGTGCTCAGGTGGAGGTTTTTGTTTTTTGTTTATTGCTACATCTTGATTCATTCAATCAACCCAGCCCACAAGTCAGAGCTGAACTCAAGCCACTTACTTCTGGCCTCTTTAAAGACCTGCAAGGCCTCAGGGTCCACTTTTCTTCTTCCTCTCGACTCTGGGCCCAGCGATTCCCACTTCACTAGATTCAGGTTGGCTCCAAATTCTACCAGCAGGCTCACGAAGGCTGCCTCACAGCCGTGGCGCAGAACAGCATCCATGACGCACCCAGGGGAGCCCCTGTAGAATCCCTGTGTGTTGACAGGACCATTGCAGTTGAAGTCAGGGTTCGCGCCAGCCAGGAGGAGCAGCCGGAAGCACTGGAGGTTGTGGTAGGCTGCGCTGATGTACAAGGGGCAGACCACCAAGGAGGTGAGCCGCCGGGAGAATCGAGGCTGGACATCAGGAGTCAGGTGGTGGTTGACGTCAACATCAGCCCCGTACCTGCAGGGAAGAAAGGGAAAGTCAGACTGTGCAGGGGACTGACCACAGCCCACAGATCCCACAGATCCAACAAATCCCACAGCCACCCTGAGCAGAAGGCCTTGATTCAGTGACACCAGGCGCTGTAGGAGACTCCACAGATCAGATAGCTTCACTACGTTCAGCAAGATAAGGTAGCAGGAAAGAACTTGGAATCCCCGCACACAGAAAAATTCCTAAGGGAAGTCCTTCAAACCATTAAAGGTCCAATAATCCCAAGGCTATTTAAACTATTTCAGAGCAAAGAAAAAGAAGAGAAACTTACAAATTCATCTGATGAAACTGGCACAATAACCCCAAAGCCCAACAAGGGCCAAAGCATAAGAAAAACTACCAGCTAATTTCATTTAGGAATACCAACTTTTAAATCTTCAATAAAATTTTAGCCAAAGAGAATCCTTAAGTATATTAAGAAAGCAATATACCATGACCTCATGGGAGTTATCCCAAGAATGCACAGGTAACTCCAATATTAGAAACTCTATTAATATAATCCATTGTAAAATGAGGCTGAGGGGGAAATCCTCTGATTATCTCTGCAGATGCAGAAAAAAAAAAAAAGGTGGGCATATGACAAAACTCAAGAGCTATGCATGTTTAAAAATGCTCAAGAAAACAGAAAGTGATGGCTTTTCTTTAACATGATAAAACATACTCCCTCAGGCCAGAAGTCAGCATCTCATTTAACAGGGAAAGGCTAGAAGCACTCCGGCCAAAGCTGGAGCAAGACAGACTCCTGCTTTCCAGCCTCCTGTTGAACACTGGTGTTAAAGGTACCCTGTGCAATCAGGCAAGAGGAAGAAATTAAATGCATAAAGTTGGAAAATAAGAGGTAAAAATTTCCTATTTTCAGAGGATACAATGTGTCTGAAAAGCCCTAAATAATATGGGAAAACAACTAACAAGCAATGAGAGAACTTATTGAAGTAGCAGGTTGTCAAACCAATAGGCTTCATATAAAAAGTAGAAGGGAAAATTCCATTTATGATAGCAAAATAAATTTTACTATGACATATCTAAGCATAAACTTAATAATAAATGTCCAAAATTTGCATAACAAAAATGATAAACTACTACTTAAAGTCAACAAAAGTAGACCTAAGAGAATGGAAAGACATAGCACAGTACTGATTAAGACTCAACATCAAGAAGATAATTCTCCCTAAATTTATTTTATAAATGAAAATGTCATTACTAGAACTAAATAAGTTGATTACAAACATAAATAAATAAAAATAGCATCCCCGGAGCTACATTAGTTGATATATAAAGTTCATCTGTAAGATGAAAGAATATGAAAAAGACAAGCAAGAAGGGGGTGGTGGGAGGTAGCCACACCATAAGTGAAGTTTATTATAAAGGCTAAAAATAAAACTGTGGCACTGGTATGTGAACAAAATTGACAGAATGATGGAACTTTACAGAAAATCTTGAAATGGGCCAAATTGCACATAGAAATTTCATATATGATAAAGGCAGTATCTCAAACAAGGGAGGGTGTAGATGTTTTACTAAGTGTTTTTTGGGGTAACTGGACATCCATATGGAAAAAGGTAAAAGTATATCCATTCACCATAGCATATACTGGAATAAATTCCAAACTGACCATAACTTAAAACGTAAAATATGAAACCATGCAAAAACTAGAAAAAAACCTCTAAGTAAAATTTGCCTAATTCTGACACAAAATCCACAAATAAAATGTTTTTAACATGAAAATTTTTAAAAGAAAAACTCTTGCATAGCATAAGCATGACAAAACAACGTAAGTAAAAGTAAAACAAGCAATGAAAAATTGGGGGAAAAGGTTACAAAGGGTTAATACCCTTAACGTATAAAGAGCTTCTAGAAGAAAAAGATCAATAGCCCTACAGAAAAATTAGAGAGATGGGGCGGGGCGTGGTGGCTCATGCCTGTAATCCCAGCACTTTAGGAGGCCAAGGCAGGTGGATCATCTGAGGTCAGGAGTTCAAGACCAGCCTGGCCAACATGACGAAACCCCATCTCTACTAAAAACACAAAAATTAGCCGGGTGTGGGTGTGCCTGTCATCCCAGCTACTCGGGAGGCTGAGGCAGAATTGCTTCAACCCGGGAGGCGGAGGTTGCAGTGAGCTGAGATGGTACTGCACTCCAGCCTGGGCAACAGAGCGAGACTTCATCTCAAAAAAAAAAAAAAAAAATTTAGAGAGATGGACAGCTACAAATGGCTCTTAGCCACATGAAAACACACTCAGCCTCACTCGGAACAGAAATGCAAATTAAAACTATTCTGAGATATCACTTCTCACCTATCAGATTGGGAAAAATCCAAAAATTTATTGACCAGGCTTTTAGGAAACAGGAAATCTCATTCATTGTTTGAGCAATGAAAAGTGAACTTTCCCCCTGTGGAGTGGGCAATCTGTCAATCGCTAGCAAAATTACATATGCATTTACCCTTTGACCCATCAATCACACTGCTCGGGATCTATTTCCAAAATACATCTGCAAAACTATGGAAAGATGTATGCACAAGGCAATTCATTAAAGCACCATCCCTAACAGCTGGAGACAGTAAACCACCCACGTGTCCACTAACGGGACTGGCTGAATGAACTGCAGCTCATCTGCACAACGCCACGCTGTGCAGCTCTGAAAAGGAGTGAGGGGGTCGCTGTACACTGCTCCGGAGCAGCCTCCGAGCACAGGAAGAGGGAGGGAAAGCAGCACAGTGAAAGTGTACAGTCCACTACTGTTTCTGTGGGGGAGGAGGTTGCAGTGTGCTTATGGTAAACCATGGAACTTTTTAAATGGTTATCTACTGGGGAGGGAGAGAACAGGATCAAGGAGACAAGGATACAAGCTAGATTTCCAAAAATTTATACCTTGGCCAAGCGCGGTGGCTCATGCCTGTAATCCCAGCGCTTCAGGAGGCCAAGGCAGGCAGATCACTTGAGGCCAGGAGTTCGAGACCAGCCTGACCAACGTGGCAAAACCCCGTCTCTACTAAAAATACAAAAATTAACTAAGTGTGGTGGCGGGCACCTGTAATCTCAGCTACTCAGGAGACTGAAGCAGGAGAATTGCTTGAACCCAGGGGGCAGAGGTTGCAGTAAGCTGAGATCATGCCACTTCTCTAGCCTGGGCAACAGAGCGAGACTCCATCTCAAAAAAAAAAAAAAAAATTGAAAGCAAAAAGAAACGCATGAACTCAATCAGGTATCCAGCTGGCGCCATGATGCGCTGCCCACTAGGACATCTTTCTTTTCAGGCACACTAAACATCCAGACTCCCATGATTAGCACAGACCACTCCCAGCGTCACGTTCACCTGGAAGGCCCCAGGCCAGGACGCACAGCTTGTCGGCAGGGCAGCGTCACACAGCTCTCCACGTGGGCATGTACACAGCCATGAGTGAGGTAACCCCTAGGCCGCCCCTCCTAATCCCCAGTGACAGCCCGATGGGAGGAAACAAATCTCACATAGGGCAGGTGTAGGAGCCACCTGACTTAGAAGCCTCATTCTCCACCAAAGCCAATCTCTAAATGACTCCATTTACTTTACTTGTCCTTGTCACTGTACTCAGAGATGACCAAATATACGGCTCTCTATCAGACGTTTAGGGTTCTTCCAGGGCAAGTGCAAACTACCAATCATTTTCACTCTGAACAGGGATCAGTCAATGAGGGGGCCCTGGCTCAGAGTCAGAGTCCTGACAAGGTGAGAAGGCCACCTGGCATGAGAGGTGAGAGCCCAAACAGGTCAGGAGCCATGTATGGGAAGAGGCAGCAAAAGGGGGGCTGGCTGGTGCCACACAGGGGACAACAGGACAACACAGGCAGTATGTGGAGGGCAGGGGAACTGGGTTTCTCACTGGTGAAAGGAGAATAGTAAACGCGAAAGGCAGAAAACTAGGATGAACCTTGTGGCATGAGCCTGGATTAAAGGTAGCCAGGTGAACTCCTGTCCATGTATATAAAGAAATATAAACAGAAATGTGGAATGTACATACAACCTTAGCTTGGTCCAATAGGAGGGCATGAAAACAGTGATACCCCAAAAGCAATAGGCACTCCTAGTGTCCAAATATAGGGTTCTGCACACCATTCTTCACTAAAAGAAACCAGGACTCCTAGGAGAAATGACTTATTCCAGGACTGAGGCAGTCAAAGTGCAAGATGAGCCGAGAATATCTTGTTACAGGAGAAAGTGAGGAGCTGCTCACAGAATGACTAAGGTCATGTTAAAAGGACAGAGATGGCTTGAAGCAGCTCTCAGTAGACAAACTGAGACAATACGAATATCAAAATAAGTAACAATAATAATGAATTATAACTCATTGGATAATATCAGAAACCATGAGTCTATACTAACAAATTAATAAATGAACAAATTAAAAATCTGAGATGAACAGGACATATACATGGTTGTAAAGCACCTCTCCTCAAAATACTACTTACAGAGAGAAAAGGAATAGCTTTACGGGAGCGAAACATGGCAGGCACCACCTTAATCAAATAACGGAAGTGAGTATCGGCAGTAATGGACACACTGCGATCACACGCAGCCTGATAAGAGGGGAATGCGAACACAACCTCCCTTTGCGATTCCTGCCCAAAACGCATGACATGACTCTAATCTGAGTCAACATTAGAGTTGGCACCTGTTTTCTTGAGCTTTCATCAGCCCACACAGTCCCACAATGTCTCACAAGATTCGTCACCACCAAAGTATTTCATTTGTAATAGGAAAGGACAATATGTGGGGAGCAGCGATGACGGGACCAGAACACGCAGGGTGCAGGGAGGACAGAACTGCGTCACCTTCCATGCCGCAATCACAGCGCTCGCCAACAGGTAAGGCCAGCAGCCACGCTTTCTAACCGTCTCCTCAGCACCATCCTGAGTGTCCAGAGAAACGCTCCCCTGGAACCAAAACTGCTGCTTTCAGGAAGCACAGGCCTGAGGACCAGCACACGGACCAACACGCTCACATGACAACGAGGCTTCCACTACAAACACAAACACCACCCACTCTCCAACCAACACACTCACATGACAATGAAGCTTCCACTACAAACACAAACACCACCCACTCTCAAAGACATTCTAGGAGTGACAGGGGAAGTATTCTAAAACACACAGAGCCAACAAGAAATTGATATTTCATTTCATACACCCAACCAATTAAGCAAAGGAAAACTAGATCTCAAGCAGTGATGGTTTTTTTCTGCTTATTCTTAGGGAAAATCTTCCAAAACGTTTGTAATTTTGGGCAATATGACAATCTGGTATTAGCTGAGCTGTGGGAAAGATAGCCCTTCATCCACTCATAAAAATATACTGGATGAGATCCAGTTAATTTTAATCCTGAATATTTTCCAAATTCCTCTATTGCTTTTAATATCACTGGCAAGGAAGCACTGGGAGAACTCAATAAATCAATATAACTTTTGCACATACAGAAATACCACTCTGTACCTTTTTTCTAAAATATGGGCAATACATATCAAGTGAATTTACAAATAACAAAATGGAGGTGACTTACAGAGGGACAGAAAATTGCAACAGTGAAAGATGAGAGCCCTAAGGGGGAACTGGCACAGGGAAGGCAGAAGCTAAGTTATTTCCAGAAAACATCACTGTTCAGTAACTTAACCGTATCACTCTACTATCCAAGTGTCAATTATCTTAGAATTTAGAATATAGAAAACTTTTTAATAGAATAATATATGTTCTTGGTACCACCTTGTGAAAGTAATGTCCCGTGCTCCAGTGAGGGAGTAAGATGTCTTAGTAACGTTTTCGCAAGAAGGGCATCTGTGGCCGGGCGCGGTGGCTCACGCCCGTAATCCCAGCACTTTGGGAGGCCGAGGCGGGCGGATCACAAGGTCAGGAGATCAAGACCATCCTGGCTAACATGGTGAAACCCTGTCTCAACTAAAAATACAAAAAAAATAGCCGGGCATGGTGGTGGGTGCCTGTAGTCCCAGCTACTTGGGAGGCTGAGGCAGGAGAATGGTGTGAACCCTGGAGGCGGAGATTGCAGTGAACCGAGATAGCGCCACTGCACTCCAGCCTGGACGACAGGGTGAGACTCCGTCTCAAAAAAAAAAAAAAAAAATGAAGGGCATCTGTATATGTACTTCTCGGGCAGCCTGCAGGTAACTCAAAGCAGTTGTGCATCATGAATTGACTGAAATACCCAAAGGGCTTTCTGGAACCAACATGGAATTTCACTGATTGATCCTACTCAAAAGCATTTCCAAATTAATAGCTTACATTCTCCAAGGTGCAAAGACAAGGGACTGAAGTAGCTTAGATAATCAGGTTAGAAATCCTTAAAAAGAGGGAAAAAGCCTTGCAGCTTTATCACCCTCTAACATAACAACCTTACCACTCTCATTTCTTTAGCCTCCCAAAAGCCAATTGTGTAGCTATTTAATTTATAAAACCCTTCAACAGGAAAAACATATTCTCAGTACCTAATTTAAAGACCATATTCTGTGCTGGGTAAAGGGAATCCCAGGTCCCTGCTCATCAGAGCCACCCTGGCTGCAGCCTATAACAACAGAACCCTTACCTAATCCTTTTCAATACAGAAAAATTTCCCTGAGAACCAGCTACCTAAACTGCACCCTGTCCAAATGCAGAGCAATTTGGTCTCCAGAGTAAAAGAGGGAAAAAAGCATCTTTGCTGGAAAGAAGTCACTAGAAACATGAAAAATAAAAACAATCTGGTTGAAAAAGAAAAAAAAAAAGGCAACCGTTAGTATGATTAAAATAAGACTGTAGGCCAGGCACTGTGGCTCACGCCTGTAATACCAGCACTTTGGGAGGCCGAGGCGGGCGGATCACGAGGTCAGAAGATCGAGACCATCCTGGCTGACATGGTGAAACCCCATCTCTACCAAAAATACAAAAATTAGCTGGCCATGGTGGTGGGCACCTGTAGTCCCAGCTACTCAGGAGGCTAAGGAAGGAGAACTGCTTGAACCCAGGAGGCGGAGGTTGCAGTGAGCCAAGATCGCGCCACTGCACTCCAGCCTGGGCAACACTGCAAGACTCTGTCTCAAAAAAAATAAAATAAAATAAGACTGTAAACCTAGTATAATGGAAGAGGAAAGAAAAAAACAACATATAAGAAGAAAAGATATCAAATGGAAACAGTTACAAAACAGAAAGATAACAGAAACAGACCCCAACATCAGCTATAGCAATAATGTTCACTGTATTAAAAAGCAAAAACTCCTAGACAAATGGTTCTACACAAGCACAAACAGAACTACTGAAACTCCCTAGGGTTAAAACTAAATATTACATAATGCCATGTAAATGGGCCTTAAATAAAACTAATAGTACTCTTGTTTTGATAGAGCATAATATGTAAGCAGGAACTTTTATGAGTTCAATTAGCATCAAAATTTTCAAAGCAAAACCTATTCAAAGTACAAGGGGAAAAAATGGCAAAATCAAAAATGTGATCAGAGACTAACAGAATTCTTTAAATTTCTGGCAGATCCAATGACAAAAATGTAAAAAAAAAAAAGAGAGAGAGAGTGCTAACCTAACAAAGTATAATATGTAAACAAAACACCCATGGTCATGTACTTGTTTCAAGCATTCACAACAATGTAGTCTGACATTAAAAAATAAGAAGAAGCCAGCATTGTGGTGCACACCTGTAGTGTCAGCTACTAAGGAGGCTAAGGCAGGAGGGTCACTTGAGCCCAGGAGTTTGAGGCTGCAGTGAGCTATGATCACGCCACAGCACTCAAGCCTGGGCAACAAAGTAAGACCCCACCTCAAAAACTAAACAAAAATAATAATAATAATAATTTTTTTACGTCAAAGAATCCCCAAAATGAAAACTATCTGGTCCATATTATCTGAGCATAATACAACAAAAAGCATTATTAAAACCTTATCTTCCATAACTCTAAGAACAAAGAGGAAATCAACTTCAATTAGAGCTATTTAAATAATAAGGAAAAAGCCTAGAGAGGATGGTCAAAACTATAGTAAAAGGTAAATTAACGTTGCAAGTTTGCATTCTTAAGAAAAAATGAATAAGCAGTCAACTCAAAAGGGAAAAAAAACTAAAAATTAGAAAAAGATAAAAGTAAATATAAAGGAACAGGTAAGCCAAAAAACAAAGAGACCTGATAAAGCCAAGAGGCAGCTCTTTACAAAGGCCAGCAAAACAGGCGAGTCATCTAAAGAGCCGAATTCTAAAGACAGAAAAACTGCAAAATACAGAGAAGAAAAATAAAGTGGCTGCAGGAGCCAGGCGAGCTCCACAGTACTGGCCTGATGAGGGCCTTCAGGATGTCTGCCCGGCCCACGCGAGAGGCGTGGTAGACAGGGGTGCTGCGATGGTGCCGGCTTCCGTTGGGGTCCGCGCCAGCTTCGAGAAGGATCTGGGTACTCTCTAGGTGCCCGTTCACCACAGCCACATACAGGGCCGTCTGTCCTTTTACGTCCACCAGATCCACCTCGGCCCCCTTCCGGATGAGGAAGTCCACACAGCTCCCATGGCCTGCAGTGGCCGCGATTCGCAACGGTGTGCAGGGGAGCCAGCCACAGCACCAGACAGACTTCTCGTTGATGCGGCTGCAGGAGGAACACAAGGGGGCTCATGAGAGGCAGCCGCAGGACAGGGACGGGCTGCACTGCCCCCCTCACCCTGGCAGCATGGACACGGTCCCCCTCTGGTTAATAACGCCTCCACCTGGGCTCTGCCTTCTGAAATGCTCTCACACCTTTCCCCTGCGGGACCGGGGCATGGCAGGGCAGGCATTACGAGCCCCATTCCAGAGACAGGAAACTCAAGGCACCTGCAGAATGATCAGCACCAAAACTAAGATCTCTAGTTCTTAGATTTCCTGACTGCCATCTGAAGTGCCTTCCTCTACAAAGGTGGGAAGGGTCTGCCTGGGAGGCAGTGCCAAATGAACAGCGCACTCGCCCGGGAGTCTGGGTAAGAGCCCCTAGGCTGCTCTTCCCCAGTTACCATCTGTGAAGGCTTGAGGCTGGGCCTCTCTAGGCCTCAGCATCCTCACCAGGACTAGGTGACTATGTAGGCCCCCAACCTCTAACACTGCACAAATGATGGCCTGAAGGAATCACTAAGGTGGCACGGGGGCTACACCCCTGGCCAAGAGCGGCAGAGGAACCTGTCCAGACTCAGCTCTCGGCAGATGTCACAATCAGACTGCAACTGCCTGCCCCACCCACCGACCCAGCAAGGCAGCGACCGCAACGGGTTCACAGCGAGCTCCCAGTGTCACTGAGAACAAAGCTCAGAGGCCCAGAGCACCAAACCAGGGCCCAGGAACATGCAGGGGAAGCAGCTCCCAAGCCAGCCCTCGGGGCTCCTCCGCCAGCTGCGCCTAGGCTCTGACTGCCCAGGAAAGTCGAGGAACACTCCAGGAACTCATCACCAAAGAAGCAAATAGCAATGGGAAAATGTAAAGAACCAGAGATGCCCTGAGCCTGAGTAAAAGAAGGAGGAGAAACAGTGCTGGGAAATGCAATATAGAAAGACTTGGGCTGAGACCTCACCGAACTCTATTTCATTCTGTTACATCTGCAAGTTGAATTAAGGTTTTCTTTGGGCTTGAGTCACCCACTTTAAATATCTGTGCGTAATCCATCTGTCTTCCTATGACAGTCCTTTCTGGTATTTTTCTTTTAAATACTGATATCTGTTTTGATGAAATACTGCTAAGACACTAGAAGGAAATGAAGAAATACATTCCTGTACTGTTAGAAATCCTTTTCTTGGGAACTATGCAAAGAAAAGTTGTGGCATTAGTTTCGGCGCCAACATGTAGGCATTGCTTCTACCACCGCACTGGCATTTGGGTCCTGAAGGGAACGCGGAAACACAACAGCAGCATGGATAGTTCCTGGCTGCTACTGAGTTTAAGCTCTAGCTGGGACTGCAACCTTAGACCCGCAGAACAATCAGAGAACAGTCCAGAGAGCAAGCAGACTCTGCTCCCCCAGGTGTCCTGAGCAGGGAGAGGGAAGGGCAAGCATCACTTGCTGCGAAGGAAGGGCTGGAGCCATTTTGTGGGGACAGGCAGAGTTTGGCAAGGCCAGGACAGGGGACCACTGATGAGGGGAACAGAAAGGAGAAGGCTGATGAGGTAAAAGGGCCTAAGGCTGAGGCCCAGGTCCCGGGGGCAGATGACTGAGGGCCTGAGAAGCTAGAGGAAAGGGCACTAGGGAAGGTGGTGAAGCAGGGTGAATGTACAGAAGCGCCTGCAATTAAGAGCCACGAGAAACCCAAGATGGGGCAGGGCCGCCACTGAAGAGGGAAACAGTGGTACCTTCAGGAGTGACATCAGGAGGCTGAGGCCCACAGAAGGCCAGAAGTTGCCAGAAAACACTAAGGTTAATGGCAGAGCAGGACCTGAACTCAGGTCTCCCTGCCCACACTGTCTGGCTGTCTCCTACAACTCTGACCATGCTGCCTCAGTCTCCTTTATCCCCGTCCTCTAAAACTGGAACACATTCCTCCCAACATCAAGGTCTTCATCTGCACAGCGACTGTGGGGCTCAGCTTCACACAGACCTTCAGGGCCCTAGTACCCGGACCAGCCCTGGGCAGCGCCGCTCACCTCCGGTAGCTCTCCTCTTGCAATAGGCTCCTGAGGGTCTGGAGGTCCCCGACGTAAGCTGCATCATGGAGCCTCGTGTCCTCACAGTGCTCCAGCGGATGATCACAAAATTGCTCCCTCAGCCACTCCTTCAGATTACGACCTGCACTGAAGAGAGGGGCTCCTGTTAGCTCATGGAGGCCCTGCCAAGACTAACCAAAAGGGGGTGCCATCTGCAGCGAGCCTTCCCTCTCCCAGCTACGGGGCACCTTCAAATGCTCAAGAAATAAATCACAAGCTGGGCATGGTGGCACGCCTGTAATCCCAGCTACTCAGGAGGCTGAGGCAGGATCACTTGAGGCCAGGAGTTCAAGATCAGCCTGGGCAACACAGCAATACCCTGTCTGTAAAAACAAAAGAAATAAATCACAGAAAATAGTAGAAACCTTCCCTTATTAAATTAGCACACTCCTGACACCAACGCTGACAAGAATAATTTTTTAAAAGTTGATGGGGCCCAGGAACTATAAGCCAAACCTACTGAAGAATAAAGAAACAAGATCCTAAAGAAAATATCAGCAGATTGAATCAATATTGTGTCAAAGAATCCACTGATAAGGCAAACCTGAAGAATACGGATGCAAGATCCTAAAGAAAAAATTAGCAGATTGAGCCAGGTGAGGTGGCTCACGCCTGTAATCCCAGAACTTTGAGAGGCCGAGGCGGGCAGATCACGAGGTCAAGAGATCAAAACCATCCTGGCCAACATGGTGAAACCCCATCTCTACTGAAAATACAAAAAATTAGCTGGGCGTGGTGCCGCGCACCTGTAGTCCCAGCTACTCAGGAGGCTGAGGCAGGAGAATTGCTTGGACCCAGAGGCAGATGTTGCAGTAAGCCAAGATCGCGCCACTGCACTCCAGAGCCTGGCGACTGAGTGAGACTCGGTCTCAAAAAAAAAAAGAAAAAGAAAAAAGAAAATATCAGCAGATTGAATCAATATTGTATCAAAGAATCTAGCAAATATCTTAGTACTGGTATTTGGGAATATCTTAATACTGGGCAACTATGAAGGAGAACATAGTCATCTCCTTCACTACAAAAAAGACATACGGCAAAATCCAACGGCTGAGCAAATGCTGCTATCTGCTACACGGGTGACTCCCTCCCACGCTGCCCTGGGCAACGGCCACAGGGAGGCCTGCCTAAGAAACTCCTCAGACAGGTGCACTTGACCATAGAGAAGTCCCACCTCAATAAAAACGAAGGTTAAAAACACATGTACATAAATATAAATCCAGCCCATTTAATGAAGACTATAAAACTCAAAAACAACACAAAAGAACAGAATAAGCAGAAAAAACACCAAGTACTTGGATTAAAAGATTCAATAATCAAGGAATTTTAAATAAAGCGTGACCCATTTCTTTGGGATTTTGTTATCAGATGTCACAAAAAATATTCTAAAGTTTATTTTAAAATATAAGGGAGAAGAACTTTTTTGGTTTTTAGTAAGTGTACAGAGAAAAGACCTACCCTACTAGGTAACAGAACACTCATCAGAATAAAAAAGAAAATCAAACCATCAGCTGCCCAGAAAGATCTCAGTATAAACAACCTAATACCGGCAGCCTTCATTTCACTGCATTTCACTTTATCAAGCTTCACACGTAATTGTGTTTTTTTACAAACTGAAGGTTTGTGGCAACCCTGTGCTGAGCAAGTCTTTTGGAGCTATTTGTCCAACAGGATGTGTCCATTTTGTGTCTTCTGGGTCACAATCTGGTAATTCTTGCAATATTTCAAACTTTTTCATTATTATTTTATCTGTTATGGTGATGAATGATTTGTGATGTTACTATTGTAATTGTTTTGGGGTGCCACAAACTGTGCCATATGAGACAATGAACTTAATCCATCAACGTGGTCTGTGTTCTGACTGCTCCACCAACCAGCTGCTCCCACTCTCTCCTCAGGCCTCCCTGTTCCCCAGACACAATATTGAAATTAGGCTAATTAATAACCCTACAACAGCTTCTGAGTGTTCAAGTTAAAGAAACAGTCACACATCTCTCACTTTAAATTAAAAGCTGGAAATGATTAATTTTAATGAGAAAGGCATGTGGAAAGCTGGGAAGGTTCAAAGATAGGCCTCTTGTGCCAAACAGCCAAGTTGTGAATGCAAAGGAAAAAGAGCTTGAGGGAAATTAAAAGTGCTACCCCTGTAAACACACAATTGATAAGAAAGCAAAACAGCCTTATTGCTGATATAGAGGAAATCTGAGTAGTCTGGAGATACGATCAAACCAGCCACAACATTCCCTTAGGCCAAAGCCTAATCCAGAGCAAGGCCCTAACTCTCTCCAATTCTATGAAGCCTGAGAGAGCTGAGGAAGGTGCAGAAGCAAAGAGTGAAGGTAGCAGAGGTTGGTTCACGAGGTTTAAAGAAGCCATCTCCATCACACAAAAGTACAAAGTGAAGCAGCAAGTGCTGCTGTGGATGCTGCAGCAAGTTATCCAGAAGACACGGCTAAGATAATTGATGAAGGTGGCTATACTAAACAACAGATTTTCAATGTAGAAGAAACAGCCTTCTATTGGAAAAAAAGATGCCATCTAGGACTTTCATAGCTAGAGAGGAGAAGGCAATGCCTAGCGTCAAAGCTTTAAAGGACAAGCTGACTCTCGTTAGGGGCTAACGCAGCTGGTGACTTTAAGTGGAAGTCAGTGTTCATTCACCATTCCAAAACTCCTGCCTGCGCACTATAAATGGATCAACAAAGCCCAGGTGGCAGCACATCTGTTCACAGCATGGTTAGTGAATATTTTCAGCCCAATGTTGAGACTTACTGCTCACAAGATTCCTTTCAAAATACTACTGCTCGCTGACAATATGCCTAGTCACCGAAGAGCTCTCATGGAGATGTACAAGATTCATGCTGTTTTCATGCCTGCGAACACAGCCATTCCGCAGCCAATGGATCAAGGAGTCATTCTGACTTTCACGTGTTATCATCATTTAATACATTTTGTCAGGCTATCGCTGCCATAGGTAGTGGTTCCTCTCATGGATCTGCGCAAAAATGAACTGAAAGCCTTCTGGAAAGGATTCACCAATCTAGATGTCATTTAGAACATTTGTGATTCATGGGAGGTCAAAATATCAAAAGGAGTTTGAAAGAAGTTAATTCCAACCCACATGGATGACTTTGAGGGGCTCAAGACTTAAATGGAGGAAGTAACTGCAGATGCAGTGGAAATCACAAGAGAACTAGAATTACAGCCTGAAGATGTGACTGAACTGCTGCAATCGCATGATCAAACTTGAATGGATGAGCAAAGAAAGCAGTTTCTTGAGATGAAATCCACTCCTGGTGAAGATGCTGTGGACACTGTCATAATGACAACAAAGGATTTAGAAGGCCACATACACTTAGTTGATTAAGCAGCAGCAGGGTTAGAGAGGACTGATTCCAATTTTTAAAGAAGCGCTACTGTGGGTAAAATGCCATCAAACAACGTCTCATGCTACAGAGAAATCTCATCAAAGGAAGAGCCAGACGATATGGCAAACTTCACTGTCATCTAAGAATTACCATAGCCCCCGATAAGTCAGGAGCCATCAATACTGGAGCAAGACCCTCCACCAGCAAAAAGATTGTGACTCACTGAGAGCTCAGATGATGGTTAGCATTTTTCAGCAATAAAGTATTTTTAAATTAAAACGTGTACATTTTTAGACATAATGGTATTATTGTACTTGGTTTTTTTTTTTTTTTGAGACGGAGTCTCACTCTGTGGCCCAGGCTGGAGTGCAGTGGCGTGATCTCGGCTCACTGCAAGATCCGCCTCCCGGGTTCACGCCATTCTCCTGCCTCAGCCTCCCAAGTAGCTGGGACTACAGGTACCCGCCACCACACCTGGCTAATTTTTTGTGTGTGTATTTTTAGTAGAGAAGGGGTTTCACCATGTTAGCCAGGATGATCTTGATCTCCTGACCTCGTGATCTGCCTGCCTCGGCCTCCCAAAGTGCTGGGATTACAGCCATGAACCACTGGCGCCTGGCCTATTACACTCTTAATAGATCATAGTATCATGTAAACATAACTTATATATGCACTGGGAAACCAAAAATTTCATGTGACTTGGTTTACTGCAGTATTCACTTTATTACAGTGTTCTGGAACTGAACACACACTATCCCCAAGGTATGCCTGAATGTGATAAACCGGCATCACAATCAGCGAGAATGGAAAAGAGTATTCAACAAACAGCATTTGTACAATCAGATACTTATTAGGAAATAATTGAGTTATTCACCTCACATCATAACCCAAAATAAACTCCTGAAGATTTAAGAGTTTTGTAAAAATAGTTACACAGATTCGTGTGTAAGTAAAGAGCAAAAACTCAGACCACTTGGATTCAAGTCCCTGCTCTGCCATGCTGTCCTAGTGTGAGACCAGACAGGCAGGTATAAAGCACCCCCTCCATAAGGGGGCTCTTTCCAGATGCTGACATTGTTTTTTATATTAAAATTAATCTCTTTTCAGTACTACTGTACATGAGACTCAACCACAGGTGAAACGGGGGTGATGAGTAAGTGTCCCGGCTCTGCAGGGTTTGACAGTCCACTGAGTTGCTCATGCTGATCCCACAACCAGACTCGCCGCAGATCAACAAGCCGGCATGAACAGCTCTTTAAGCCACCACCCCAGTCTTCCTTCAGTAACTATCCTCCCCTGTAATTACTCCACAGTTGCGGTTACTACAGAGTGAAAAAGTTCAAAGTCGGAGTGGGAAAGATTCAGGTGTAGGGCAATAACCAACAGGTAAATGGCGGCCACAGGACTTTTGCTGAGCCCTCTTCTGGGCCCCCTCTGCTGGCCTCTGTGCTATCCATTCCTGGCCCTGCTCAAAGTAGACTCAGAATCTTTCCCCAGCTCCAGATTCAAAAGCAACTTCAAGTTTGTGTTTCGCTGATCAACTACTCCAATGACAACACAACTGCCCCAGGATAGCACTTAAGCTTCAACTGAAAATCTGTTGCCCCTCTACCCGAGGCCGAAACACACTGAATAACAAAACAGCAGTGCATGAGGATATAAAAAGGAGCCCTCAGCTGAGTGTGGTGGCTGCCGCCTGTAATCCCAGCACTTTGGGAGGCAGAGGCGGGCAGATCACCTGAGGTCTAGAGTTCGCTATCAGCCTGGCCAATATGCCAATATGGTGAAGCCCCGTCTCTACTAAAATACAAAAATTAGCCGGGCATGATGCCAGCACCTGTAATCCCAGCTACTAGGGAGGCTGAGGCCAGAGCATCGCTTGAACCCCCGAGGCGGAGGCTGCAGTGGGCCGAGATCACGCCACTGCACTCCACCCTGGGCAACAAGAGCGAAACTCCGTCTCAAAAAAAAAGGAGACCTGTGCAGCCGACAAAGCCAGTGTTTATTCCCCAGGAACTCTCTTTATACTGGGAAGTAGCTGTTGGTCCTCTTTTTCCCACGGAACACGCATCATTCCGTCTCTCACTCTCACATGAGATGACATCCTAGACCCTAAGGTCCTGGCTGTCTCTGAAGTCAAAGTCAACGCCAACCAAAGCCCAGGATGGTAGATGCTTTGTCTGGCTTTTTCTGGTCACTGCAGTATCCTCTGCTGGGTCTAGCCAACAGCAGGTCTTCAATACAAGTCTGTTAAATGATTGGAAGGAGGTGCAGAGGGAGGGATGGATGGAAAAGCCTATCTGCACCAGTCTCCAAGTCAATCTTTTAAGATGTTTAAGAAATGTATTGGTTTATTACTAAGTAGGAGAGGAACCCCTCCAAAGACAAATATAGGCATGTAAAGAAAGCCCAGAACACACGAAACTATTGGCGCGAATGGCAAGCTCAGAAATCCAGCAAGAAGGAACTCCCACCACACCACCGGGAAACGGGAACCTGTCCTGACCGCTTCCTTCACATCTGCATGGTAGGGACACTGCAAGGTGGAGACCCTAAGTAGGACAGTTATTTTGGAAGGTGGGTGTGAGCCTTTCTATCTGCCTCCCTTGCTGGTGGGCCAAAGGCCCCTGGACATGTTGTGTCACTGACGAGCTCGCTGGAGACGGCGTCCCCGTTGTCCCTGGTCTGTGCCTGTGGTGGGTGGGAAGGCTGCCCCCCGCTGTACCACCGGACACGCCGTGGGCGGCAGAATGGTGAAAAAGTGCCTGCCCTCCCTAGGGCTACCCTCTGGCTGGCTTTCCTGATCCGTGCGCTCAGAGCTGGAAGGTGGCCCACGTCCTACTTTTGCGGTTGGGTCATATCAAATCTGTATCGGCTAACGGGAAGGAAGTTACGAGCAAGTTCCACCGGAAAGAAAATCTAGCGCGGGGACTGCACTCGAGGCCGAGGAGAGGGCAGCGCGTCCGTGGTGGGGTCGCCCAGCACTGCGAGCCGCGCTGAACCCCACCCCCGGCCTGCAGGGTGCGGCTCCCTGGCTGCCCCGTGGACCCGGCCAGCCCGGGACGAGGACGCAGGACCTCGGCAGGGACGCCGGAGCCAGCCCTTCGCCATCCCCACACGCCCCGCGGCCCAGTGGCCGCGCGCACGTTACCTGCGGAGCCCGGCCCTGCCCGCCCGTCTGGGCTGCCGCCCTCCGCCATGGATGCTTCCGCCTCCGCGGCCGCCCCTGACCCGCGCACGCCCCTCGGGCAGGAAGCAGAACGACCCGCGACCACTTCCGGCGCCGAGGGCAATGGGGGGCGCGTCGGGGTCGCGGCTTCCGGCGGGCGCGCGCCGGCCTCACTGGTTTCCGGGGCCGCGCAGGGGCCACGCCTCCGCTTCCGGCCTCGCTGTCTAGCAGGGCGCTGGCTGGTCCCTTCGTCCGGCGGGAACTTCGCGGCTAACCGACTCTCTGGATGCCGGCCGCGCTGTGGTTTCCTCACATAAGAAGCCAAGGAGTCGGAAAGCCCGTTGCCTGAGGCAGCAGTCTGGGAATTTCGGTCCGGCGGGCCGTCCCCACCCACACGGACGGGGCGTGGCTTCTGCCAGATGTGGGCGGGGCCCCGAGGGCCGTGGCGGGCGGGACCCGGGCCTCGGCCGGGCTGGCTTGGTCCCCGCAGGTGCCCCCCGCTAGCCACGAGCAGCCCCGGGAGGGTGGATTCGGAGGCGCGGGGACTGGTGAGGGCCCACTGCAGGGCTGAGCGTCGCAGCGTGCTGTGGTTTTAGATGAATGCTCCTCCAAATCCCTTCCATGAAGCCCTCAATCAGGTCGGTAACTGATGACAGCCAGTGGCTGACGCGAAGTTCATTGAATAAATGAATGCATTCGTGAACAACCGAGTAACATTTCTTGCACACTCCCAACTTCAAATATCGCAGCGTCGTCCCACCATGAGTATTGGTGTTGGTCCTAAAGCACGGATTCCCTTGGCTCCTCCCATTCTCCCCTGCTGAGTTAGACAGCGGGGCCTCATGCAGGAGGAGGATTTGTACACAGCACAGCAGGAGGCTGATGAGGGAGTCCGGAGACCCCAGCAGTCGTGGGCGTGAGCTGCTGGCTCATCCGTGTGTACAACATTCCAGACTGGAGTAAGGGAAGCCGCAGGCGCAGCCCCGCGAGTGCCCCTGCTGAGGCTGGCCCTGGGTGGCCCAGATGCACCAGGGGGCCCACTGGGGGCAGACCTGGCAGGCCCTGTGGGGGTTGGAGGCGGGAGTGGGGGTACTTCCTACAGTGGTGTTTGGTCTTGATGACAGCAGAGAGCACCACTGGCATGAGGGACAGGTGACTCCGATGATGACGCTGCCAGGCCAGGAGCCAGGGGTGTGCCCAGCCCCTGGCTCCACCACAGCTGCACATCCCGAACTCGGAGCTTCAGCAACTCCGAAGCCTGAAGCCGCCTCACGTGTTGTTGGATGGATGAATGGATAAACGAAATGCCGTCCATCCATACAATGGAATCGTACTCAGCCTTAGAAAGGAAATGCTGTCCGTCCATACAATGGATTCGTACTCAGCCTTAGAAAGGAAGGGAATCCTGACACACGTCACAACACGGATGACCTTGAAGACGTTATGCTGAGTGAGATAAGCCAGCCACAAAAAGACAAATACAGTACTGTGTGATTCCAATTATTTGAGGTCCCTGGAGCAGTGAAATGGTGGAGCGGAATGGGGGTTGCCAAGGGCTGGGGGAGTGGGGAATGAGGAGTTAGTTTTTCATGGGGACAGAGCTTCAGTTGAGGAAGATGAAAAAGTTTTGGAGACGGGTCACACAGCAATGTGAATTGTGCATTAACAGTACTGAACTGCGCATTTAAAGCAGGTTAAGTTTTATGTTCTATATATTTTACCACAATTGTTTTAAAGAATTTTTTAAAAGAGGTTCCGGTGCAGTCAGTCAGGGGTGCGGGTTGGGTGTTGGGTGGTTCAGAGCACCCAGGTGATTCTAAAGTGCAGCCTGGTGAGAGCCACGTCTCCGGGGGCCTCCGCTGCTCTGCCTGCCTGGTCCCGGTGGGCTCACAGTGAGCGTTCTGCGTGTCGGTAGCCTTTGCATCAAGGTATTGAGTCCCTGAGCAGAGTGGCCCTCCTGCACCTGCACCTCCACCTTCCCTGCCACGTGTTGCCCTTGGGATCCTGCCTCTTAGAAGAACCTGAGGCCGCACGTGGTCTGTAGCGGGGAGGTGGCCTCACATGCCCACCTCCGTGCCTCCTAAATGCCCACATGGTGCAGGGCAGTGTCCACAGAGCCAGCAGTGCTGGAGGGGGAAGGACACTCAATTGCTGGCCACTCTGCCAATACCATCACCCCCATTTCTCAGGACCCTGAGATCTGGGGGCCTGGTGCTATGCCCAAAACCACATAGCCCACAGGTGGCTGAGTTGGGATCACATCCAGACTGTCCAGCCCTACAGCCTGTCTCCCCCTCTGACCTCACCTCTCCAGAGTCCCTCTTCTTCCAGGTCCTCTGAGCCCAAAAGACCCACCAACACAGGGACACTCAGTGACCGCTAGAGATGAAGCAACTTGGGTCCCATCACCTACAAGCAACAGGGATTTACCAGTGCCTACCAGTGCCATCCCAGCCCAGCACAGCAGCAACAGGACCAGTGCAGTGGGCTGTCTTGCCCCTCCAGGTCCCAGTGGCTCCCTCCCGTTTTCCCACCCCTAAAATCACCCGTCGCTTCCTGTTGCCTCCTGGAGGCTCAGGCCTCCCCCAAAGTGTCCCCAGTGACCCCTCTGTGGAGCCTAGCCCAGTCTTTGTGGTGGAAAATTTGGCAGTCTAGCTAAAGCATAAGAATGAATAATCCTTGATCAGAAATGCCTCTTCCAGGCATTCATTCTAGGGAAATAATCAGATGTGGGGGAGATTCAGCTACAGTAGTGCTCATTACCATCATTTTATAACAAAAATGTCCAACAATGGACTTTCTGGTTCAGGAGGTCTGAGAAGGGGCCCCCATCCCTCATCCTTCCTGTTGCAGGGAACTGGGGGCCCCTCTGGAAGCATGGCAGGTATATGGGGGGCTGGAAACATGAGCTCCACAGCTGCAGGCTGGTGAGGATCCTGCTGGGCCTGGGTGTGCTGGTGCTGCTGTCGCTTAACCCCCACAGCTGTCTCCGGGAATTGGGCAGCAGATGTCACCCAGGCAGGGACCAGAAATGGGAATCTCTCCTGATCCTAGGCCCTGTGGGCCTGTGTTTGGGGTGTCTCCTCCCAGGAGGCCCAGCCCTCTCTTCCCCTTTGAAGGATCTCCTGCTTTGAAGGAAGCAGGGGATCTGAAGGTTTACCAGGTGAGGCCACGAGATGAGGGCAGCCCGCTGACCCTCCAGGCTTTGCCCTGGAAACATCTTTACCAGCCCCTGCCCCGCAGACCCTGTCTCAGGCCTTGGAGCCCACCTGCAGAGAGTCAGGGTGTCTGCCCCAAGCTAGGGAGGCAGATCCACATCCTTCCAGCTGAGTCACCAGGACAGGGTGACTCCTCTGAGCACCAGCTGCCTCCCTGTCAAATCGGGCTGATAATACCCACTTTGCAGGCTTTGTAAAGACACAAAATCCCATAGAATGTGCCACAGGCTTCCTGGGGCAGAGAGAGCCTCAGGACACAGTGGGCATCGGTGCCATGGCTGCTAACGCTATGGCATGGCTTTGCTGAGTGGAGCCACGCCCACCTCCAGCCTCCCACCCCACCCCACCCTGTCCTAAACTGAGCCCACCTTCTCTGCCCAGCTTGGAACAGAGCAGGGCTCAGGGGTAGACGCAGTGTCCCAGCAGGCCCTCAGCTTGGGGCTGGTGGGGCTGGGCAGGGCCCAGGCCGTGATGTTCCTTGCAGCCCTCGAAGCCTCCCTCTTCCAGCCAGGTCGGCCTCTGCCTGGATGTGGTTTAGCCTGGCAGTGGAGGTCCCAGGGAGGACCGGGAAGCCCAGCTGTGGGGACTGCAGAGGACAGTGTGGGCCCTGGGAGTCCTGCCAAGGGGGTGCCCTCTTTCAGCCCCCCTCACAGGTGCTGTGCTGCCTCCCTTGGTGTGACCGAGAACTCCACTAGTGTCAGGAGGCCACAGCGCTCAGTGAGCCCCTGCATCCTCTACCAGGGCCTGCGTCTCTCCAGGCAGCACCTGTGGAAGGCAACTACCATGTGCTGGTCACTGCCACAGCGGGAGGAGTCAGAGGTGAGGAAATCTCAGTCCCAGAGCAGGGACTGGCAGCAGAGACAGGAGGTTTTTAGAGACTCTTCGGCCACAGCGGGACCAACAGCCCAGCTTGCCCAGCACTGAGTGGGCCTCAGAACACAGAGCTGCCAGTTTTCAAAGCAGGGTGAGTGGAGACCCTATCCCAGCCCTCAGCTCCGCTCCCCGCCTGTCCTGCGGCAGTGCTGGAGTCTTTGGGCTGGCCTCACCATGCCCTCCTTACCGCCAGGTGAACTTTTCCTGCCATACCAGTTGGTCTCTGTCACTCGGGCTCACAGACTCCTTCACGGTCCCGAATGCCCATCTATAGGCTCTTGGAGGAGCCTGGGCATCTGAGGCCCTTCCCGAGAAGAGCCCCAACCTCCCTCCCCTCCTCCAGCTCCCAAGCGCCCTGCCTAGAACCTGACCCTCCAGGGCCAGCACTCTCTCCCTGGGGTCTGCGCACGAGGCTCCCTCCCTCCCATACCCCTGTCCTGGGGACCTCTCCCCCTCACCAGATGCCTCCCCCACCGCACCCCCGCTTTCCGCCCCGCAGCTGGGGCCTTGGCTCCAGGTCCTCCCAGCAGCATTTATCTCCTCACCTGACTGCAGCTGCCGGAGGAGCTGGCCTATCTCTCCTGGCAGACAGTTAGGTTCCACGAAAGTGGCTTCTGGTGGGACGGGTATTTTGATTCTGTCACAGGAGCTGGCCCAGGCCTTGTTCCTGAACCAATGGATAAAGGCATTCATGCTCTGAAATTGACAAACTGCCACACCAGGGCAGCGGGGTTCTAGGGTTCAGGGGCGAGCAAAGCTGGACACCATCCCAAGGAACCTATAGAGCAGCATGGGGGCATTGAATGGCAGCCTCCAAAACAGAGATGTCCACGGTCTCAGCTCCGGAACCGTGAATGGGACCTTATTTGGAAAAAGGGTCTTTGCAGATGCGATTAAGGATCTCAAGATGAGATCGTCCTGGATTTAGGGCAGGCCCTAATCCAATGGCAGCTGCCTTTACAAGAGAAAGGCAAAGGCGGATTGGAGAGAGAGAAGACAGCGTGAAGACGGGGGTGGAGAGTGCAGCGACGTGGCCACAAGCCGAGGAACACCTGGGGCCCCCAGAAGCTGGCAGAGGCAACAAGGACCCTCCCCTAGAACGTGGGGGTCGGGGGAGCGCAGCCCTGCCTGCACCTGGGCTTCACACGGGTCTGTGGTGAACTGTTTCCGAAGCTTCAGGGCTCATACATCCAGTAAGGAAACTGGAATTACAGTCGCTCCCTGCGGCGAGGACCCAGCAGGAGAGCCCGGGCTGAGAGCGGGAAGGCGTCTCCAGGAGCCACACCGAGGGTAAGAAGACTTCACTCCCCTTAGCCCTGTTACTCAAAAGCACTGCTTTGCTAACAGTTTCTTTTTCAGGAACTTTTTCATGTTTGGAATGTATTTTCCCCTAGGTTATCAGCAGAAAACACACGCCTGAATGGGCGTGTCGGTGGAGCTGAGCCTGTCGCCTCATCCAGTGCCACGGAGGAGCCCTCGCGGTGTCTCCCTGCAGAGGTCACACTGGGGTCACAACTGAGGCTGCCTTGGGCAAGGGCCAACCGCAAGGCTGTTTCTGAAACCATAAAGTACCAAGAGAATGCCCTGTGTTACAATTAATAAATAGCATTGTTAATCGACGTGAACAAAGCCGGCCTTCATTGCTTTATTTGGTGGCCCATTTGGTGAAGCACTTAAGAAGAGTCCTGGCCAACATACACACATCATGGTTTTAATTACATCCTGTGAATTTATTTTTCCAGAGAGAAATATTTCTCAGGGAAATGTCCATAAAAGCAACGTTAGCAGAGTGTGATGGTGTGTGTGTGTTTCCTCTAGGAAATCTGTTTAGTTTAAGTCCCAGCTTTGAGCAGCACTTTTTACAAAGACAGGGGACCTGAAGAAGGCTGCCGACAGCCGGAGCAGGCGGTGTCCCAGCAGAGAGGAAGTCTCCAGGCTGCTCTGCCCTTCGTCTCTCTGGGAACTTGCCCCTCTCCCCTTTTCCACATAGGAATTCTGAATTGCTCTTGGAAGCCCAAAGGGGGCTGGGCTTTTCTCTAAACCCTACACACTTCTGCCCCCTCCCCCAGCTGAGATCCCCTCTGTGGCTGGCATTTCTTAGTGGTGTGAAAAGGACATTTTTGAAAATGGAATCCTGTTTTCACCACTCTAAGGAAAGTCACAACTTCAAACTCTTTTCCAGTGGTTCCTGTTGTCCCTCGAAAACATCTGTTTGAGAACTAGGCGTTCTCTCCCAAACTGCTGGGATTGTTTTCTTAGGTTGCCCTTCCAATGTTAAAGTGTTTAACCCGCATACCATTACTGCATCACCTAACTTCGTTTGCAGGCCACTGCTCACTGTGTACATAACCAGCATCACAAGCACAGGGACTCAGGACCGGGCGCTTTCTAATCTCTTCAGTCTCTGGGTCTCCTGCTTCCAGGACAGGGCTGGAGCCAAGGACTCACTCTCAACTGACTGACTGACTGCGTGGCTGATGAAGGGAGGAGTGCATTTTTAAAAGGAGAGTAAGCTGTCCCCAATACACCAGTCTAAGAAATGACCTCTTTTCCTTTCTCTACGTAAACTTCATGTCCTTATTCACAGGCATATAAAATTACAAAATCATGGTGTAGACACACATTTACTCCCCGCTCTCCTTTCTGTCATGACCCTAATGATGCATTTACCTATACGGAATCCTCGGGCTCTCTCAGACACAAGCAAATACTTCTGATGGCAGAGAGAAAAGTCAAGACGTGGTAAGAAAATCAGTGTCCGGGAGCTACGGTTTCTATCGTGTGGGCGATTAGATGCCTGACGGCCCTCCTGATACAAACAGCTAAAATGCTGGAGAAAATGTAAAACGCATCTTGTTAGAGGCATCCTCAGGCTGCCATAGCGGCCAGAAGCAAAGAGAAGGCAGAAACCCTGACAGCTTAGTGGGTCTGAGCCAGCACTCATCTCAAACTGTGTGCTGAGAGCTTGAACTTCTACCTGGATGACTGCATAGGGTGCAGAAACCAATTTAGAGCAGGAGTCTCATACGAAATGCTTGCATAGAACTGGCACCCATAGAGTCCCACCCTCAGTGTAAAAAGTAACGAGAATAAGAACAACAACAAAAAATCCACAAATAACCTCATTTAAAACACAGGCAAAATGGCTGGACACAATGGCTCATGCCGGTAATCCCAGTGTTTTGGGAGGCCAAGGGGAGAGAATTGCTTGAGCTCAGGAGTTTGCAACCAGCCTGGGCATCCCAGCAAGACCCTGACCCTACCAAAAGAGAAAAAAATAGGCAGAAGACTTGAACAGACATTTGTCCAAAGAAGATACACCAATACCAATAAGCATTTGGAAAGATACTCAACATCTTTAATCTTTATGGACATATAAATCAAAACCATAATGCAATAGCATTTTGCATCCATTAGGATGGCTACTATTTAAGAAAAAAATAGAAAATAACAAGTGTTGGCAAAGATATGGAGAAATTGGAACCCTTGTGCACTATTGGTGGGAACTTAAAATGGTATAGGCACTATGGAAAATGGTATGGTGGTTCCTCAAAAAATTAAACAGAATTACCACGTGATCCAGCAATTCCACTTCTGAGTATATCCAAAAGAACTGAAAGCAGGGACGTAGACATTTGTACACCCATATCTATTTATAGCAGCATTATTCACAACAGCCAAAAGGTGGAAGCAACCCAAGCATCCATGAGTGGATGAATGGATCAACAAAATGTGGTATGTCCATAAAACAGAATATTCTTCAGGCTTCCAAAGGAAGGAAATCCTGTTACATGCTACAATGTGGGTGAATCCTGAAGACATCTATGCTATGCAAAATAATCCAGACACAAAAGGGCAGATGCTATATGATTTCACTCATGAGGTATCTAGAGTAGTCAAATTCATAAACAGAAAGAATGGCAATTCAGCCAGGGGTTGGGGGAGGGGAAATGGGGAGCTAGTGTTTAATGGGTATAGTTTCCATTTTTACAATGAAAACATTCTAGAGATCAGTTGCCCAACAATGTGAACACACTTGACACTACTGAAATATACACTTCAATGTGGTTAAGATGGTAAATTATATATTGCATGTATTTTATCACAATTAAAAAAAATTTTAAAGATAACATTGAGGAGGAGGTGGAGATAGAAGTAACAAGAACTAAAATACTGGCTCAGCAGAAAAGCCTGCTCATCTCAACCTTAGCCCAGGCCTGGGCCTCACATGAAGTTTAGATCAAAAATCCCACCGAAATTCACACTTTAGTGTTCTGAAAACTCTCAAGCAAAGAAGCTAAGTGACAGCAGTTCTAGGTTGATAGTGCCCCAAGCAACTGGCAGAAGCAAATATAGTTCCTTTCTAGAGACTACTTCAGCCTGGGCCTCAAAGAATTCCCACAGATCAAGTTCCAAGAAAAATAACCTCTCATTGGGGCAGAAATAGCAAAGTGCACACAGAAGGAGAGTCAGCAAAAGGGTCCTCCACAGGCTTCAAACACTGATGAGACACCGAATATGAAGCTACTGTCTATCCAACCAGTGCTGGCTTACTGAGCCCTGTTCAAGGAAGTGGACACAAAAGTGAGATAAACAGACAAAAGTCCCGGCTGCCATGGAGTTGACACACCTGTGCCCTGGAGACACACACAGGAGAAAGGCACAGGGAGTGCCAGGCTGGGGAGACAACACAGGAGAAGGGCGCAGGGAGTGCCAGGCTGGGGAGACACACACAGGAGAAGGGCGCAGGGAGTGCCAGGCTGGGGAGACACACACAGGAGAAGGGCGCAGGGAGTGCCAGGCTGGGGAGACACACACAGGAGAAGGGCGCAGGGAGTGCCAGGCTGGGGAGACACACACAGGAGAAGGGCGCGGGGAGTGCCAGGCTGGGGAGACACACACAGGAGAAGGGCGCGGGGAGTGCCAGGCTGGGGAGACACACACAGGAGAAGGGCGCGGGGAGTGCCAGGCTGGGGAGACACACACAGGAGAAGGGCGCGGGGAGTGCCAGGCTGGGGAGACACACACAGGAGAAGGGCACGGGGAGTGCCAGGCTGGGGAGACACACACAGGAGAAGGGCGCGGGGAGTGCCAGGCTGGGGAGACACACACAGGAGACGGGCGCGGGGAGTGCCAGGCTGGGGAGACACACACAGGAGAAGGGCGCGGGGAGTGCCAGGCTGGGGAGACACACACAGGAGAAGGGCGCGGGGAGTGCCAGGCTGGGGAGACACACACAGGAGAAGGGTGTAGGGAGTGCCAGGCTGGGGAGACACACGCAGGAGAAGGGCGCAGGGAGTGCCCAGTTGGGGAAGGTGTCAATTTCAACTTTAATGTTTAAGTAGTAAAGAGAAGCCTGAAAATGTGAACGAAGTTGGCATGCAACAAGATCATAAAAAAAAAAAAAGAAAATGTGAACAAGGGCCAAGAGACTTCACAGAAAGAACCAGTATATTTGAAAAAAAAATTAAACAGAACTTCTAAAATGAAATTAAAAACACAGTGGTCGAAAAAAACATACTAAACGGTTGCAGTGAAAAGTATATTAGATATGTCTAAAGAGGCAATTGGTTGTGGACTTAAAGACGGTGCTCAAGAAATCATCCTAGCCAGGCAAGGTGGCTCATACCTGTAATCCCAGAGACTCAAGAGGCTGAGGTGGGAGGATCGCTTGAGGCCAAGAGTTCAAGACCAGCCTGGGAAGCAGAATGAGACCCCATCTCTACAAAAAGAAAAAAAAAAAACTAGCCAGGCATGGTGGCATGTGCCTGTAGTCCTAGCTACTCAGGAGATTGAGGAGGGAGGATCACTTGAGCCCAGGAGGTTGAGGCTGCAGTGAGCTATGGTCCCACTATTGTACTCTGTCTGGCCTGGGTGACAGAGTGAGACCCCATCTCTAAAAAATAAATGAAATCTAAAAAATTTTAAAAAATCATCCCAACTATAGGACCAAGAGACAGAGATAGAAAAATATAGACAAGAAGTGAAGGACATGGTGGCTGGGGTAGGAGGGTCTAAGGAGCATCTACTCTGGAGTTCAAGAAGGGAATCAACAGAGAAGAGAGGAAGCAATATTAAAGGAGATAGGAATGAAATTTTTCCAGAGTTAGAAATCCAGGTATCTCAGTAAATCCCTAGCAAGATTTAAATAGAAGCACACTTCAATGCATGTTGAAGTCCTGAGGCTGCAGGACACCAAGGAAAAAGATTTAAAAAGCAGCCAGAGAAAGAGAGACCACATAGGAAACAAATGTAACTGAAAGCCGACTTCTCAACAGCATCAGTGGATGCCAGAATGCACTAGAATGACATCTTCAATGTGCTTTAAGAGATCAATTGTCATCCTAGAATTCTACACCCAGGGAAACTACCTTTCAGGTATGATGACAAAATAGACAAAGTTTATCACTAAAAGGCACTGTCTAAAAGATGGGTCTCTTGGTGGTCACCACCTGCCAGGAAGCAGATCTTAGATGATTTCCCAACAAAACACAGGATAGATTAAGGAATAAGCTTTATCAGGGAAGTGATAGCAGAAGGAGGTAGACAAATTCTTAGGCAGACTGGGGGCAGGTCCCTAGTGAAACCCCACCTTCAAACCAAAGACAGTTTAAAGCCCAAAAGCCAAGCTACCAGTCTTGGATAAGTCCACGGACCGGATTGAGAACCTCTCTTCCCATTTGGCGCACTTTCCTCTGATTGATCCCCACGCTTCACCTATTTTACATATACCTACCCTTCCCTAATTGGTTTTTTACACTGTCATGCCCACCTTTGAATTGTGCCTTTGTTTTAGCCTTTTTTGGATACTCACAAACCAATAAATAACACATCCCGATTCTGAGCCCATAAAAGCCCCAAACCCAGCCACACTGACAGAGAGACCACATGACTTCTGGTGGGAGACCATCCTTGAATCCCATCTCTGCTGAGAGCTGTTTCATCATTCAGTAAAACTGTTCTCCGCCCTTCTCACCCTTCACTTGTCAGTGTAATCTCATTCTTCTTGGATGTGGGACAAGCACTCAGGACCTCGCTGAACTCGGGTACAAAGACGGCAGTAACACTGTAGCCCTCTACCCTCCCCACCCATGATCAATGCCTAGCAGTTGCACCACACCAACAGGAAGCAGCGACAGGGCTGGGTGAGCCCCAGAGCCATGGGCTGGAGCAGGGCAACAGGACTGACAGAGATGTTAATATACCCCTGTTTGTTGGGCTGTGGCAGGCCTAAAAGACCTGTTAGCCCATGTAGTGTGACCTCTGGGGCTTCAAGGTTGCAGCCCTCCCTGTTTCGATGCCACCGCATTCTCCTCATCTGGACACTAGAGTTCACTGCAGGAGCTTGCAACATGCCTGGTCCAGCCACAAGCCCCACACAGAGCCCCTCCTGTGCCAGTGCTGGACCCCACACTCACTTGCCCACACACACCCTCCAGCCGGGGGCTGAGCACTCAGTCATGGTGGCCATGGGGTCTGCACTGGTGTGCAAGCCAGATGCGGCCCAGTGGACTGAGTGGGTAGGGTGCCTCCTGTGGCAAACCTGGGGCCGAGCAAGGCCCGGGCAGAGGTGTGGCTGACCAGAGGTCTCCAGCTGGCAAAGCAGCCCAGAAAAATCCTGCATCAGAAGCTTACATGGGCAAGTGGCAGCAAGAGACACAAAAGCAGGGAGCCTGCAACCCCAACCTCGCCTCGTTCTGCTCACACAGAGACAGCTCACCTTTCAGGGAGAAGCACCGGCCCCTGTTGCTACCCTTCTGAGGCAAACAGGAAGTGACCTATTAGGAGGGGGATGACTTGCTGAGGCAGCAGCAGTTGGGACCTGGGTGCCAGCTGTTTTCATTGCTGAGAAAACCAGCTGCCCCACACCTGAGCCCCACGGGATGTCGAGCTTGCATCACTCCCCCCCCACTGAAAGAAGGCAGGCTGAGTGGGGGCAGCGGTGGTTTTAACCTACTCTTTATCCAGGCCACCCTGAGTGAGCTTCTAGGGCTAGTTACAGACAATTCTGCTTGTTGTATCCTGTATCCCTTAAAGGAAATTCTAAAGGATCAACTTTAGAAAGATGGAAAAGGATCCCAGATAGAGAGTATTTGATGCAAGAAGGAATGATAAATGTACCCCATAAATATATGTACCTATTATATACCCATAAAAATTAAAAGAAATGATGAGCAGATATTGGTAAGTAGGTAGATAAATTTTAACAAACCTTGGCTGCCTAAACAATAGAGTGTTTAATTTGTGAATTTAAAAACAGGATAAAATGGAAACACTGGACAATATAGCATATAAATTGGGATTGTCCTTGTATTATTTGAAGAAAGCTAAAGAAATTAAGCTTAGACTTTGTAAACTACCAGTGTTAAAGTAGCTACTGTAACTATTAAAATAACAGTCATATAATGTACAAACTCCAAACTAGACAGGTCTAGGAAAAATAAGAGGATTTTGTCTCCCAAAGAAGTCCAGAAAAATGAGGTTGAGGAAAAACAAAAAGTGGGAAAAATAGCACTTAATAAGATAGTATAATAAATCCAAATGTGATAAACTCTCCAGGTAAAAACAAAGACTACTGACTCAATGTTTCTTTCTTTTTTTTTTTGAGACAAGGTCTCTCTCTGTCACCCATGCTGGAGTGCAGTGGCACGATCTCAGCTCATTGCAACCTCTGCACCCCTGGCCCCCTCCCATACCCACTCCCACCTTGGGCTCAAGCAATCCTCCCACCTCAGCCTCCAGAGTAGCTGGGACCGCACAGGCATGTACCACCACCCCAGCTATTGTATTTTGTGTGTGTGTGTGTGTGTGTGTGTGTGTGTGTGTGTGTGGTGTGTATATTTTTAGTAGTGATGGGGTGTTGCCATGTTGCCCAAGCTGGTCTCAAACTCCTGAGATCAAGCAATCCACCTGTCTCAGCCTCCCAAAGTGCTGAGATTACAGGCATGAGTCACCACACCTGGCCCTGACTCAACGTTTATAAAAGACACAGTTAAAATATAAGAATTCTGAAAGATTTAAAGGATGGAAAAATATATGAGCCAGAAAAAACTACGAGGAGAAATAAATTGTTCATCGTAGTACTCGGGAAACTTTAAAACACCTCTCTCATTAAATGGTGAATCCAATAGAAAAAACATCTATTAGCATATCGATTTGAACAAAATGGTTACAAGCTCGACAGAATGGGCATATATAGATACAACACCGTGCCCAACCATGTGAAGGTACAGGTCCTTTTCAAAATTATAGGGACCATGAAAATAGCACATGTTAGTGAGGATATGGAGAAACTGCAACTTTTGTACATTGCTAGTGGGAATGCAAAGTACTGGAGCCACTATGGAAAACAGTATACCAGTTCCTGAAAAGATTAAATCTAAAATGACCACGCAATCCAGCAATTCTACTTCTGAGCATACACCCAGAAGAACTGAAAACAGGATCTCAAAGGATATTTGCATATCCATATTCATAGCAGCATTATTCAAATAGCTGAAAGGTAGAAACAACCCAAGCATTTACTGATGGATGAATGGATACATAAAATGTGGTATATACATACAATGGAATATTATTCTCTGCCTTAAAACAGAAGGAAATGCTGACCCGTGCTACAACATGATGAACCTTGAGGACATTATGCTTAGTGAAACAAGCCAGTCACAAAAAAGATAAATACTATATGATTCTATTCATAAGAGGTTCCTAGAGCAGTTAGATTCATAAACACAGAAAGTAGAATGGTGGGTGCCAGGGGCTGGGGGTAGGGGGAATGGGAAGTTACTGTTTAGTGGATACAGAACTTTAGTTTTGGAAGGTGAAAAAGTTCTAGGGATCAGCTGCACAACAGTATGAATGTACTTAATGCCATTGACCTATACACTTAAAAAATGGTTAAGATGGTAGTCCAGGCAGGGTGGCTCACGCCTGTAATCTCAGCACTTTGGGAGGCCGAGGTGGGTGGATTACCTGAGGTCAGGAGTTCGAGACCAGCCTGGCCAACATGACAAAACCCTGTCTCTACTAAAAATACAAAAAAATTAACCAGGTGTGGTGGTGCACGCCTGTAGTCCCAGCTACTCGGGAGGCTGAGGCATGAGAATCACTTGAACCTGGGAGGTGGAGGTTACAGTGAGCCAACATCGTGCCACTGCACTCCAGCCTGGGCAACAGAGTGAGACTCTGTCTCAAAAAAAAGGTTATTTTTGTTATGTGTATTTTATAGTAAAAAATATAATGATATGTCAAAATATTATTTTTTTAATTATATGAAATGCTTCATAAATTTTGTGCTATCCTTGCCCAGGGGCCATGCTAATCTTCTCTGTATCATTCCAATTTTAGTACAGCGAGCAGGAAATGCTATTTGTTAAGCCCAATAAAGTAATTAAGTTGTGAAAAAAATATATAGCGCTTTTATGAAAGTGACCACGTGCTGGGCCATCAGGGCAGCCTCCACACCGTTCAAAGCACCGGTATTGGGCAGGCCACATTCTCTCCCCAAGATGCAATCAAATCAGAAATCAATAAAAAAAAGATAACCCAGGAGAAAAAACCAGAAGCAAGTATTTCATAACGCACTAAAGAATAAATCATTATAGAAATGAGAAAATATACGCAACTGAACTACAATAAGGTGCCCATTCAATGAAACTTAAAATCATGGTTAAGAGAACATCAGTTAGTGACAGGGAAGAAATGTAGTAAAATTGTTTACGGGAAATAAAAAGAAGTCAACATTACGTAACACTGTAAGCAGCATAGTCCCAATGGTATAAACGGGTGCTTCTGTGTATGTTATACGGACAACAGATTGTAATAGACAAGACTGTAAAACACACAGACACACACACACACACACGATGAGAAAATGAATACATACTAGCAACTAGCATTATAAATTGTGGTCAATTTTGGAAGGTGGGATTTACAAGTGATGTTTATTTACTTCTTCGTGTGGTTTTCTAGATGAATTAATATGAATTCGGTTATCAGAAAGGAAAACAATAAAGGTAACTAAGATAACAGCAGCAGAGGCTTGGGAAACACAAGCCCCCAGGGCCCACCTCTTGTCCTCCTAGTGCTGCTGCAGGACTGACGCCCATCACACGAACACAATAAACCACAGGACACTGGGTGCCCACGGAAAGACACCAGAGACCCCCCCGATCCTGCCTTCCCCGGTGAGGCATGCCACCCGGCAGGACCCTGGGTAGGGGCAGCCTGGGTTCTGTACCTAGATTCGCCAAGGCCAGTTCTGATCTGTCTGCAAGGCCTCTCACTCTCCTTCCCCTATCCCCCGCCCCCGTTCTCAGGCTCTTTGCTGGTTCTGGAGCCCCCAGCTGAAGGTGTTGGACCCCTGAGAACACCTCAATACCCAGTTCCCTGGAGCCCGCTGAACCGAGGGGAGGAAGGCCACATCCAAAGCCCCTAAATGTGCCTGTTCACAAAAACAGAGCCTGAAGGAGCTGTAAACACAGAGGCTGTTTGATGGGGAAGCAGGACAGGTGTAGTCATTTGGAAAGCAACCAACATACCTTCCATCCACAGCCCCAGCCCAGCCTTCCCAGATCCAGGGAACCGGCTATTTACACGGGCTTGGGGACTCAGGGAGAAGTGTAACTTGAAGAACCTGTCGTTAGGAGATGATCTTGGAAAGGAGGGCAAATCCCCAGCGACCCAGAGGATTTTCAGGGGCTGCTCTGGAGCGGAAGGTTTCACTTTTCCAGGGGCCTGAATTCCTTGACGCCCCCCACCTGCCCCACAGGGGTGAGGGCTAGAGCTTTCAACGGCACCTGTCGCAGCTCTCCAGTAGGAGAGGACCGAAACCAGAGACAGTGTCCTCCTCTTCTAGGAGGAGGGGAATTATAATTTTTTTTTTTTTTAAACAGAGTCTTGCTCTGTCACCCAGGCTGGAGTGCAGAGACATGATTTCGGCTCACTGCAACCTCCGCCTCCCGGGTTCAAGCGATTCTCCTGCCTCAGCCTCCCGAGTAGCTGGGATTGCCCACCACTACGCCCAGCTAATTTTTTGGTATTTTTAGTAGAGACGGGATTTCACCATGTTAGCCAGGCTGGTCTTGAACTCCTGACCTCAGGTGATCTGCCCGCCTTGGCTTCCCAAAGTGCTGGGATTACAGGTGTGAGCCACTGCACCCAGCTGGCTGTGACATTTACTTCATGTTTACCGAGCATTCCTTCCACTCACTTTCACGCTATCACTTTCTTAAAATTAGATAAACAACAAAACAAGTCAAGTCCTGACTTGTAGCATCTGTCAATTTCCGTGGTGTAAATACTCTTGCCTTCAGCGAATGTGAATTCACCCAACTTGGAGTTAGAAGAGATGCACAATCGCACATACACCCCAGGATTTCCCCCTGAGGTCCAAGATATAAATCACCTCAGGGCATGGACACAAGGAAAATGTAAAAAATTAGTTTTCCATATTCCTTACCTTTGTATTTTAATGTAATGGCTCGTAACATTCCTGAATGTCTCTCACTGTACAGCCAGCCCCAGCCCACGAGTGCCCCTTGTGCCCTGTTCCTGGTGCCCAGGCACTCACCATGCCAGCCAGTAGCAGAAGGCTTTGGGGGTTGGAGAGGAGAGTGGGTAAGCATGGCCTGGAGGCCACCATGCAGCCATGGACGTGCCCCACTAGCTGCGTCCTGCCAGGCTCATCTTGGAGGTTACAGGGACCTTAATTCAGCCCAACTCACCCCAGAGGCCACTCTGCTCTTTATATAAATCACAACCTTTTTCATTTCACTGCTAGGGAGTCCAAGTATTTTACCACCACAAATGGATGTTTTGGCAGGTGTAAAAATAGGGAAAATATAGAAATAAACGGGTGTGCAGTTTTACTGGCAATGGGAGAGAGCCCTCGTGGAGGAATAAAGGCCTGGCTCACAAGCTCACAAGCCTCGCCCATGTGACTATGCTCTGAACAGGGGCTGAGAAGCAACCACAGCTCAAGGGGCGTCTGAGAGGAGAGCTTCCCTGCACAGCGCCGCGGGCTGCAAGATCCAGGTCGACGTGCTGACGGAAGGTTTTGATTTTGCAACTATCGAACGAGATTAATGCTTAAAATCCATGGTTTAAGAGATATTATTTGAAAGTTCTATTTTTAAAAGCATCCTGGTGTTTGTATTGAAACTGTCCCAAAGACGCTTTTCTTTAGAGCCATAATCCCTGGAAATGGAAAACCCACCAGAAGAATGAGAGCTTGCTCCTCTCCCCGGGCGCATGCTGGGCTGGAGAGTAGAATGAGGTCAGCTTCGCGGTGGGTCCAAGCCACACGGGGGATGGCTGCGAGTCCAAGCGACCGGCCAAGGTTCGGGGCTGCATTATGACTTTCAGGAGCCCCTCCTCCATAAAAAATATTAAAAATTCTATTTTACGATGGCATTGATGTAAAGATGAATATATTAATATTGTATATTAAAACATTGACTTTGACCTAAAAGTTCATTTTTTTCTTCTGATTATGAAAGAAATGAAAACACTTTCGAGGGCTGTGGAAAGCGCCGCGGGTGCTGGCGCCACGCCTGCTGGGCTTAATGGGTCTGGCCGCCCTGCGGACACTCCCACAATGAGCGGCTGCACCCTCGGGGCAGGATGGGCCAAGTAACAAGATCTTGGTTCAGGTGCATGGTTTGGGGCGGGCGGTGGCCATGCAGCCCAGTGGAACTGTTTAGAGCAGGAACGCCTCTCTTATTCTGCCCTCTCAAGCATCCTCACTCACTCACACATCAGCCAAAAAAGTGGTCACGCTAATCTCAACTCAGCAACCTGCCCTTTCTTAGCTGTGTGCTCACGCAGATGACAGAACACTCAAGCAGAAAAATCCCAGGGACAGGCAGGCCATGCTCTCCTGAACTGCTCCCTGGGGTCCCGGGCCAGCCATGTGCTCAGCCAACGCAGCCAGACCCCTAAATCCCAAAGGACATCGTGCCAGGGACCGAGAGCTGGCAGGGACTGTACCTTGCTCTCTGAGCTTCGGTTTCCTCATCTGTGGGTTGGCTATGGCCTGACTCCCAGCCCCGGGGAGGCTCACTTGAGAAAGTAGGCGCCAAAGTTCTTCCTCAACAACCGCCCGCCAGGAGGCTTTTCTTTCTTCCCTGCAGCTCCAACAAAACAGCAGAGGGACTTCCCCGACAGAGGGAATTTCAAGTCCTGAGGTGCCAAGCCCTGGAACACTGCAGGGCAGCTGCGGCCAACACAGGCGGCCAGTGTCAGGCACACAGTCACAGAGGGTAACTTTGCCCAGGGTTTGAATAAAATTTTTGGAAGACCCCCAATTCTGAAGGGGTCTTACACAGCCTCCTTGAAAGTGAAGTATGAAAACTGGCAAATGTAGTCTGTTCTCAAAGAGGGGCAGGCCGCTGAAGGCTGCCTGCAAGGTGGTCTCGTGTCCTTGCACCGTGGGGAACCTCCCCAAAAGGTGGTTTCTATTCAAAAGGGAATGATGATATTCATTCCCCAGCTTGAAGAAGGACAAGTTGGGGGCCGGACAGGACTCCCTGGGCAAACATTGAGCAGTGAGGGGGCGCTGGAGACTTCAGAGGCCTTCCAAGGGTTGGGGGATAGGGGCAGGCAGGAACTGCAGCCCAGGCTCCATCTGCCTGGGGGCTCCTGAAGGTCATGTCTGCCAAGGCCTGAAGCCTACGTGGGTGCTGACGTGTTGATGCAGTTGGTAGAAAGTGCAATGGGGGTGTGGAGATCTTGCCTGCTTGCACGCCTCCTGTGACGAGGAGCTCACCATCTACCTGATGAGGGGCTGTCCTGTCATCTTTGAACCCTGTTGGAACGGAGGCTCCCTCCTTACACAGAGCCAAAATCAGTCTCCCTTTGTCTCCCACCCATAGGTTCCAGCGCCACAGAGAACAGGCTCAACCCTCCCTCCACCCCAGACCTGTTATTTCAAGATAGGGGGCCATGTCCCTGCTCCAGCTTTTTCTTGTGCCAGCAAAATATTTCTAAATTTGAGAAGTACTTCCAAAATGTCCTCCAGAAGTCTCACACAATTTACACCCCCACATCTTCAGCCACTCCAAATACTATCAATTTTTAAATTTTTGGCAATCGAAAGATGTGTGCAACTGTGATATTAACCTACATTACACAGATCACAAACCAGAGCCAGGGTCCGCCTGGAGCGCACCGTGTGCTGTGTGCTGAGGGCTGCCCTTCGCACTTTCCACCTAATGCTGCACGTATGCTCTGATGACAAGGTGAGGCCAGCACTCTTGAATCCAACCAAGCAGGTGGGAGAGGGAGGCCGGAGTCAGGCCACCTGCCTAAGCCAACAGCCAAGGCCAAGGGCGTGGCAGTGCCTGCGCCGCTGGGAAGCCCAGGTAACTCCTCTTCCAGTCTGGATTCCCAAATCTCTGCCACCTTCTCTCTCGACAGCAAAGTTGGTTTCTCATGCTTTGTGATTATTTGATTGCCTATTTATTCCTTTCTTCTATCGTTCAGTTGGGCTGTTTCTCTTATTAAAAAGTCTGTCTTTAAACAGAGTTTAAAATACATTGCAAGTTTATCCCAATGTGTTGTTTTTTACTTTTGCTTGGAATACAGAAAGTTTCACTTTTTAATGGAGCAAAGTGTCCGTTTTTTTTTTCATCTGTGGCTTCTGGAAATTGTGTCCTTTTAAGGAAGTTCTTCAGCCCAAAAAGTATTTAGCACTAGCATCCTAGGCTGGGCTGCAGGAGGGCAGGGTCCCTCTCACCCCAGGTCCCCTGGACAGGGAGACAGAAGGGCCTGGGAGGTTTCACTACTGCGCGTCCCCACATCAGAATTGGACACAGACACCACCCAGTCCTCTTGGGAGTCTAGTCCTGTGGAGGGTCCCTCACTGCCTCACCTGAAGCCTCTCCCTCCTCCTCCTCCTCCTCGGGCTGTCCCTCGGCCCAAGGTGCAGGGGAAGCTGGCCCTAGGCACCCTCTCCCCACAGCCGTCGGCCCCGCCTGTCCTCACTGGTTGGTCTGGCAGACGGTGGGCAGCCTGGGGAAGCATCTGCAGCAGCACCGCCAATTTCTTTCTGCTCAAGTCAGAAGGATTTTATGCACTTTATGAAAATAAAACAAATGCTTCCCAGAACTGTCAGGGCCCATTAGCTCTAAAGGGTCACATGCCCGGCTTTGAAACCACAAATTTCTAGCAGGCGCTTCTCTCATCCCAATGCCACTACCTAGGAGGCCCAACCCCCCTCCCAAGAGGCCAAGCCCCCGACCCACAGGCCTGAGCCCCCCACCCCACCAGAGGCCGAGGCCGAGGCAAACTTGCCCATCCCTGAGGTTCGTCCGTCCTCAGGGGTGGGGCCTGGGCTCTCATTTCCTCATGAGTCCTCAGCTTAGGCTGCTGTATCCGTCCCTCATGGGAACATGCTAATAGCAAGCTATCCAAACACGGCGGAGGCATTTCTCAATGTCACTGTGTCTTTATGGCACATTTCAGCCATCAGCTTCTCTGCCTAGGAGATGTAAGACCATCCACCAAGACAGGGCCACAGGCAGCTGGTCCTGAAGGGTCGGAGCTGAGCAGGAGCCCCCAGGCCCCGCCAGCCAACCGCCGAGGTGAGGGACAGCACAGCACACACTGCCAGCGCACCGCACACCAACAATCACCAGGCACCCATGAGCCACGTGTGCTCCCCGTGGCTAAGATGACCTGTCAGTGGACAACTGAGGCTCAAAGGAGAGACAGATAGGAGCACCCCAAATCACACATCCACGCCTGACAGGAAGGTGTCCTGACCCACACTCTGTGTTCTTCCACACCACCTCAAGAATGGGCAAAATTTACCCTGCAGGGGCGCGGTTTGGCAGGGGAGAGGAATGAAGCCCAAAAGGTGAAAGAAGGCCTGAAGCTATGCCCACCACCCACAAAACTGGGCAGGGGAGGAGGGGTCTAGCCACAACCCCAGAAGGCCGGTGGTGGGACGGGAGGCCTGGCAGTCAGGGCCTATGCTGTGGGCTCCGCGGGGCACACACACTGTGGTTCTCGCCTCAGCTACTTCCTGTTCAAGCTTGAACCCCACGCAGATCTGCCACTTACTGTTGATAATAAACCTTGTTTGTGCTTCAGAAACAATGCAGCATGATCCATGAACAAGATACAGAGGCCAGGGGTGAAAAGCGAGGCACCGCTTTGGGCCAGACTTTCAAAGTCAATCTGTGTCAAGGGCCTCTCAACCCAGTTTGGGTTAAGACCTAGGAAACACCTTCAGAAGTAGTAAGCAGCGACTTCAGAATTTAAACTCTGGGGTTTTTTTTTTTTTTTTTTTTTTTTTTTGAGACAGAGTCTCACTCTGTCACCCAGGCTGGAGTGCAGTGTCGTGATCTCAGCTCACTGCAACCTCTGCCTCCTGGGTTCAAGCGATTCTCCTTCCTCAGCCTCCCAAGCAGCTGGGATTACAGGTGCGTGCCACCATACCTGGCTAATTTTTGTATTTTTAGTAGAGACGGGGTTATACCATGTTGGCCAGGCTGGTCTCAAACTCCTGATCTCAGGTGATCTGCCCACCTCAGCCTCCCAAAGTGCAGGGATTACAGGTGTGAGCCACCGTGCCTGGCTGGAGTTTCTTTAGATGAAAAACAGCTGGACAAACCTAAGGACAGACAGCCAGCTGCCAGAGGGGGCAGGGGAGTGCAGGCCAACCTGGGGAGCAAAGCTCAGTGGGGCGGCTGCAGGACAAGTGTGCTCCAGGAGAGAGAACGCAAAGCCCCCAGGGCCTCAACAGGGGTCAGCTGCCTCCCCAAGGCTGTTTCCACAAAACCTCTCAGGAAAGACTGGAGAAAGTTTGAAGTGTCCCTTGCTGTGCACACCTGAGAAAGACCCTTCTTCCCTATGGGCCCTGTCTCCTACTCCCTTCCCAGCTCCAGCGGGTTTCCCCATTCCCTAAGACTGTCAGGCTTCTCACCTGCCCCTGAACGGTGTCTTCTGTCCCAGAGGGGAGAAGTTTCCAACGGTAGTCATTGCTGGAGGGCACAGAACTACTGCTGGAATCTTCTCCCCTTTGGGACAGAAAATACGGTGCAGGGGCAGCTGAGAAACCTGTCAGCCTTAGGGCACTGGGGGAACCCCTGTAGCTGGGAAGGAATAGGAGACCCTGACTCCTGGGGGAGGGGCAGGAATGCAAGCTGGTTCCAGAGCTACAGCCAAGACCCAGGGACACGGTGTCCACCTAAGACTGGGGTTAATCAAGCAACAGAGTATGCCCCCAACCCAGCTACAGCCAAGACCCAGGGACACGGTGTCTACCTAAGACTGGGGTTAATCAAACAACAGAGTAATGCCCTCAACCCCCCTGCCGGCTGACAAGCACCGGGCAGCAAGAAACAGTGGATTCACGCATGTGCGGCAGAACTACTCAGCATGAGGGAGGAACAGCCCGACTGAGCACGCAAGACTTCATCTATGAACGCAGGATATTTTCATGTTGGGTAATCGAGAATAGCACATTACTAAGCCAAAGGAGACAAAATGCGATCACAAGAACAATTCAACATCCATTCCTGCTAGAGGTTCTCTGTAACCAGGATCAGAAGAGTCTGTTTTTAACACGAGAAAACAGCCGTCGCCATCGTTCCTGGCAGCATCGGACCAATTATAAAATCACAAGGACTGTCCTTCGTATTTGTCCAGCATCGCACTGGGGCAAGGAAGCTATAGCACAGTCAAAAGGCAATCTGGGAATAATATGAACTCAAAACACGAAGTGCTTCTAGAAATCCAGGAGGGAAAACCAAGAGTCCAACAGAACAAAGGGCAAATGAGCAGCTGAACAGTCAGCTCACAGAACAGAAAAGCAAACAAGCAAATGACCCTTAAACACATCAAGAGAGGCTACAACTCAGTCAAAATGCGAAAGTGTAAATGAAAACATGCTGAGATCCTCTTTCTCGCCTGAGCAGTGGAAATGTCTACGTGTGGCCATCCGCCGCTGGAAGGCTGCAGGGAAAAGACACTTCCACATATTTTCTGGTGCAGGAACATGGAACCATCCCACAAACAGCATCTGGCAACACCCACCAATATGGCGACACACTGTGCTTTGACCCTGCAGTCTCACTTCCGGGTATCTCTCCACACAGAAGAAATGATGGGAGAACAAAGCTATTCGCGGCGGCATTGCTTTTAATGGCGGAAGACTAGAAACCACGCGACTGAGCACCAGGGAGCCAGCAGGAGAAGCCAGGCAGCCGCAGGGGGAGATCCACGCAGCCTGGAGAGAAGTGAGGACGGTGTCTAGGGTGGACACTCTGAGGTCCCCAGACTGCATAAATCCGAAAAGCCAAGGTTCAGAACAGGGTATAGACTATGACCTTTTGTGAAACTGTATGTTGCAGGGGTATAAAAGTAAATATTCTTATCTGCTTGTACAAGGGTCTAATGCAAATGGCTGCCTACAGGGGCAAGGAGAAGCAAGGCAGACAGGGACCACGGGAGGGGACCTCTCACAGAGGACCCTTTCAGCTAACCGTGATTGTGGATCCATGCTAATATATTACCTCTTCCATTAAAAGTCCTTTAAATAAGAAGAAATGAATACTTTAGGAATATGAATTAGTTATGCCAACATGAATACCTGGCACGACTAAGGGTGATATTGATACATGATTGACAGTAAGGATAATTTTCTTTAAAAACTTACACATAGCACTATCCACAAAGTGTCATGCCTGGCTGCTGGAGAACATAAATCAGACCCTACCATCGGTGTGCCCAGTGGGGCAGGGCCAGCCCAGCCTTGTTCCACAAGCATCTCCTGGAATCACATGGCTCTGGGTGCCCGGCTTCATCAGAAGACACCCAGAGGTTTCTATGGTGCTTTCGCCAACACCACACGCCCACCAATCTGGACACACACATTTGACTGCATTCATTTACAAGGATGTGATTCTGCCCTGACTGACCAGAGTACAACCTTCTTGTAATATGTGTAATTTAACTTTCTTTTGAACTCCATTTTCTTAACAGAAAGACCAATTTGCTTGGTTTAAGAAACTGATAACCAATTTGGAATTCAGCTCTATATATGGATTTAAAAACAAGTTTTATGTATTATTATTATTATTATTATTATTATTATTATTATTATTATTTTAGAGTGGGTCTTGCTCTGTCACCCAGCCTGGCATGCAGTGGCATGACTATGACTCACTGCAGCCTCAACCTCCTAGGCTCAAGTGATCCTTCCATCTCAGCCTCCTGAGTAACCGGGACTACTGGCACACACCACCATGCCCGGCTTTTTTGTTTATTTTGATGGGGTCTCACTCACTATGTTGCCAGGGCTGGTCGCGAACTCCTGGGCTCAAGTGAGTCTCACGTCTCGGCCTCCCAAAATACTGGGATTACAGGCATGAGCCACCACGGCTGGCCAAAACAAGTTTTATAGTTTTTGTTTTTGTTTTTTTTTTTTTTGAGACAGAGTCTCACTCTTTTACACAGGCTGGAGTACAGTGGCACAATCTCGGCTCACTGCAACCTCTGCCTCCCTGGTTCAAGCAATTCTTCTGCCTCAGCCTCCCAAGTAGCTGGGATTACAGGCACCCACCACCACGCCTGGCTAATTTTTTTTATTTTTAGCAGAGACAGGGTTTCACCATGTTGGCCAGGCTGGTCTCGAACTCCTGACCTCAGGTGATCTGCCTGCCTTGGCCTCCCAAAGTGCTGGGATTACAGGCGTGAGCCACCACACCCGGTCAAGTTCTACAGCTTTAAAAGACATTTAAATTTCTCTTGCTGAATTTAAAAGAAACCAAAGTCCCTCCCAATATCCCTTTATGAAAATACACATAATCAAAAAGGGGTTCTGACTAGGGGGCTTCACTAATGCCCCAATGTAAAGCTTGCATAAACCATACTTATTGAAACACCTTTTAGGAAAATATAAAACATTTTTATTAATAAAGTGTATCCTATGATAGAGTTAAACTCAGAGCCCAAATGTAGCAAGTAGTTACATTTGAGAATCACTGAGAACAGCTATTCCTTCTCCTCCGACTTAGGCTGGCTCATGCTTGACTTAGAATTTTTCTTACTTCTGCTTTGCTACATTAGTCTTTGCTGGAGAGCCCCTCAGAGGAGCCCACAGTGGTCTACGTAGAGGCGCCATGAACAAGGTTATTTACTCTCTGCACTTTCGGGTGTGGAAAGAAGAGTCCAGAGTGGGGAGCCAAGTCCAGGTCTGGGTGTTTAGTGTCTTCCCTGACGGTGACATGCTGAGCCTTGATCCTGCTTGGGCGTGGCCTCCTTCTGAAGCAGGTTCCTGCGGAAGCTCAAACAGGCTGCTCATCCTGCTTGCTGCTGGCTCACACTGGCTACTGATCCCAAAGCTGCTCAAAGGCCCTGGCCATCTTTTCTCTTACTCGTGTGCCATGACACTGTGCACATCGACCAACAGAAGATAAACCCCATCAGTCCAGGGCAGCTCAGAAGACTAGCACCGGAATAGTTCGGGGGCACTCGTTAATACACTGACTAGAATTCCATATCACCCAAATCCTAAGTAGCACTTCATGTCACCAAGTGACATCATTTTTCTTCATAGATTTCAGTTTTTAAAAGTTGATTATTAAAAAGAAAAATAAGGATGAATATCAAAGTAGAAAGCTGCATTTTAGTCTTGAACTATTTCTTCCAAAGGTCTATTATGCATTTCCTTTGAATATAAATTATCATCAGCTCAACTTTTAAATTCAAATTCCTGAAGTATGACTCCAGTACTCCCTGAAAACTTATAAACCAAAGTATAGAAAAATACTTAATAATCCCATTTGTGTATTGTCTCAAAATAAGAGAAAAATTAAATTTCTCAAATTAAGATCAGGATCTAGTGTGTAGGATAAGATACAGTAACAATCACGTGTAGAGACCTTCTAAAACTTCACAAATGATCTTACAATTTCTGATAAATGCTTACCTATCTTATAAAACTTCAATTCATACTGAAAAGAGATGTGTCACAATATGAATGAAAAGATGTATTTCCCTGAACTTTCCTCACGAGAAAAACAAAACACACACATTTGAAAATAAAAAATCCAAATGCTTATGATTTTTCCATGTGTGAATCGAACTGCACAATCCATACACTTATGGAAAAAATATGTGATTATTTTTAATGATTTACGTATAAAAGAAAAATAAACTTTATGATACAATTTGACAGACTACTTCATAAAAAATTTTACTTACATACAATGTATGCAATTTTTGGCAACCCCCAAACTCTATTCACATATACAAATTCATAAAAGGCAGACATCTCAACTTGAAGTAAAACAAGGTCCATTCAGGGTCATGGCTAAGTCATTTGATTCAGTAGAAAAGAGATTATAAATACATGAAGGGCTACTTAACTCATGTCCCTCCACTCCCCCAAAATGTATGTAATATAATCTGATCAAACAGAATTTTATGGTGCACTATAGGAAGGAGAAAAAGACCAGCGTTTCAGAATGGCAGATCTTAATAATCTGCTCCTGAACTTATTCAGCTCAGAAAATCATATAACAACCTGAGTACAGAATTTATTTTGGAAATTGTATGAAGAAAAACCCAACGGTGCCATTTGTGCTAATCCTTAAAGAAACAAAACCTGGCCGGGTGCAGTGGCTCATGCCTGTAATCCCAGCACTTTGGGAGGCCGAGGCAGGCGGATCACGAGGTCAGGAGGTGGAGACCATCCTGGTCAACACGGTGAAACCCCATCTCTACTGAAAATACAAAAATTAGCTGGGCATGGTGGCGTGCGCCTGTAGTCCCAGTTACTCAGGAGGCTGAGGCAGGAGAATCACTTGAACTCGGGAGGCGGTGGTTGCAGTGAGCCGAGATTGCGCCACTGCACTCCAGCCTGGGCGACAGAGTAAGACTCCATCTCAAAAAAAAAAAAAAAAGAAAGAAACAAAACCTTTTCAGGCAATCCTCACACTTTAAATGGCACTCCTCAGTTTACATAATAAATACACTATTTAAAAGTATTAGGACCCAGACCTCAAGACCCATAAGTATGTCTTCAAACACAATGAAATGTTTTATACAGTAACTTAAGACTCTGCTAAGTATTTACAATAGTATATGTAAGTGAAAAACTATAAACCATGTTTTTAAAAAACTTTTGCTTTAAAAAACAATTTCCAAAAAAATGGCTAACATCAAAAAACGTCGTAAATCAGTGCATCCTTTTAAGTCTTCCTTATGTTGTTTTTCCTAAGCTGCCTGTCTCTCGGTATGCACACCCATGCAAAGGAAAAGCCATGGCGCCAATGCTTTGCAGAGCGAGACCCTCTTAAGGAGAACAAGGACTCCGGGGGGCTGCGCTAGCCTCTGTCTGAGGAAAACCAGGGTAAACTGCGGAAGAAAGTGAGGATGTATGTCCAGACAACGTCCATAAAGGCCATCCTGAAATCTCCTTTTTAAATTTATGAACTTTAAGGACTAGAAACACAAGCAAACGATAGTAGAGATCAAGAGGAAAATTACATAGAGAAGTACATGCAATTACAAAGAGGTCAAAAAACAAAAATGAAAACAATCCAGTTGATAGGTACCTGATATGGAGACAGGCTGAGGTTAGCCCTTTCCATTGGAAATTAACTAAAAATATAATGTATTCATTTTCAGGCCTCATTCTACTTATCAAGTGCCTATCAAAAAGTACACAGTCATCCTTCATTCGGCACTGACCTCTGAAAGTCTTTCCACTAAACCAAAATAAAGGACTACTGTTCCCTTGGTATGCCCACACCACTTACCTGCTAGAGAGTTCTGGTACAGAACTAAACAGGTTACAGCAGAAACACAAAGAACAGGCTTTCAAAAAAACTTTTCACAGAGGTGTTTGGAAGCGCTATTTATAACTAGCCAGTATTCCATCTGGAAGGAGGTAAGAAAACATGGTTTTTTTAATACACTTAACATGCTTACAGTTTTAAAGCTCTGAAAATTAGCTGGATAATAACATTGTAAACTGTTCATTTTCTTAGCAAACTGGAACTTAAAAGAGTAATGATTTTCTATCTTCCTTTTTGCTTTTAAACTGAGGTGACTTTTCATCTCTGAAACTTTTGAGTGTTCACCTTCTCGAAGTCAAATTGATACTATATACCATTTTCTGGATTTTTTCTTCATTCTTGAGGATGTTGGCCTTCACAGCACAGATCTTGTCTTGCTGGTCTTTGATCAGCTGCTCCAGCTCCGCGAGCTCAGCCTTTAAGGGCTCCACGGCACAGTCTGTGATCCTGAGGGAGAACAAAACCAGCGGCTCATCACTCTCTCATCTCATTGTGTGTTGGCTTCTTAATTAAGACATTGAAAGACAACAGAAGTAAATTATTCGTTTCATCCAAAGAAAAGGATAATATTTATTTCTTATTTTCACAACCCCTGCTACAACCAAAAGTGAAGTCAAACATGAGATTTATAAAAGCAGCAGTTAATATTTCTTCAATGATAATCTTGAAGTCCTTAAATTACATACAGAACAACCTCTGGGACAAGGAGGTATGCAGCAAAGTCCCCATTGACTTTGGGGATCCCCCCTCCACTACCCCCCACCTATGTTCCTGCCGCAGGGCCTCTTCCCCATTACTGCCCCACTCCGCTACACCCCTACCTCTGCTCCTGCTGCAGGGCCCCCTCCCCATTACCCTCCTGCCCCACCCCAACCTGTTCCTGCTGCAGGGCCTCCTCCCCCATTACTCCCCCCACTCCGCTATCCCCTACCTGTGCTCCTGCTGCAGGGCCCCCTCCCCATTACTCCCTGCCTCTGCTACCCTTAACCTCTGCTCCTGCTGCAGGCCTCCTCCCATTATCCCCCTGCTCCCCCCCACCTCTCTCCTGCTGCAGGGCCCCTCCCCATTATCTTCCCCTCACCTCTGCTCCTGCTGCAGGGCCCCCTCCCCATTACTTCCCCTCACCTCTGCTCCTGCTGCAGGCCCCCCTCCCCATTACTTCCCCTCACCTCTGCTCCTGCTGCAGGGCCCCCTCCCCATTACTTCCCCTCACCTCTGCTCCTGCTGCAGGGCCCCCTCCCCATTACTACACCCCACCTCAGCTCCTGCTGCAGGGCCCCCTCCCCATTACTACACCCCACCTCTGCTCCTGCTGCAGGGCCCCCTCCCCATTACTACCCCTCACCTCTGCTCCTGCTGCAGGGCCCCCTCCCCATTACTACCCCTCACCTCTGCTCCTGCTGCAGGGCCCCCTCCCCATTACTACCCCCCACCTCTGCTCCTGCTGCAGGGCCCCCTCCCCATTACTACCCCCCACCTCTGCTCCTGCTGCAGGGCCCCCTCCCCATTACTACCCCCCACCTCTGCTCCTGCTGCAGGGCCTCGGCGTGCTGCCTGTTCTCGCTGTGCCACATCTGCAGCTCATTCTGCATGGCATCCACGTCTTCCTGGATGTAGTCCATGATCTTCCCCAGGGGAAGTGCGCTCTTGCACAGGGTCTGGATGGACGTGCGGAGCTTCTCTATCTCCTTGGAAACGATGTCCTTCTCCTTCTTCCATGCCGACTCAAAGAGAGATCGCTCCTACAGTCAGGGAGACATAGGAAGAGGAACACGCCTCCTCAGTCCAAAGGCAGAACAGGGCCGGTGCACTCAGCACACGGCCATGGGGCTGGGAGGAAAGGCGCAGGCAGAGACAGTGCTGGTTGTGGGACACTCACTCCCATGCAAAGGGAGAGCCATGCTGCCTAACAGAGTAACTCTGAAGTGCTGCACGCCATCAGAGGACACAGCACTGCCAGGGAGGGGCCGCTCCTTCCCTGCTCAATGGGGATGGGGGTCTGTCTTTACCTGGAAATCCATCTGAGGGCAAATCTCTATACAGGCAGATTTCAGTTCCCAACTAACAAGCAACTTTTGTAGCTATTGTTACAAGAGCTTAGTGACATGGAAGATTTTTCCCAAATGGACTGGCAGAATGAGGGCCTGACCCTACAGCTCTTCAAATGGCCCACCTTCCATCCCAAATGACTTCAAAACCCAGCTTGCCAGGGGGCAAGGGGAAAGAAACCCAAAGGAGAGGCAGAAACTGGTGCCATGGAAAGGAGGGCATGGAGAATGTGCAGGGCAGCCAGCGCCAGCAGCAGCCAGCAGCAGCCAGCAGCACCCAGCAGGCAGATGGTCAGGTCGACTTAGACGTGACTGTGCTGGCCGCTCAGGGAGGCCACAGAGTCCAGGGGTCAGGGGCCAGATGGAAGGGGTCAAGTTGAGACAGCAGCAGGTGAAGGAGGTGAGGAGGACGCAGAGACGAGTGGGGAGCTGCATGCGGTTTGGGCCAGGAGTTCTTGGGTTCTTTGCCATGCAACATTTAGAATTCTCTTCATATGAGCTTTGATCACAGACATCTCTGAATGTCAGAAACTGATGTGAGTTGATAAGAATCAATAAGCTTGGGAAAATTAACATCAGTTCTTTCTCCTTCTTTCCTTTTTTTTTTTAATTTTTTTATTATTATTATACTTTAAGTTTTAGGGTACATGTACACAATGTGCAGGTTTGTTACATATGTATACATGTGCCATGTTGGTGTGCTGCACCCATTAACTCGTCATTTAACATTAGGTATATCTCCTAATGCTATCCCTCCCCCCTCCCCCCACCCCACAACAGGCCCCGGATTGTGATGTTCCCCTTCCTGTGTCCATGTGTTCTCATTGTTCAATTCCCACCTATGAGTGAGAACATGCAGTGTTTGGTTTTTTGTCCTTGCGACAGTTTGCTGAGAATGATGGTTTCTAGTTTCATCCATGTCCCTACAAAGGACATGAACTCATCATTTTTAATGGCTGCATAGTATTCCATGGTGTATATATGCCACATTTTCTTAATCCAGTCTATCGTTGTTGGACATTTGGGTTGGTTCCAAGTCTTTGCTATTGTGAATAGTGCCGCAATAAACATACGTGTGCATGTATCTTTATAGCAGCATGATTTATAATCCTTTGGGTATATACCCAGTAATGGGATGGCTGGGTCAAATGGTATTTCTAGTTCTAGATCCCTGAGGAATCGCCACACTGACTTCCCCAATGGTTGAACTAGTTTACAGTCCCACCAACAGTGTAAAAGTGTTCCTATTTCTCCACATCCTCTCCAGCACCTGTTGTTTCCTGATTTTTTAATGATCGCCATTCTAACTGGTGTGAGATGGTATCTCATTGTGGTTTTGATTTGCATATCTCTGATGGCCAGTGATGATAAGCATTTTTTCATGTGTTTTTTGGCTGCGTAAATGTCTTCTTTTGAGAAGTGTGTGTTCATATCCTTTGCCCACTTTTTGATGGGGTTGTTTTTTTTTTGTAAATTTGTTTGAGTTCATTGTAGATTCTGGATATTAGCCCTTTGTCAGATGAGAAGGTTGCGAAAATTTTCTCTAATTTTGTAGGTTGCCTGTTCACCCTGATGGTAGTTTCTTTTGCTGTGCAGAAGCTCTTTAGTTTAATTAGATCCCATTTGTCAATTTTGGCTTTTGTTGCCATTGCTTTTGGTGTTTTAGACATGAAGTCCTTGCCCATGTCTATGTCCTGAATGGTATTGCCTAGGTTTTCTTCTAGGGTTTTTATGGTTTTAGGTCTAACATGTAGTCTTTAATCCATTTTGAATTGATTTTTGTATAAGGTGTAAGGAAGGGATCCAATTTCAGCTTTCTACATATGGCTAGCCAGTTTTCCCAGCACCATTTATTAAATAGGGAAACATTTCCCCATTGCTTGTTTTTGTCAGGTTTGTCAAAGATCAGATGGTTATCTTCTTCCCTTTCTTTCTTCTCTCTCTCTTTCTTTACAGCCAGGGTCTCACTATGTTGCCCAGGCTACTCTCAAACTCCTGGGCTCAAGTGATCCTCCTGCCTTGCCCTCCCAAAGCGCTGGGATTACAGATGTAAGCCATCATGCCCTGCAACACTGTTTCTTTAGGAAGCCCTCCCTGGACACCCCCCCACCCACTCCAGACCGGTAAGGGGCCCTTCCTTGCCTCACCCACTTACAGAATGAGCTAGTAAATGCACTCAGTTGTAACAAATCAACTTATTTAATTTGAACGTATCATAGCTACATATTCACTTGCATTACTTCTGCTAGTTTCAGACTGTGGGCTCAGGAGGGCAGGACCTTGTGCCTAGATTCACTGTGATTCACATAAGCTCTGCCTAAGAATTTGTGAAATGAACTAATGAAGTGGATAAATGATTTATGTATGAAGATCCTAGTTCCACCATTTACTGGCTTGGACAAGTACAAGAAAGCTTTAGCATAATGCCTGGCACATAGAAAGTGTTAAATAATTGGGACTTTAAGTAAAACGTAAAACTCATACAACTAATAAGTGAGTTCAGCAAGGTTGTAGTATACAAGATGAGCATATGAAAATCAACTATATTTCTATGTATGAGCAATGAAAACATGGACACTGCAATTAAAAATACAATGCCATTGACAATTGTTCAATAGAAGACTATCCTTAGTTGTAAATCTAACAAAACATGTATAGGACTTGGAAATGGAAAACGAAACAATGCAGATGAAAGAAATCAAAGGAAATCTAAATAAATGAGAAGACACACTGTGTCCATGGAATGGAAGACAGGACACAGTAAAGACATGAATTTTCCCCAAACCGATACGCATGTTTAATGCAAATCCTACCAAACTTGCAGCCAATGTTTTTGTATAGACAAGATTATCCTAAAATGTATACAGAAAGGCAAAGGAACTACAATAGCTAAAACATTTTCAGAAAAAGAATAAAGACAGAAATAACCAGTCTACCCAATTTCAAGGCTTTTTTTTGAAACGGAGTCTCACTCTGTCGCCCAGGCTGGAGTGCAGTTGTGTGATCTTGGCTCATTGCAACCTCTGCCTCCCAGATTCAAGCGATTCTCCTGCCTCGGCCTCCCAAGTAGCTGGGATCACAGGCGCACACCAGCATGCCCAGCTAATTTTTGTTTTAGTAGACATGGGATTTCACCATGTTGGCCAGGTTGGTGTCAAACTCCTGAGCTAAGGTGATCCTCCCATCTCGGCCTCCCAAAGTGCTGGGATTACAGGTGTGAGCCACCGCGTAGGCTTCAAGTCTTTTTATACAATTACAGTAATCAAGACAGTGCAGTATTGACAGAGGGACATAGATCAAATGAACAGAACACAGAATCCAAAAGTAGATCCATACGAATATGTCCATATGCCCAAGCAATCTTTGACAAAGGTACAAAAGCAATTTAGTGGCAGAGAGAGCTTTGCACCATTTGGCACTGGGTTAAGTGGACATCCATAAGCCAAAAAACAAACAAAACGTTGACCTAATCTCATATCTTAAACAAAAATTAACTCGAAATGGACTATGGATTTAAATATAATCTATAAAACTTTAAGATAAAAAACACAGGAGGAAAAAGTCTTTGGGATCTAGGACTAGGCAAAGAGTTCGAAGACTTGACACCAAAAGCATGACAAAAATTTCAAATGTTTGCTCTGCGAAAGACCCTGGGAAGAAGCCGCAAAGGTAAGTCACAGAATGAGCAAAAACAACTGCAAATCACACATCCAATAAAGGACTTATAGCTAGAATATGCAAAGAACTCTTAAAACACAACAGCAAGAAAGCAAATAATTCAATTAGAAAATGGGCAAAAGACACATTTCACTGAAGAAGATATAAGGATGGCCAACACACACATGAAAATATGTTTGAAATCATTAGGCATTAGGGAAATGCGAATTCAAACCACAATGAGCCATCACCACACAACAATCAGAATGGCTAAAATAAAAAATAGTGACAACACCAAATGCTGGTTAGGGAAAACTGGATCACTCATTGCTGACAGGAATGTAAAAAGATATGGCCACTCTGGAACACAGTTTGGCAGTTTCCTATAAAACTAAACATGCAACTACAGTATCAACCAACAGTTGTACTCCTGGACACTTATCCAAACAAATGAAAATTCATGTTTATAGAAAAACCTGTATACAAATGCATGCGGATGCTTTAATCAAAGTAGCCACAAACTGGAAACAACCCCCGTGTCCTTCGATAGGTAATTGGTTAACTAAACTGTGGTGCATCCACACCAGGGAAAACTATCTACCAATAAAAAGGAACAGACTGGCCAGGCATGGTGGCTCATGCCTGCAATCCCAGCACTTTGGGAGGCTGAGGCAGGCAGATCACCTGAGGTCAGGAGTTCGAGACCAGCCTGACCAACATGGCAAAACCCCATCTATACTAAAAATACAAAGTTAGCTGGGCGCGGTGGCGCATGCCTGTAATCCCAGCTACTCGGGAGGCTGAGGCAGAAGAATCCCTTGAACCCGGGTGGGGGGGCGAGGTTGCAGTGAGCCGAGATCACGCCATTGCACTCCAGCCTGGGCAACAAGAGCAAAACTCCGTCTCAAGAAAAAAAAAAAAGGAACAGACTGCTAATCCATGGAACAAACTGGATGGCCCTCAGAGGATTAGGAATAAGAAAAGTGAATCCCAAGAGGTTACATGCTGTAGGATTCCTTTTACACAAGATTCTGGAAAGACAAAGTTACAGAAATGGAGAACTGATGGTGGTAGCTGGGGGTGAAGGAAGAGTTCGAGGTGGGGGAAGAGGGTGTGGCTATAAAAAGGCAACAAGAGGGATCTTTGAGGTGATACAAATGTTCTGGATCCTGTTTCATTGTCAATATCCTGGTTGACAATGTACTATGGTTCTGTAAGATGTTATCACTGGGGGAAAGTGGGCAAAAGGCATACAGTATATCTCTATTATTTCTTTTTCTACTATTTTTTCTTTACAGGGTTTCACTGTGTTGCCCAGGCTGAACGCAAACTCCTGGGCTCAAGCGATTCTCCTGCCTCAGCCTGCCAAAGTAGCTGGGGCTACAGGCACGTGCCACCACACCTGGGCGTCTATTATTTCTTATAACTGGATATGAATCTATGGTTATATCAAACGTTTAATTTCTAAAAGGCTATATAAAATGCCTTTAAATTAAGACGCTAAATGACTGAAATGAATTCAATAAAATAAGCTACTTCCCAAGAGAAAAATATATTGTCTTTATTATACACAAATTAGTAAATGTCTCATTGACTTAGTTAAGAAATTCAAACTTCTATTAAAACCCATTCATAATGACTATCAAGTAATTCCTGTGCATTTGGCATCGTGTTAACTCTAATATAAAAATGTTTAGGGCATGGACCTTAAGGTAGGAGACTAATATAAACAAATATCTTACAAAATTGGAGAGTTACAATGTAGAAAAAGACACTAAGAGGTAATCTGGCCAAACTCCTCATATTTCTATTGCACAGGACCAAGCAGAATTTGGAACACTAATCTTAAAGCTTATAATTTATGTTTAAGAGATTAAGACTTTAAAATAAGTACACTTGGGCTGGGATTGTGATAGTCAGGACAGGTTTTATTATTAGCATAAAGGCACTGGAATACATTGCTGCAAAACACCAACACTCTGGCAATTTTCAAGCTTTCATTTAACACAGCAGGGGCAGCGTGAACGCATCAAGCCGTGATTATTTGCTTTAAAAAGCACACCTCTCTGATGACAGACCTCGAGTTATATGTTGCTCATGTAGATATATCAACAATTTTCCAGATAAAAACAACCTTGTTTTTAAAGACTTTTAATCCAATAGTAGTTTGAGGATCTATTACCCCCACACAGGAATTAGATGACTGCCCCTGCTGTGTTAATTATTGAAAATCTGTCATGGCTGGGTGTGTTGGCTCATGCCGGTAATCCCAGCAATTTGGGAGGCTGAGGTGGGCAGATCACTTGAGGCCAGAAATTTGAGACCAGCCTGGCCAACATGGTGAAACCCTGCCTCTACAAAAAAAATACAAAAATTACCAAGGCGTGGTGGTGCACACCTGTAGTCCCAGCTCCTCAGGAGGCTAAGCAGGGAGGATTGCCTGAGCCCAGGAGGAGAAGGTTGCAGTGAGCCAAGACTGTGCCACTGTACTCCAGCCTGGGCAACAGAGCGAAACCCTTTTTTCTCAAAAAAGAAAAAAGAAAAGAAAAGGAAAGGAAATCTGTCATTACACAAAATATGACCTAAAACCACCTAGACCATAGGAGGATTCGGGGGCAGCAGGACCCGCAGTCAGTGCCTTGTGGTTCCAGGGGCTGGTACAACCCAGCCTCACCACCTCCTAACTTTATGACCTTGGAATGACCTCTCTGTACCTCAGCTTCCTCACAAGAAAATGGAAATAATAATATTTATCCTTCAGGTAACATTAAATGGGATAATATAAAGTAAGCAGTTCAGTGCCTCACACATAGTAAACCCTCAAGTAGATGTTAACCATTATCGTAAATTTATTCCCCAGAAAGAAGCAAGTTGCAAGTGCCCCCAGGACAAGGCATGGGTGCTTTTTCCTGTGCACTGATACAGTTATTTTACCTCCTGTCAACTTGTTGGCTATGAAACATTCTTAGCCAGGCATGTTTGGAATACTTTAGCGCACAGTGAAAAAAGTATTTATAGATATTATCAGCACCACCTAACAAGCTGTCATGTCCAGGCAAGTTCTTTCATTAAAATGTAATTTACCTTCCTCATCGACACACTTCCTTCTCCATCTCCATTTTAAGAATATAAATAACCCACAGCTATGAAATTCATCTCAAAGCTCTTTTCTCCGCTGAAAGGTTGGTGATCCTGAGCTCAGAGGAAGTCTGCTGTGAACATCGCAGAACCACCCACGGCACCTTTTTGTGGCACCCTCACCATGGATCCAGTGTCTAAAGGCAGTTTCTCCAAGTTAGGCAAACAGAGAGGTGGCAGCCCACGTGTGTTTCAAGGGGACACAAAGTCACCCCTCTTGTCCCCTCCTGCCTCCTACCTGGCTGGCCTCCCTTTTCCTGCGGGCTAAAGACTGTTTACTCAGCTGCCTTCTGGCAGGAAGGCCTCTGGCAAGGCAGCTCAGCGTTGGGCCACTTCATGTGCTCACGTGCGCACACACTTTTCAGAAAATGCTTCCAAGATTTCTCAAGCGAACAGTTATTTCTGGGACTATTTTATTTGCATTTTACCACACACACACTTGTCCTCAGAAACATGGGCATTTGCACTTCTAGTGATTTTTAAATTTATAGTTATTGATTATAAGTCATATAAATACACATTATTGACCTTAGAGATTTATTTGAATTTCAACTGCAATCCTTCAAGAGAATTATTACTATTATTATTATTATTATTATTATTATTATTTGAGATGGAGTCTCACTCTGTCACCCAGGCTGGAGTACAGTGGTGCAATCTCAGCTCATTGCAACCTCCACCTCCCAGGTTCAAGAGATTCTTCTGCCTCAGCCTCCCAAGTAGTTGAGATTACAGGTGCCTGCTACCACATCTGGCTAATTTCTGTATTTTTAGTAGAGATGGGGTTTCACCATGTTGGTCAGGCTGGTCTTGAACTCCTGACCTCAAGTGATCTACCCACCTTGGCCTCCCAAAGTGCTGGGATTACAGATGTGAGCCACTGCACCCGGCCAAAAGTATTATTTTTAAAATATCTTAAAATAAAATTTAAAAAATGAAGATGGAAATAATAGACACTGAGTACTCCAAAATGCGGGAGGGTTGGGAGGGGGAGGGTTGAAAAATTACCCACTGGGTGCAACATTCACTACTGGGTGATGGGTACACGAGAAGCCAAGTCCCTACCCATTAACAAGCATGCCCATGTACCCCCAAATCTAAAACAAAATAAAATGTAAAAAAAAATGTCTCAGAAGTCTGGTCTTTAATGCTGCCAGAAGTCCCTCTCGGAAGCAGGATCCAGGGCACATGGGAATGGAGGCCTCTGACCGCTGCCCTGCCCCGCTGCTGGATGTGACTGCTCAGCCACACTCCTGAGCAGAGCTCTACCCGACATTAAGCAAACCCAATAAACAAAAGCCTGATTAATTGTAGGGTGGGGAGGTGGGCAATAAATCAAAAGAGTATGTATTTGCTTCAAATAACATACTCTCTCATGACCTCAGGAATTGATTTATATGCAACCTGTCAAAAGTTTGTTTTCTAGGCTGGGCGCAGTGGCTCACGCTGTAATGCCAGCACTTTGGAAGGCCAAGGCGGGCAGATGGCTTGAGCCCAGGAGTTTGAAACCAGCCTGGACAACGTGGTGAAACTCCATCTCTATAAAAAATTATCCAGGCATAGTGGTGCATGTTTGTGGTCCTGGCTACCTAGGAGGCTGAGGTGGGAAGATTGCTTGAGCCCAGGATGCAGAGGTTACAGTGAGCCAAGATGATGCCCTTGAGCCCAGGAGGTCGAGGATGTAGTGAGCTGAGATCACGCCATTGCACTCCAGCCTGGGCAACAGAGCAGGACTCTGTCTCAAAAAAAAAAAAAAAAAAAAAAGTTGTGTTCTTCATAAACAGAGGAATACCTGCATTCAATTTACAAAAGAAAAGCACAGAATGACTGAATAATTATTCTAAGTGTCCTGTTCATCCAGAAATATTCCATCACCAAACTTCTTCATAAACCATATGTTCATCTCGAATGTAGGTCAAGTTGGATCCCTTGAACACACAAGCAAAACAGCCTGCAAACACATCCTTTTTTTTTTTTTTTTTTGAGACAGGGTCTCCCTCTGTCCCTCAGGCTGGAGTGCAGTGGCGCGATCTCAGCTCACTGCAACTTCCGCCTCCCCAGTTCAAGTGATTCTCCTGCCTCAGCCTCCCGAGTAGCTGGGATTATAGGCACGCATCATCACGCCAGGCTAATTTTTGTATTTTTTGTAGAGACGTGGTTTCACCATGTTGACCAGGCTAGTCTTGAACTCCTGACCTCAAGTGATCCACCCACCTTGGCCCCCACAAAGTGTTGGGATAACAGGCATAAGCCACCGGACCCGACTAATTTTTTGAGACAGAGTCTTGTTCTGTCACCCAGGCTGGAATGCAGTGGTGCAATCACAGCTCACTGCAGCCTTGGACTTCTAAGCTTAATAATCCTTCCATCTCAGCCTCCCAAGTAGCTGGGATACAGGTGTGCACCACCATGCCTGGCTAATTTTTTTAATTTTTTACTTTTGCAGAAACAAGGTCTTGCTATGTTGCCCAGGCTGGTCTTGAACTCCTGGCCTCAAGTGATCCTCCTCTTTAGATCTCAAAGCATTGGGATTACAGGCATGAGCCATCATGCCCAGCCTCAAAATTATGTTTAAGAATCAACCATGTTACATGTATTTTGTTCATTTGCGTTTCTGAATAGTGTTTTATTATATGAATGAAATACCACTATTCATCCATTCTGCCACTGACGGACAACATTTGGGTTATTTTTTTTGTCTAGGGCTATTACAAAAAAATACAACTCTGAATAATCTTATATATGTCCCAATAGAGATGAGCACGTGACTGTCGGGTATGCAACAGGAAGTGGCATTACTGGGTCAAAGGGTGTGTGTTCTCAACTTTATGATGTAATGCCAAACCGTTTTCATATAGTTTTAGAAATTTACATCAACTATTTTTCATTAATCACTATCTTATTTCTAGGCTATAAAGGAAGCTTTAGCTCTACTCCCATGCCATTTCTACAATCTGACAACTGAAGATAATAACTACTGAACTGTTATCTGGCAGCAGCTAGAAAACTGCTACTCCAAGTCAGGAATAGGCTGTTAAAAGGAGCCTTCCAAATAACAGACCGCTGCTCATTAGACGAATTACTTACATCTACTTACACATGGGTGGTAAGCCTTTAGCATGGATGTATGAGAAGCTGGACAGGATGAGGGCTAACTGCCCAGACCGGGGCCCAACAGATCTGGGGTAGCTCCTACCTTTGGGACTTACTGTCTGTATCATCTTGGACTAGGTAACTTTTGTGCCTCATTTTCCTAACCTAGCAAATGGGTGTAACGCCTGTCTCATCTGTAGGTGACTGTATTAAATAAAACATGCAATTCCTTAGTCATGGTAAGTGCTCTATAAATGTTAGCTGTTAGAATAATTATATTGTCTATAATGAATAATTATTAATGGTAAATTTCTATAGGAGAAAAAATGCATACAGAGCAAAATATCATTAAATGTTAGCTACTTTTACAGATAAACGTGAATGGCCTTGGAAGATGAATGAGAAACCCTCTTAGAATTATGTGTTAAGCCAGCGTAAGTGAGCTTGGCATGAGCCCCAATGGGTCACTGTGGTCAAGGCAAAAGATCAGAACACAAAACAGAGAAATCTTCAAACTGGCCTTTCTGATGGACCTTAAAATGGTCTGAAAATTGATTTTATGAGTTGGGTTATTCTTGTCATACCCAACTAAACCAGAGATAGGGTTGAGGGGAAAAAGCACTCAGGGCATCTGCTTCAAGAGTTAAATTTTGGCCGGGCTCAGTGGCTCACGCTTGTAATCCCAGCACTTTAGGAGGCCCAGGTGGGCAGATCACCTGAGGTCAGGAGTTCAAGACCAGCCTGGTCAACATGGTGAAACCCCGTCTCTACTAAAAATACAAAAATTAGCCAGGCATGGTGGCGCACACCTGTAGTCCCAGCTACTTGGGAGGCTGAGGCAGGAGAATCGCTTGAACCTGGGAGGCGGAGGTTGCAGTGAGCCAAAATCACACCACTGCACGCTAGCCTGGGAGACAGAGTGAGACTCTGTCACAAAAATAAAAATAAAAAAATGTTTAAGAGTTATATTTTTCAGAAGCCCAGTTGCTGACACAGCCTGCTGTAACTCTAAGACCAGTTTTACCTAGAAGCCACTGAAACAACCCTCTGTGACTCTAAGACCGGCTTTACCTACCACTGTCACTCACCAATCCCAGCTTGCCAGCTCCCCAAAACTTTTCTAGTGCCAATGAGTTTTCTTCCAAGACAATACGTAACCTTTCTCTTTCTGATAAAACTCCCAACCTGCTCTGTTCTTCAGACATACCGAAGACCATCTGGTCTGCATGTATACCCCAAATTGTAATTCTTTCTTCCCGAATAAAATGTTTTAAATTTCAAGATTTGTCTCTATATTTTATTTGACTTCGACAAGGGAAATATTTATTGAAATCACCTGTTCACTGAAGGGTGACAGACTATCCCACCCAAAAATATGCTACTTTGGCAGGAGCATTATTTTGAGCTAAAGGCACTTAAAAAACAGCGGTGCAAGAAGGCCAGTCTGACTTCCCCCTTTCTTCTTAAAAGCAGGTGATGAAACTCCCATGTAGGAGATGCCCTCCTTGCACCAAAAGGAAAGAAACATTCTCATCACCAGAGGTGGGTTTGAGGCCAAAAGAATACTGTACAAACAGACTTAGCAGTCCACGGAAAAACTGGCTTTCACGAAACCAGTCCCTGGTAGCAAAAAGGTTGGGGACCACTGTTGTAGAATATCTAAATAGGGTCATGGTACCCACCCTTGTTCCTGACTGTAGTAGAAATATCTCCAGCCACTCACTATTACATACGATGTTGACTGTTGACACAGGTGTTTTCTCTCTCTCATGAAAAAGAAGTAGTTTTCTATTCCTAGTTCATTACAGGTTTTCAGTATAATGGATATTGAATTTTACATGAGTCATTTATTTTTAAGAGAAAGTACACTGACTAGTGATTTTATCCGGTTCAGGAATAATTTCTTGGTTAAATGTAAGGTAAGTAGTCAACACTTAAACGATGCTACAGGCCAGGCGCAGCGGTTCACGCCTGTAATCCCAGCACTTTGGGAGGCCGAGGCGGGCGGATCACGAGGTCAGGAGATCGAGACCATCCTGGCTAACACGGTGAAACCCCTGTCTCTACTAAAAATACAAAAAATTAGCCGGGCGTGGTGGCAGGCACCTGTAGTCCCAGCTACTCGGGAGGCTGAGGCAGGAGAATGGCATGAACCCGGGAGGCGGAGATTGCAGTGAGCCGAGATCGCACCATTGCACTCCAGCCTGGGGGACAGAGCGAGAGTCCATCTCAAAAAAAAATAAAGAAAGAAAGAAAAATAAAAAGCTACAACTGACTTGAATTTCTTAACTGAAATGACTGACTCTTCCCTGGCCATGGCTACATGAAGAAGGAAAAAATACTGGAGAAACTACTAAGGGAACTAGTCACAAATACATTTATCTATTAGGAAACAGAGTTTCGATCCTAGAATATATTCTATCTCACTTTTGATTATATAATAAAATACATGCTTTAGGAAAAAATTACTAGCAATTCTTAACCTTTTGTTCAAATTTCTTCATCTTTGCTGAAATGAAATCTCTAAACTCCATTCTAGCCATAGAGTTTTAGGATTCTGTAATCCTTTTTAAAGGACATCAGGCCAGGCGTGGTGGCTCACGCCTGTAATCCCAGCACTTTGGGAGGCTGAGGCGGGCAGATCACAAGGTCAGGAGCTCAAGACCAGCCTGGCCAACATGGTAAAACGTATTTAAAAAAAAAATACAAAAAAAAAAAAAAAAAATTAGCCAGGCGGGGTGGCATGCATCTGTAATCCCAGCTACTCCAGAGGCTGAGGCAGGAGAATTACTTAAACCCAGGAGGCAGAGGTTGCAGTAAGCCAAGATCACACCACTGCACCCCAGCCTGGCCAACAGAGCAAGACTCCATATATATATATATACATACATACATACATACATACATACATACATACATACATACATCAGGTTGATTCTGGACAGATTAGAAAAGGAGAAACCAGACTAGCAAACAAGTGTAAAACAGAACAAAAGATCAGAGGCAACTGTTGTCAGCCGTGGGCGGAGGCAGCATACAAGTGAGAGCCCCGAGACAAGGGACACTCAGGAGGCCAGCCCACGAGTGCCCCAGATCTTGTGTGGGGATGACAGCCTGACCAGGGCACAGAGCTGAGTCTACATGGAGGAGCATGAGGGTGCCACTGAGCCAAGGAGGATGCATCCAGATGGGGGGGGCCCTGCAAGACCACAGCTGAATCAGAGAACAAGCCAGTGGACAAAATGTAGTAGAAAACTAACAAATAGTCAACCCCAAAGACGGCAGTAAATAAGCAAAAGAGGAACAAAAACCATAAGGGGAGATATGTGAAACAAGGAGCAAGATGACAGACTTAAGCCTCCCTATATCAACAACTGCACTAAGTGTAAACGGACTAAATTAGAACACCATGCAAAGAATAACAACAGGAATTCACAAAAAGAGAAATGCAACTAGCACAAACAAAAAGTTATTCACCTCAATTTGCAACATGAAAAGTAATAAAACGGGTTTAGCTCCTAGCAAGGAATCCAAAATCAATTAAGATGTCCAGTGTTTGCTAGAATGAGGAAATGAACACATTCAGGTATGGGACAGAAAGATGTTGACAATCTAGACGACCCAAGATTCTACTTCTGAGATTTACCTTAGGAAACGTTAGAGAGGTGCTAAAAAATACGTGGGCAAGATTTTTCATCTCAGCATTTCTAATTATAGCAAAAGCCTGTAAGCACACCAGCACCAAAGTCAGCAGGGGCCTAGGGAAACGCCACGGTGTATCTGTGCAGTGGGACAGTGAGCATTCACCTGTTGGATGATGACTGACAGACTCAATGCAGATTGTTCATTAATAGGTAGTTTCCAAAGGCCTATGCTGGACAGCACCACTATGTGCAGCCACACACTCACAGCACTTACTGAGCACCTACTGTGTGCCAGGGCCCGGGCCCACTGCCCTTGGGACTCTCACAATCTAGTCAGAAAAGAGACCCGCAAGTTTGATTCAAGTTGCCGAGACACCAAGGAGATGGGGGAATGGAAGAGGAGCCCCACACAGTCTGGGTGGTAGGAGACTGCCTGGAGGGCAGCCTACAGCAGGTGGGCCTATAGTGGGTGAGTATTCCAGACAAAGGGGAGAGCTGGGTGCAGACTTCCTCAGAGGTGAAAACCACCAGCAGGTTCCGGAAGCCAAGGGAAGGCTGCAGGCTGGAGGACAGTGTGTAGAGACAGGCAGGGAGGTGGCTGGAGCCCGAGAGTGGTGAGGATTTCGGACTTGATCCTATGGGCGATAAAAAGCCAACAAAGGGATTTCAGGAGCACAGAAACCTAATGAGATCAAAGTTTTAATAAAAACACGTGGCTTCCAACTTGGGGGAGAGAGAGAGGAGGCAACGAGGCTCTTGTGACCAACCGTCCAGGGAACTGATGAAGGCAGGAGAGGGTGGCAGCAGGACTAGAGAGAAGCATGCAGGCTTCTTGCTTTATGAGAGATGGAGGGGCAGGGAGGGAGGGGTGGGACTCTCTTGAGCAACTTGGGGGACAGTGATGCCCTATGCTGAGCCAGCAAAGGAGGTCTGTCTGGGAGGAAGCTGGTGACACTCGACTGTGAGCTGCTGAGCCTCAGACATCTATGGGGTGCCAAGGGAAGACGTGCCGCTCCCAGGAAAAGGCCTGCCTGGAGGCAGACATCCACATGTCCCTCATCCTCCCCGACCTGCTGATCTGAACACACCATTTCACTGCCTCCAGATGCAAATGACAACTTAAGCTGCTATATAAAGTTCTTCTGTTGCAATGTTTCCTTTACAATCGTGAAATTTTTCTGGATTCTTTCAACATTTAATGTTGCAAAAGTTTGTGGTCAATCTGATTTTTGTTCTTTTATCAGCTTTTTTGGCTGGGTCCTTTGCAGAGCTCTTTTCTTATCCTTGACAGTCAACGATTCCACCAGGATGTGTCTCAGTATCATATTGGTACTTTTTAGCTGACACTCAGGGAGTGCCTTCCTGTCTGCATACTCAGGTCTTCCATGCAGGAGAACCACTGTGGCATCTGTTTCGCCTGTTTTCGTATCCTCCTTATGAATGCCAACCATCACACCCGGGCTCTCTGTCCCCTTTCTGTCATCTCCTCTCTCACATGTCCCCATGGCTTTGGTGTTTCCTCCTTCATATTCTGGAAAGGCTTCTCAAGTTTGCCCCAAACATCACTGGTTGCTTATTCTGTTGTGTCGATTCTGCTTCTTTACGGCTTCAGGTAAATACTTTGTTCCTCTGATCACATCCGTGTGCTTCTGTAACAGTCCCTCCTTGACTCAGCGCGCTCCTCTTCCCCATCTGTGGCTTCCTACCCGCCAGCCCCTTTCCTTCTCAGCCTGTCTTCATGTCATTTTTTTGCTTTTCGCTTAATCATTGGCATTTTTTAAATTCGTAGAGCATGATGAACATATTTACAGAAGTATCCCACCCCATGCCCACGATGAGCTTTCCTCAAAGGTCCCCGTCAGTTCTGCTCACGTGAGGTGCTTCATGAACCCTCTCTCTGCTCACTACCTGTAACAGTGGTGCAAATGAATGTTTATACCCATTTTCGAGGATCCCATCAGGGACAAGTGCAGGGCAGTGGCCCATCAGGGTGGTGTCTACAAGGGAACTTTGGTCCATCTCTCTTCAGTGACTGGAGGAGCCCCTGGCCAGCATCCTTCCACACAGTGCTGCTTGCAGGCACAGGACTGGCCCCCACCTTCCCGGCCTCCAGCGTGGTGGCAAGCCTGCCTGAACCTGGGAGTTCCTCAGGGCCCACTTCCAAATGCCACTGAGCCACAGCAGGGAACAAGAATCAAAGAGCACCCCACCCGCCACCCATGCCTATGGCCCCCTCCAAGGGTGTCAGTGGGGTTCAGTGGGCCCTACAGGCCCTCCTCGAATCCAGCCCCATCTGCAAGTCCCAAAGAAACTTTTCTAAAGTTTCTGGAATGCGGGTGCAACCCTCACTGGTTTTTGCCCCATTTTTATGTTCCATTCATTTCACTGGGATTCTGAGAGGGGGAAGATAAACTTGGGTTCAAGCTACCCTAGCTGACCCAGGAGTTCCATGGAAACAGAATTCTGAAAAAAAAAAAAATAAATAAATAAATAATTAAAAAAAAAAAAACCCAAGCATCCTACCCAAATCCCGTCATTGTGGCAAGAAAAATAGTTGCTATTCTGTAAATAGGACAGATGAAGCCTTTTGAGAGTATCCTCAGGAAACCAAAACAAATGAGTCAGACTCAATAGAGATCTGGAAAAACTGGTTTCAAGCACTCAAAAGAACTTAAGTCTCTATGGAAGATATTCCCAGGAAGGATCCTTGCTCTCCATCTTTGTTTTATGGCTACAGCACTCACATTTAAACATTGACTCACACACCTTCATGAAAATGAAGGTTGCTAACATGCTTTTACCTCATTTTCTTGCATTCTTCTAATCACTTTACAACAGTGTTTCTGTTATTTTGATTTTTCAGGAGTTCAAAGACAAAAAGGTGTGATGCAGGCATTTCCTTTAAAATATTGTTGGGGTCATCTCACCTTGGGGCCGGGGGTGAATCACAGGTAACTGAGGCTGCTCAGGGTGAGGCTGAGCTCAGGAAGAGCAGGATCTGCTTCTTCCACAACAGCCTGGAAACAAGCCTCCAAGTCCATCCACATGCTCGAGAAGAAGATGCTGTGAGTGGCCGGGCTGGGCCACTGGGTCGGGCAGCAGTGCATGTTTCCTATCGGTTAGGGGGATACTGCAAGATCTGCCTCAACTGCAGAGCTTCCTGTTCAAATTAGCCAAATCCAAGAGGACACCCCCACCACTCAGGGACCCGGGGGAGAGGACCTTCCCTTCCTGGGCATGAAGACACCATATTTTCTGGGTTTAACAGGATCAGTCGTTGTGCACAGGAACCAAAGGGCCCAGGTAAGCAGCTTCTCCACGTGGCTCCTGCAGGGCTCAGAGAGGCCCTCTGAGAAGCTGGAAGGCACCGTAGGGATCCAGCTGCATACGAAGTCACCTGGGGAGCAATTTTACACCCAGCGCCAGCACCTGCCCAGAGACTGATCCTAATTGAGAGGGGAGGGGCCTGGGCACCAGCATTTCAGAAACACTCTCTGAATGGTTCTAATACGTAGACGTCTCTGAGCAGATGAACCTCTAAGCAAATTTCAAAGGACATAAGGTTGTAAAGTTCACTTTCTCTACATTTTAGAATCCCTTTCCATCTCATAGGCAGCAGCAGCAAAAGAATCTAAGTTTTAAAATGGACTTTAAAATTGTCTTTCTCCATCAATGCTGGAAATGGCCAGTGAGGTGATTATTCAATTATTTTGTTTTTTATTTCCACCTCTGTACTAACTAATTGGATTTGCTATTTTAAATGTCTTACTAAAATATTAATCATTTTCTATTGAGCCTATTGCTACAGTATTTCCTTATCATTCTGGCTCCAGTGTTATTATTACACATTTTGCCTTCTAAATTCTTAACATATTTAATCACTCCAAAAATACCAGCTATAAAAGGTAGTTACTGGGCAACAAGAGACCCACTGAACTGAATGGCTGGCATGTGAGCGGGGGAGGAAACCACCGTCTAAACCTGCAGCAGGAAGTGGCCATGAGGTCAGAGGTCCTCGGCAGAAAACACGTGTCACAGAATTAATTATGAATAGAAGAAGTGAGTCTAAGGACTGGATGAGCAAAGGAAAATTCACATACAGGATGGTCAAGTTCCAAATACCCAAGTGATGGCACCACGCTGCCGCCTTCACACGAGCAGGTGTCTGTGGCTGCCAAGGCAGACAGAATAAGGAGTTCTGCTGAAGCTGGCACTCCTCACTCTTCCCTCCACCAGCATCCTGACAGCCAGCTGCATGGTCTCAGTCAGTCGCATGGTCTCAGTCAGTGACCAATGCTGTGAGGATAGCAGAGCCCGGGTCAGAGATGGTGAGTGTGCGGCTGAGGCCCCACACAGCTAGGTGGACAGGAAAGGCCTCTCTGAAGAGGAGACTCGTGGGCAGGGACTTAAATGGGGTGGGGGTTGTCCGGCCCGAGAGACCAGCAGCCTCCAGGTAACCTTGGACTGCAAGAAAACAGGCCCCCAGTGACACACAGACGACCAAAGAGTGAGTCGACAGGAAACAAGGAGAACAAGTCTGGGGTTCCGCTGAGCACCTGACACAGGGCGGCTGCATCAGCATCAGCGCCAGGCTGCCTGAGGTGGGGACCGAACGCTGAGTCCCACAGAGGGCACCAAAGAAGGACTGGACCCTCCCTCTGGGGCCTTTCTACTCCTGACCCACCTCCCCTGAAGGCAAGAGCAGAAGCAACCTGGTACTGGTCAGCAAAGACTGACCGCAAAACCACTTGAGTGCCTCATGGTATTGGGTTTGCAAGTGATGGTAAGAGGCTTCTGACCCAGCAGCCTGGGGCCTGGGGGGGGGTCCCGGCTTCAGATCAAACTGCGAAGAAAGTGCCCAGCCTCAAAGTTCCCTTAACCCAGATCACCCATCAGACTTAAACTGTTCTAGGGCCCAGGAAAAAACGCAGGGTCCCAAATTAATTTTATAAAATGGACATAACCTTGATTCTAAAACCTAAACACAAACTCTCTCTCTCTCTCTCTCAAACTCCAGGCCAATTCCACTTTAATATAGAGATGAAGTTCTATTTTTAAATGTCAGCAAATTAAATATAGTTTTATATTGGGTAAATAATAGATGATGGCCAGGCAAAGGTTATTTGAGGTGTGTAAGAACTGTTCAACATTAGGAAGTCTATTAATATAGGAACATCTCAACAGCTGCCAAAAAGACAGTTGTTAACCTTGTCATTCGTTTCTGACTGAATGCCGAGAACAGTGCCTAGCACATGGCAGGTGCCAGATGGCTGGTGAATGAATGAATGCTAACTTTTAAAACATGATAATTTATAGTCATAAAACAAGTTTCCATTAGATTCTTAAAAGGCTAAATAAAAACTAGTAACTTAGGTGTCCAACTTAATAAATTTAAAAAGAAAAATAGTAGAGAAGGAAGAAAATTTAAATAAAACTGGAGATATCAATGAAAAGAAAAACAAAGATTAAAAAGAGAACAACAAAGCCAAAAGCCAGTGGTTTAGACAGACAGACAAATTTCTGGAAAAATATATTTAAAAAAAGAAAAATGCCTAAGTAAGTAATATTGGTTAAAACAAACAAACAAAAAACAAACAAACAAACAAAAACTAAACTAAACTAAACTACATCCAGAGCAAATATTAAAGAGTTCTAGCAAGAGCTTTTTTCCAATAAGCTTGAAAATTTTCAAAAAACTGACAGTCAAAATGGACTCGAAAACACATTTTAAAAAGCCTGAATACTCTCATAATTAATACAAAAATGAAAACAATGGTTTAAGTATTTCCCACAAAGAAACACCAAGCTCAGGTGGTTTTACATGTGAAGCTGTCAAATTGTCAAGAAATACATTCCAATCATATACAATCTCTTCCAGAACAGATAAAAACAAAGAATATCCTCAATTCATTCTTGACCTTGGTACTAAAAAAAATAAGGATCATACAAGAAAAACAAAATTATGGGTCCATTTCATTCATGAATATAAATGGAAAAATACTAATTAGCAACTAGACTCTTAACAGTGGATTAAAAATAATAATAATATACCATAATTGATTTGATCCAAGGAATGTAAAGACTGTTTCATATTAGAAAAGCTACAATCATATAGTGAATTAAGGAATATAATAGAATCATCTCAATCGACCCAGAAAAAGCATTTAGTAAAATTTAACACGCATTAATAACCAAGCCCCACAGTGGGGGGGGAACCTACAAAAACTTAGCCAGGCAGAGTGGCACTCGCCTGCAGTCCCAGCTACTTGGGAGGAGGAAGGATCACCTGAGCCTAGGAAAGCAAGGCTGCAGTGAGCCATGATTGCACCACTGCACTCCAGCCTGGGTGACAGGGAGGCCCTGTCTCAAAAAAAAAAAAAAAAAAAAAAAGAAAATCAGGAAGGAAGGAAACGAGGTTACCCACAATCACCATTACTATTCCTACTCTAGCAGAGGGCCTAGCCACAGAAATGCAACAGTAAGAGGGAATTAAATGCCTAAGACTGGAAAGAAGGAAATGAAGCCATCAGGACTTTCAGATGACACAGACAATGGTGCGGAGCTTGGGCTAAAGGCATGGACTCTGGGTGCGATTGCCTGGGCTTGAATCACTCCTCTGCCACTCACCACTCATACGGCCCCGGACACGTTCCTTAACCTCCAAATGCCCCAGTTTCAAAATGGGTAACAACAGTGCCCGAGTCTCACTATGACCTATGTTATTAGCTGTCTTAGAACAGAGCCTGCACACCGTGCCCTATTAGGTGTTTGCTGCTATTACAGCGAAGAAAACAGAAAAGACTCAACAGACACGTTTAAAGCAAACAGTTTTAAATGAAGCTGGTTATAAGTCAACAGCATTACTATCTACCAGCAATCAACAACTAGAAAACAATTTTAAATAAATATACAGTATTTATAATAGCAGATAAACTATAAATACCCACATATAAATCTAACAAAAGATACGAACAACCTTAACAAATCAAATTATAAACATTCACTAAAAGACTTTAAAGCAAGTCTAAATAAATGGAGAGATAGTTTTGTTCATAAATACTCCAACTGAAATCCCAAGAGGGTTTTTCACGGCACTCAATAAGCAGGTTATAATATGTAGATGGAAGTGGACAAGACCAATAATTGCCAAAACATAGCTGAAGAAGAGGCATAAGGCGGCAGGGGCTTTGCTACCAGACACAAGGCCTTGTTCTGAAGCTACAGTCATTACAGCAGGGTGGTATCAGTGCGGGCCAGTGGAGCAGTATAAACTACAGCCTGTGGACCGGCCCACCACCTGGATTTCTCTATAGCCCATGAGCTAAGAATGATTTTTTATTTATAAATAGTTGAAAAACCCAGTTAAAGGATAATATTTTGCAGCACATGAAAGTTATACAAAATTCACGTTTCAGTGTCCATAAATAAATAAAGCCCTATTGGAAACCAGCCACGCTCATGCATTTATATATTGCCTGTGGTTGCTTTTACACTACAATAACAAAGTTGAGTAGTGGCAACAGAGATTACATGGTTCTCATGGCTGAAAATATTTACTACCTGACCTTTTACGGAAAAAGTTTGCTAACCTCTGGGGCAGAGAACACAGAAAGAGTTCCACGCATATGGAACTTTCATATTCAGCAGAGACAGCATTGCAGATCAATGGGGAAAGGAGGAAAACTTGGTTATCCATATGAGGAGAGAAAAAAACTACACTTCTGTCCCACAGAATACAGGAAAATCAACTCCAGGTGGATTAAGCATGTACATGTCAAAACAAAGCTTTACTTTTTTAAAAAGAGTAAATATCTTTCTGACCTTGGAATACAGAAGGATTTCTTAACCGACTCGCCAAAAGCATTAACCATAAGAGAAAAGATTGAAAAGTTTGATTAAAATTAAAAATGTCTTTAAAATGTCATTGAAAGACACCATAAAGAAAGTGAAGATGAACTCAGCTCTGGACCAAGCAGAACTAATAGACATCTACAGAATTCTATACCACAAATCAACAGATATACATTCTTCTCAGCACCACATCGCACTTATTCCAAAATTGACCACATAATTGGTAGTAAAACACTCCTCAGCAAATGTAAAAGAACAGAAATCACGACAAGCTGTCTCTCAGACCATAGTGCAATCAAATTAGAACTCAGGATTAAGAAACTCACTCAAAACCGAACAACTACATGGAAACTGAACAACCTGCTCCTGAATGACTACTGGGTACATAACAAAATGAAGGCAGAAATAAAGATGTTCTTTGAAACCAATGAGAACAAAGACACAACATACCGGAATCTCTGGGACACATTTAAAGCAGTGTGTAGAGGGAAATTTATAGCACTAAATGCCCACAAGAAAAAGCAGGAAAGATTTAAAATCAACACCCTAACATCACAATTAAAAGAATGAGAGAAGCAAGAGCAAACAAATTCAAAAGCTAGAAGGAGGCAAGAAATAACTAAGACCAGGGCAGAACTGAAGGAGATAGAGACACAAAAAGACCTTCAGAAAATCAATGAATCCAGGAGCTGGTTTTTTGAAAAGATCAACAAAACTGATAGACCGCTAGCAAGACTAATAAAGAAGAAAAGAGAGAAGAATCAAATAGATGCAATAAAAAATGATAAAGGAGATATCACCAGCAATCCCACAGAAATACAAACTACCATCAGAGAATACTATAAACACCTCTACACAAATAAACTAGAAAATCTAGAAAAAATAGATAAATTCCTGGACACATACACCCTCCCAAGACTAAACCAGAAAGAAGCTGAATATATGAATAGACCAATAACAGGCTCTGAAATTAAGGCAATAATTAATAGCCTACCAACCAAAAACAGTCCAGGACCAGACGGATTCAGAGCCAAATTCTACCAGAGGTACAAAGAGGAGCTGGTACCGTTCCTTCTGAAACTATTCCAATCAACAGAAAAAGAGGGAATCCTCCCTAACTCATTTTATGAGGCCAACATCATCCTGATACCAAAGTCTGGTAGAGACACAACAAAAAAAGAGAGTTTTAGACCAATATCCGTGATGAACATTGATGTGAAAATCCTCAATAAAATACTGGCAAACCAAATCCAGCAGCACATCAAAAAAAAGCTTATCCACCATGGTCAAGTTGGCTTCATCCCTGGGATGCAAGGCTGGTTCAACACACACAAATCAATAAACGTAATCCATCACATAAACAGAACCGACAAAAACCACGATTATCTCAATAAATGCAGAAAAGGCCTTCGACCAAACTCGACAGCCCTTCATGCTAAAAACTCTCAATAAACTAGGTATTGATGGAACGTATCTCAAAATAATTAGAGCTATTTATGACAAACCCACAGCCAATATCATACTGAATGGGCAAAAACTGGAAGCATTCCCTTTGAAAACCAGCACAAGACAAGGATGCCCTCTCTCACCACTCCTATTCAACACAGTGTTGGAAGTTCCGGCCAGGGCAATCAGGCAAGAGAAAGAAATAAAGGGTATTCAATTAGGAAATGAGGAAGTCAAATTGTCCCTGTTTGCAGATGACATGATGGTATATTTAGAAAACCCCATTGTCTCAGCCCAAAATATCCTTAAGCTGATTAAGCAATTTCAGCAAAGTCTCAGGATACAAAATCAATGTGCAAAAATCAGAAGAATTCCTATACACCATTAACAGACAGAGAGCCAAATCATGAGTGAACTCCCATTCACAATTGCTACAAAGAGAATAAAATACCTAGGAATCCAACTTACAAAGGATGCGAAGGACCTCTTCAAGGAGAACTACAAACCACTGCTCAACTAAATAAAAGAAGACACAAACAAATGGAAGAATATTCCATGCTCATGGATAGGAAGAATCAATATCGTGAAAATGGCCATACTGCCCAAAGTAATTTATAGATTCAATGCCATCCCCATCAAGCTACCAAAGACTTTCTTCACAGAATTGGAAAAAACTACTCTAAAGTTCATATGGAACCAAAAAAGAGCCCGCATTGCCAAGACGATCCTAAGCAAAAAGAACAAAGCTGGAGGCATCACGCTACCTGACTTCAAACTATACTACAAGGCTACAGTAACCAAAACAGCATGGTACTGGTACCACAACAGAGATGTAGACCAATGGAACAGAACAGAGGCCTCAGAAATAACACCACACATCTACAACCATCTGATCTTTGACAAACCTGACAAAAACAAGAAATGGGGAAAGGATTCCCTATTTAATAAATGGTGCTGGGAAAACTGGCTAGCCATATGTAGAAAGCTGAAACTGGATCCCTTCCTTATACCATATACAAAAATTAATTCAAGATGGATTAAAGACTTAAATGTTAGACCTAACACCATAAAAACCCTAGAAGAAAACCTAGGCAATACCATTCAGGACATAGGCATGGGCAAGGACTTCATGACTAAAACACCAAAAGCAATGGCAACAAAAGCCAAAATACACAAACGGGATCTAATTAAACTAAAGAGTTTCTGCATGGCAAAAGAAACTACCATCAGAGTGAACAGGCAACCTACAGAATGGGAGAAAATTTTTACAATGTACCCATCTGACAAAGGGCTAATATCCAGAATCTACAAAGAACTTAAACAAATTTACAAGAAAAAAACAAACAACCCCATCAAAAAGTGGGCAAAGGATATGAACAGACACTTCTCAAAAGAAGACATCTATGCAGCCAACAGACACGTGAAAAAATGCTCATCATCACTGGTCATCAGAAAAATGCAAATCAAAACCACCATGAGATACCATCTCACGCCAGTTAGAATGGCAGTCATTAAAAAGTCAGGAAACAACAGATGCTGGAGAGGATGTGGAGAAATAGGAATGCTTTTACACTGTTGGTGACAATGTAAATTAGTTCAGCCGTTGTGGAAGACAGTGTGGTTATTCCTCAAGGATGTAGAACTAGAATTACCATTTGACCCAGCAATCCCATTACTGGGTATATACCCAAAGGATTATAAATCATTCTGCTATAAAGACACATGGACATGTACGTTTATTATGGCACTACTCACAATAGCAAAGACTTGGAACCAACCCAAATGTCCATCAATGATAGACTGGGTAAAGAAAATGTGGCACATATACACCATGGAATACTATGCAGCTATAAAAAAGGGATGAGTTCATGTCCTTTGCAGGGACATGGATGAAGCTGGAAACCATCATTCTAAGCAAACTATCACAAGGACAGAAAACCAAACACCACATGTTCTCACTCATAAGTGGGAGTTGAACAATGAGAACACATGGACACAGGGCAGGGAACATCACACACCGGGGCCTGTCGGGGGGCAGAGGGCTGGGGGAGGGATAGCATTAGGAGAAACACCTAATGTAAATGACGAGTTGATGGGTGCAGCAAACCAACATGGCACATGTATACCTATGTAACAAACCTGCACATTGTGCACATGTACCCTAGAACTTAAAGTATAATAAAAATGAAAAAGAAAGTGGAGAAAAAAACTTTTAAATGAATGTTACTTTAATGTGATTTTACTTCCCTTGACTCCCTCAACCCTACCATCTATTATTATTATGTTATTCTTCCACAAAACTATTTTTTCAAGAACTAGTTTAGGGATTTTGCATTCAATTCTGTAGTTATACTCAATTCTATATGCTTAATCAGTTTCAATAATCAATTTTAATTCATTTCACCTATACCAATGCTGCCCAATAGAAATATGCAAGCCATATACGTAATTTAATATTTTCTACTAGTTTCACTTTAAAAGTAAAAAGAAACAGATGAAATTAGTTTCAATAAATTTTATTTAATGTGATATATACAAAATCATTTCAACATGTAATCAATATAATAATTTCTAATGAGATAGTTTATATTCTTCTTTTCCAACACCATATTTGAAATCTGGTGTGTGTTTTATACTTAGGATATATTTCAGTTGGGATTCGTCAGTTTTCTAATACCCCCACCACATGGGCGAGTGGCCACTGCGCTGGTCATCCCAGGCCCACACTCAGGCTTTCCTTAGGCTTAGGTTTGGAAGAATATAAGAACAATCTTTTTTTGAGCTCTTGCATTATCTGGATGTGTCTTCCACTGTTTTTATGTATGAAATGACAATCTAGCTAAATAGTAAGAATCTTGGGTCAGTTTCTTTCTCTCCAAATGTTGAAGCAACTGTTCCTTTTTCTTCTGGCATTTAGGGCCACAGAGAAGTCTACAGCAAATCTGACTTTGGTTCTTTTCAAAAGAACCTATTTTTTCTTGATGTACAATATACTTGTAGGATTGTTTTTGGTTGTTCCCCCCACCAAAAAAAACAAAAACAAACCGAAAAAAACACCTGATCTCAACAATACTGCCAATATTGTGAGTTTCCTTTTTACCTGGCACATGAAAGCCCTTTTCAAGTGCAGACTCATAGAAGGTCAAGCTTCACGCTCTTTACGAAAAGTACAAAGCACCTCTAAAAAACAGACTTTCAATGTCGCATTAACTGAGATCAGAAAGCTAGTAAACTTCGTTCTTATCACATTTTACTCAGAAATCTATATTACTGTCCAAACGACAAATGTCCAAATTGTGGCAGAAAACCACATTACAAGAGAACTATGCCCGCTCCCTAGCACTCAGAGGCCTCGTGATGGGCTTAAAGCACCCCCTGGTGTTAGCATGGGGCTCACCAGAGGCTACAGCATGAAAAATGTCCGTAATTCCCCTAAATGCACATAGCTTCGTTTTTCACCTCTGGCAAGTGCTTCCCCACATTTTATCATTCATTCCCTTCCACTTCCCCCTTTCTCTTCTAACTTCTGTTCAACTGGCGATGAAATTCATCTCTTCAACAGTTGATGACATGCACTTAACGTCCACTGCTATGCTAGCCACGAGAGGGAGATGAGAGGCACTGGTCTTCACCTTATGAGATGCCCATTCCAGGGGAAAGTCAGTAACTGATCTTCCCTCCTGAGCCATTTGGTCCTGAAGCCATGAAGTGGGCAATGCCAGGGAAGCATGTACACTAGGCTGGGGGTGGGAGAGCCCGGGGTAGGGAGAATGGAGGCAGGAGCCCAGCACAGGAGGGAGAGGGCACCCACACGGCCAGGGAGACCAGGTAGGGAGGGCACAGACATTTGCACACACACATGTACACACACATACACAGACATGCACATACACATATATCACAGACATAGCCATGCATATATACACATGTACACATGCATGCAGACATGCACACGTATACATGTATACACTCAGACACGCACACATACGCATACACAGACATGCACAATACAGACATAAACATACACACATGCACACACAGACACAGACATTCACATAGACATGCACACACATATATACACATGCACACTTACAGACACACATACACGTTCACATATATACACACATACATACAGACATGCACACACGCATATATAACAAACACAGACACATACATTTTCCCCCTCTAGCTCTGTTCACTGAGATGACCTGAGAGCTGAACCTCCAAAAGTGGCAAACACTCCATTCTCCAATCAAAGGACCCAGGTCTCCTGGGGAAATGGCTGATTCTGGGGCTGGAGCAGGGAAAGAACAGGATGAGCCAGAAAGCAAGGAACAGCTCAAAGAATGCTGGGCGCAGGCTGAAAGGACACAAAGCCAGCTTGAAGGAGCTCTCCAGAGCCAAATCTGAGGCCATCTGCGCATGAAAATCATGGCAGTAAGAGATTACAGCCCACAGAGTCCAAGTGGAAGGCACAAGCCCATAATGATACAAACAAATGATTAAACTTAGTGAAGCACAGGGTACTTCGATTGTACAAAGTACTTCCTCCAAAATGCTAGTAATTACAAAGAGAAAAGGAGCGGCTTGACTGCAGAGAAGCTGGCAGACAGCATCCACATCGAGAGGCCACGGAGAGCGTCTGCAGTCAGGAACAATCTGAAACCTTGAACCACTCAGCAAGACGCAGCAAAGGCAGCACAGCCTCGTTTCTGGAAGGTTTCGGCCCAGGATGCAAAGTCTGACTCTAATCACAAGGAAACACCACACAAACCCAAACCGGGGGCCAGTCAGGAAAATAGCTGTACTGTTCAAAACTGTCAAGGCCAAATCAAGGGAAGAGCACAGACTGTTTGAGACTGAAAGAAACTTACAAAACACCTAACTCATTCTGGACTGGATGCTTCTGCAACAAAAAGCAGCAGAGCCAGAAAGCTCCCGCATGGAAGACAGTGGAACGCGCTCCACTTTTAATATCACTACCATTAATCTCTGAAGGCTCTGAAGTTCCCAAAAGTGTCTTTCACAAGTGAATGCTTTGCCTGCTTCTAAACCCGCTTTTCTTAGAAAGCTAATTTCAAAATTGTTAAAAATATATATTTACTTTAATTGCTTGGTTATTACTATTAAAATAACAGCATTATTTTCTATCATTTTTTACTGTAAATGAACTCTACTTGTACAAAGTACTTTTATTGTAGTACAATAAAAGCTTTGTTAAGCTACCTAGAAACCCAGTCAGAACCCAAAATACTAATATACAGAAATTACTCCCAAGTTTTAAAAACTAACATGGTGCATCATGTAAGAGTATAGACACAGTGTATTTTATTTACAAAGTATTTATCAATGGCCAGGCGCAGTGGCTCACGCTTGTAATCCCAGCACTTTGGGAGGCCGAGGCGGGTGGATCGCCTGAGGTCAGGAGTTCAAGACCAACCTGGCCAACATGGTGAAACTCTGTCTCTACTAAAAATAAAAAAAAATTAGCTGGACATGGTGGCAGGCGCCTGTAATCTCAGCTACTAGGAAGGCTGAGGCAGGAAAATCACTTGAACCTGGGAGGCAGAGGGTGCAGTGAGCCGAGATCACGCCATTGCACTCCAGCCTGGGCAACAAGAGTGAAACTCCGTCTCAAAAAAAAATTATTAATAACAATATCTAAAATAAATGTATTTCTACTTTATTTTCATTTTTTTTCTTTAAGGGATTTAAGAATATTCCTGAAAATATAAAACTTACATAGAGCAAAGCCTGGTATAATACAAGCCCTTCACTAAGTGAATGTCAGTCCTGCCCTCTGTGACAAGTATTGTAAGTATTATCAAGAGGCTTTATTAGTTTAAAAGGGGTCACATCTGGGGATGGAGGAAGTCTACTGGCCAGAAGAAACCGTACGGAGATTTCAATCAGAAAAACCTTAATAACAGTCCAATATGAAAAATTATATATGCATCACTGCTATAAATAGGAAATCGAAGCATTTTAATGCCAAGAATCTTAGTGTTTCTTTACTCTAAAATATCCCCTATAATCCATACCCTGGAGAAAAGTAATAAAGTTGTGCCATTGTTTCGTCCATTTCAGCCCTCCTGAGCCTGCTTTACCCACATTAAATTAAAAACTCAATAAAACCTAATTCATTCAGCCAAGTCCTGTTCCTCTAGTGATAGCTCTTCACTGGAAGCTGCTTTTCAGGTCAGAAACAGACAGCAAGGAATAATAGATGGGAACTAGAAAAATACATGTGTGTCTCACAACAGTAAGCACAAGTGAATATGTTTTGGAAAGGACAAAAATACTAACTAACACTTTTTAAAAACACAAATTTCCCTTTTTTTTTTCAAAGGGAAGCTGAAGAAATATGGAATTTAAGGATTAAAATAATTCTCGAAATAAGTTGCTCCAAAAAAAGCAGCTCAACGCGCCCACCCCGCACTGAGACAGGGAGGCACAGGCTCCGGGCCTGGGGCATGCTGGAGCCGCGGTGCTGCTCCCTCCTGTGGTCAGAACCTGTACTTTGGGGCTAGATAAGAGTTTGGATCCAGGCTCTGGAGTGCAAGGCCTTGGGCAAGGGACTGAGACTCTCCTAAGCCTCAATTTCCTCAGCAGTGAGTTGTGGTGCAGGTGCAGGAGGCCATGCGTGGGAAGCCCTGCACAGAGAGGGCTCGGTGGCGCAGGCTCTCGGTCCCACCGCGGTCTCTCCCGTGTCCCACAGTCTCTCTGAGAAAGCTCAGTCCCACGAGGAGCAAGAGCTGTCACAGCCACCACCACATGCTAAGGGGACCCCAGCCCATGCTGAGCGTGCACCAAAGGCCCAAGCCCACTCGCTCAGCTAGGTCGTTTCTAAACCATTCCTTTCAAGGCCTAATGACTAACAGATTTTAACAATTTCATGATGTCTCACTGGGTAGCTTCTGAAGTCTTCACACCTCTTCAAACTAGTGAGATCCACATCTTCAGTCTTCTGTTGCAGGGCGCTGAGGCTTCTGAAACTTGTGCCACATCCCCTTTGATTTCTCTACTTACTGCTCTCCAGATACCTCCTACACTTCTCTCCACTGAGCTGGGGCATTGTTTAGTAGTCAATGTGACTAAATTCTATTTAATTCTAATCCTTATCCACTAATTTTCTTTTTTTTTTTTTTTTTTTTTTTTTTGAGACAGAGTCTTGCTTTGTCACCCAGGCTGGAGTGCAGTGGTGCGATCTCGGCTCACTGCAACTTCTGCCTCCCAGGTTCAAGCGATTCTCCTGCCTCAGCCTCCTGAGTAGCTGGGATTACAGGCACGTGCCACCACGCCCGGCTAATTTTTGTGTATATTTAGTAGAGATGGGGTTTCACCTTGTTAGCCAGGATGGTCTCAATCTCCCGACTTCGTGATCTGCCCGCCTCGGCCTCCCAAAGGGCTGGGATTACAGGTGTGAGCCACCACACCCAGCCTCCACTAATTTTCATCCTGGGGCTAACACAACATCATTCCCTCATATATCCATTAATGTGTCACAGTGAGTATATTTAAACACCAGGGTCTACACTACTTAGAAACTGAATTGACATCCAAGGCAGGCTGTCAAAACCAATCAAAAATAAAGATTTTTTTTTATGCAAAGCACAGAAAAGGGTACTGGTGAAATTAAGACCAGAAATAACCTATCAGGCCACAACTGACTAAAATCTAAAAAACCGAGGACATAATATGAATTTCAGTGACATTTTCAGTAAAAATAAAATCTTTATTGATTATATTATCATTCACTGAGTAATCATGAACCAGAAGATAATGGGCATATCAATTTGGAAATGTTTGTGACAATACAGCTAAACACATTTTTATAATACAGTTTTCTTAAGTCATTTATATGTGTATCTATTTTTTTTTCAGGTAAAGAACTCATATTTTATCCTTATCATGAACTTTATTTGTCTATAGAGAAAAGGCCTATCTCCTCCTAATTATCTTTATAAAGTTCATATACATGTAATATTTTAATGGCTTCCAAATCATTTTTGTGGTCTATAATACACCCATGGCATATGTTTATAAATATTTTAAATGATATAGCTGGTGCCTGATTTTTCTTTTTTTGAGATGGAGTCTTGCTTTGTCGCCCAGGCTGGAGTGCAGTGGCGCGCGCGATCTCTGCTCACTGCAAGCTCCGCCTCCCAGGTTCACGCCATTCTCCTGCCTCAGCCTCCCGAGTAGCTGGGACTACAGGCGCCTGCCACCCCTTTGTATTTCTGGTAGAGATGGGATTTCACCATATTAGCCAGGATGGTCTCGATCTCCTGACCTTGTGATCTGCCCGCCTCGGCCTCCCAAAGTGCTAGGATTACAGGCGTGAGCCACTGCGCCCAGCCGGTGTCTGATTTTTTATAAGATAATGGGGTGGTAACAAATTTTATATCCAAAACTTAAAATCTCCAGCCTGCATATTGTAAGATACTGCATTCAGAGATTTTACTTGGGAACATAAAACTATCACCTTATTTCTTTAAAAACAAAAACAAAACCTCTAAGAAACAAACAAAAAACCCCACCATATAACCCTTCATGATTAGAATCAATTTCAGTAGTTCCCAATTTAACTATTAAAGTCTTACCAACAGAGTATGTCTCTTTTTATTTTTATTTATTTATTTATTTTTATTTTTATTTTATTTTTTTGAGACAGGTCTCACACTATCACCCAGTCTGGAGTGCAGTGGCGCGAGCTTGGCTCACTGCGGCCTCAAACTTGTGGGCTCAAGCCATCCTTCTGCCTCAGCCTCCCGAGTGGCTGGAAACACAGGTATGCACCACCATGTCTGATTGTTTTTAATTTTTGTAGAGATGGTGTCTCGCTATGTTGCCCAGGCTGGTATCTAACTCCTAAGCTCAAGTGATCTGCTTGACTTGGCCTCCCAAGTGCTAGGATTACAAACGTTGGCCACCGCGCCTGGCCCATTTTTATTTCTTTAACAACAATTTCAATGGAAACAATATTCCTAGCAAAGGAAAAATCCAATAATACTAGGACCAAAAATACCCAAACTAAAAATACTGTTGTCAGGTGTAGAATTTTCAGGTAAGGAGAGATTCTGAATAGCATTTTTCTGAAAGAGTTATAGTATTTGTGATGAAACTGCACCATCTACCTACCAAAAAAAGAAATTTGAGGATCTATTCCTATCACCAAAGTGAAATAATTTAAGACTCAAATCCCTGACTTTCATCAACAATTTAGCTAAATACTATTTGTTATATGCCACTGACTTTAATTAAAACATAACTTGTTCACGATAAGGTCATTGTATCCATCAAGAGGCATTTCAAGATACAAGAAGTTCTTACATTCCCAAATAAATGCCTCTTTAAGACAGTCATCCATGCTAGTCATTCTAGCAATATTTGCTTGCTTATTACAACTTTCTTTCAGAATGGCAACAAAAAACATATATGCAGGTCAAATTCAATACATGCCCACCTGTTCTCACCAGGACAAGATATGGGCGTGACGTCTAGCAGTCCCAGAACAAGGCACGGTTTATAAGATCAAGAAAGTAGAGAAGAGAGCAGTCACAAAACCTTAAAATGAAGAAAGAAGGAAATCTACAAAAAGAAGTACTCCAATAGCTATTTCAAAATAAAAAATTTAAATGAAAAGAAAAAGCATCTAAAAATCATATTTATTAATAATTAGATATAAAATGAAAAAGAGAAACAAAGGGAAGATCATGTAAAAGGAGACTGAAAAATTAGGAGTGAGAAATATTTAAATACTTTAAAGTGAGTGAACAGTCTTCAAAACTGTTGGCCATTAGCCTAAAGCATCCTCATATATAAACCTTTAGAAAGCCTAAGAAACACTGTAATAAAATGGTTCTTTTGATGGTTTTTCAAAAACTTCTTCATAAACCTGAAGAAAGAAAAAAAAACGCTGGCAGGAGCTAATATCTTACTATTAACAAAGTTTATATTTCCTCTTGAAAAGAGAGCAAAAAAGTCAGGATAATGAAGAAAACGCTTAAAGCAATCTGATTCACATATTTATTCTATAATGTATTATTCAAGTCCATTAGTACAATAAGAAATGGCTTTACTTCCAATGCAACTTCAAAGACAGGCTGGAGAGAGGCCCAAATTACAAATATGCATTTCTTTAGCATTGAAAAAATCCTCCAAAAAAATAAAAAGTATCAAGACTAAGGAAGGGCACACCACAATTTATGTGAAAAGCACAGAAAACACCTGTTTTGTATTTTTTAATGAGACAGAGAGAAAATAAGCAATTATTATGATAACATGTATAAATCGATAATGGTGATAGATTCAGCATACATGCTTTGAGGATACATTTTTATTTTTATTTATATATTTTTTTTGAGACAGAGTCTCGCTCTGTTGCCCAGGCTGGAATGCAGTGGTGCAGTCTCGGCTCGCTGCAACTTCCACCTCCTGGGTTCAAGCAATTATCTTGCCTCAGCCTCCTGAGTAGCTGAAACTACAGGCACACACCACCATGTCCGGCTAATTTCTGTATTTTTAGTAGAGACGGGGTTTTACTGTGTTGGCCAGGCTAGTCTTGAACTCCTGACCTCGTGATCCGCCCACCTTGGCCTCCCAAAGTGCTGGGATTACAGGTGTGAGCCACCGCACCTGGCCTGAGGATATAGTCTTACATTTGCCTCTCTGTGAAATCAACAACGGTATGTGGAAGCCTGGACCTGAAGTATGTCTAGAAGTAAGCAGCTTTGCAAGTACTTTGAAACACAAAACTGACCACCAAATAGGCCACATTAAAAGTCTCATCAATTCCAAATAATCAATTTCATTACATTAGATATTATCATTAAAAAGACTTTTAAAAATCTTTATGTGTAAAAAACTAAAAAAAGAATCCCAACTGCCCATATGTTAAAATTGTAACAAAGTACTTCATATTAAAATTCAAGGAATTTTTAATATTCAATATCAATTTTCAATATTCAAGGAATTTAGAAGTCAAGGATAAACCATGCTTAAAAGGAGCTGTGCAATCGGAAATATATGTAGGTTTAAAACGACAACGACTCAAAATAAAGGAGCTGTGTGCTTTATTCAAGAGACTAGGAAAAGTCAATGCCCAAAGAAATTAAAAGGAATAACAGAGTAGAAATTAATCAAATAAAACAAAAGTGAGTATCTATAAAACTGAAAGTTGATTCTTTGCTAGAGAGTGTTTATTTTAATAGTTTTTTCAAAGTCTCACCAAGAAATAAAAAGACACAAAATTTTGGGAAGAAAAGAAAAACTAAGTATAGATAAGATATTTTAAAATCATAAAGGCTACTTCAAACATCTTTATGCCATGACTGTAAGACATGAATGAAATAAACAATTTCCTAGAGAAACATTGTGGAAGAGACAGCTGGTCGACCCTGTTTCTGATCTCCGCTTTGGCAAAGCTTCCCGCCACTGTGTGCGGCCCACATGTGAGACGTGTGCTGGGTCCAGGAACCCTCGGCCTCTAGCCAGGGAGGCAGCCTCTTCCACTTACCCATGTGCCTTGCAAGCACTACCATTTTCTGAGCATGGCAGGCACTGAGAAAATTTGACACGTTCTAGTTTGTGATAATGGAATTCCTGATTTCTGGCTATGCAAATGGATGCCTAAAATAGAGATTTCACTTCATGGTCTCCTTTGTGACTAAGTTCTAGCCAACATAATATAAGTGGAAGTGCTGTCCAACTTCCAGTAAATATCCTGAAGGAGAAGGGCAGGCCTTCTCCTTCCTCCCTTTTCTCCCTCTTGCTGGCTGGAAGCTGAAGCTATGCTGGCCTGTGAGGCACCCTGAGGAAGGGAGGTCACATCATGCTGTGGAGGAATGAGGCAGAAGGCGTCAGGGTCACTGCCACCTGGATGGCTACCTCTAGACTGACCCATGAGATAAAACACTTTATACTTCATTTACGCCACTAATGTTTTAGCTTTCTTTTGCTTGCAGGTAAATCTAAACCTAACAGATTCAAACATTAATTACCAAAATAAGAAAGAAAAAACAGAAAAATGGAATATAACCACTAAGGAAGCTGACTTAGTAAAAAAAAAAAATTAGTTTGAAAGGACAGCTAATAACATTAAGATGGTGATACTAAGAAAAGAATGAAAAGAGAAGGAACTAGCAAAGGACAGAGAGAAGGGGGACTGGCCCGGCAGGAGGGGCGCCAGAGGAGAGTGCTGTGCTGGAGGCCATGCCAAGGACGGAGAGAGTGGCCAACAGCATCAAAACGCTGTCGCAGGACACAGACATAACCAGCAGATATAACAACTGAGAGGTCAGGTGACCCTGCCGAGGGCAACTCAGGCAACTCGGATGAAGGTGGAGAGCCAGCGGCCTCCCTGGAATGGGGTTAGGAGAGAGTGGGAAGAGGTAGATTGTAGACAGCAAAAGATAAGCGATTATTTTAAGGCATTTTGCTCCAAAGACAGGCAAGGCAATGGAGTGGAAGTTAGTGGTAAAAGTCAAGTCAAGCGAAGATCAATACGATTCCGGTCAAAATCACAACAAGGTTTTTCATGGAACCACACAAACTGATCCCACAATTATATAAAGCCATAAAGACTTACTCACAATCAAGACAACCTGGAGAGTCGGGGAGGAGTGGAGGAACATTTAGAAAGGCTTTCCCAGAGGTAAAACCATAGTGCTGAAACAAGGAGAGACACAGCAGAGCCCGGAAACACGTAGTGCCTGGGCTCCCTAGAGAGGTGGGGGTACAAAGGCGGGGTAAGGAAGCCTTGGCTGGCTACCACACAGCAGAAAATCACACTTCCAGACCACGCAGAGACCTAGACGTGAAAAAGAAGACTAAACTAGAGACTACCTTTACAACCAGGATAGGACAGCTTCTTCAGACAAAATCAAAAATAAAGTATAACTGCACCTTAAACTCTTGGCCATAACAAAAAGAAAAAAAATAAATAATGTATAAAGAAAAAGGCTGTTTAAATTTTACATCAAAATAGAAAAGTTTGGCCAGGTGCAGTGGTTCACTTTGGGAGGCCAAGGCAGAAGGATCGCTTGGAGCCTAGGAGATCAAGACCAGCCTGGCTAACATAGCAAAACCCCCCTACAAAAAATACAAAAATTAGCCAGGTGTGGTAGCGTGTGCCTGTAGTCCCAGCTACTCGGGAGACTGAGGTGGGAGGATCACTTGAGCCTGGGAGGCAGAGGTTGCAGTGAGCCGAGATTCAGACCACTGCACTCCAGCCTGGGCAACAGAGCCAGACTCTGTTTCAAAAAAAAAAAAAAGTTTTTTAAATAAAAAGGCAAAGTCAGACAAGCGATAGATTGGAAAAATATTTACAACATATGAGACACAAGGGTGTCATTATATATTATGTATACAACCATAGGACAGATATTCAACATCATTAGCCATTAAGGAAATGCAAATTACAACTATGAAAAAAAATTTTTTTGAGACGGAATCTCACTTTGTCCCCCAGGCTGGAGTGCAGTGGCGCAATCTCGGCTCACTGCAACCTCCGCCTCCCAGGTTCAAGCGATTCTCCTGCCTCAGCCTCCTGAGTGCTGGGACTACAGCCCTGTGCCACTATGCCCAGCTAATTTTTTGTATTTTTAGTAGAGACAAAGTTTCACCATTAGCCAGGATGGTCTCAATCTCCTGACCTCGTGATCTGCCTGCCTCGGCCTCCTAAAGTGCTGGGATTACAGGTGTGAGCCACCACACCCGGCTGAAAAATTTTAAAGTTTGACCGTACCTAGTGCTGACGAGGATGTGAAGGAACTGAAACTCTTATACACTGCTGGTAGGAATGCAAAATGATACAACCACTTTGCAACACAGTTTGGCAATCTTTGTTTTTGTTTTTTTGTAGAGACAGGGTCTCCCTATGTTGCACAGGCTGGTCTTAAAATCCTGGCTTCAAGTGATCCTCACATTTCGGCCTCCCAGAGGGCTGGGATTACAGGTGTGAGCCATAGCACCCAGCCCTATGGTCTGGCAGTTTCTTAAAAAGTTAAGCACACACTTACCGTATGCCTCAGCAGTCCCACTTCTAGGTACAACAGTCCTATCCCCACCCATAGTTTCACTTTCTGCAGTTTCAGTTACCTGCAATCTGAAAATATTAAATGGAAAATTCCAGAAATAAACAATTCATTCATAAGTTTTCAATTGCATGCCATTCTGAGTAGGGTGATCAAATCTTGCACAGTTCTGCTGAGGACATAAATCATCCCTCTGTCCAGTATATATACACACTGTACACACCATCCACCTGTTAGTCACTTAGTAGCCCTCTCAGTTATCAGATAGTCTAGACTGTGGCAGTATCCCAGTGCTTGTGTTAAAGTAACCCTTATTTTATTTAACAATGGCCCCTAAGTACAAGGGAGTGGTGCTGACATATTGTTAAAATTGTTCTGTTTAATATCAGTTATTGTCCATCTCTTACTGAACCTAATTCATAAAGTAAACTTTATCATCGGAACGTATCATGAAAAAACATGGTATATACAGGGTTTGGTACTATCCACAGTCTCAGGCATCCGCTAGGGGTCATGGAACATATCCCCTGCAAATAAGAGGGGTTCTACTGTATTCATACAACATAATGAAAGTATCTGTCAAAACAAAGACTTGAACATTAATGTTCACAGCAGCTTTATTTATAATAGTCCAAACTAGAAGCAACTCAAATGTTCATCAACTGATACATGGATGAACACACTGTGGTATATCCATACAATGAAATACTACTCAGCAATAAAAACAAATAAACTATAGATACACGCTGCAACAACATGGATAAATCTCAGAATAATTATGCTGAGTAAAAACGGCCAGACTGAAAAAAAAACCTCAAAGAGTGCACATCACATGATTCCATTTAAACACAATTCTAGGAAATGCAAACTAAAGCACAGTGAACCAGAGCAGAGGGGTGGCTGCTGGGGTTGGGGCGTGGGGTAAGGGGAACATGGAGATGGGCTGGAGGATGGGCTCACCAAGGGCACATGACACTGTGGAGGGTGATGAGTGTGTTCACTATCTTGACTGTCGTTGGCATGGATGTTTGGAAACAGATGTTCATTGTACTGGGAGAATAAATTGGTACAGCCACTTTGAGGAGGAAAGTGGCCTATCTGGTGAAACTAAAGATCTGTGTACTTCCTGGCACAGCACTTCTAAGCCTGGGCATAACCCCCAAAGCTGAAATCAGTAAACTATAGCCCACAGCCTGGACCTTGTTTTTGTAAAGTACGTTTTATTGAATACAGCCACACATGCTCATTTACATGGTCTAATGCTGCGGCTGCATTCATGCCACATCGGCAGAATTCAATAGTTGCAAGAGACCATCTGGCTCAAAAAGCCTGAAGTATTTTTATCTGGCCCTTTACAGAAAGTGGCCTGATTCTTGCTGGAAGAGACACTGGCTCTTGAATGCTAGGAGGCATGGAGAGGAGCCATGGAAGCATTGTCTATGAAAGGAAATGGCTGAAAAACCTAAATGTCCATCAATAGAGTAATTAATAAGCAAATAATGGACTATAAGGCTTCAATTAAAATGAATAAACTACATCTACATGTATCAAAACATGAGAGAGAGAAACATGCTGCATGAAGAAAGCAACCTGCATAACAGATCAACACGAGGGTGACATTAGAAACTCAAAAAACACCACGAGGCACATCCAAAGTAGAGATACACACCAAGTTCATCCTGGGGACTGCCCTCGGGGGAACAGGACTGGGGCAGGGGGAAAAAGGACTTTGGCTCTTCCTACATGTTTTTTTTGAGACAGGCTTGCTCTGTCATCCAAGCTGGAGTGCAGCAGTGCAATCACAGCTCACTGCAACCTCTGCTTCCTGGGCTCAAGCGATTCTTGTGCTTCAGCCTCCTGAGTAGCTGGGACTACAAGTGTGCACCACCATGCCCAGCTAATGTTTGCATTCTTAGTAGAAAGGGGATTGGCCATGTTGGCCAGGATGATCTCAAACTCATAGCCTCAAGCAATCCGCCCACCTTGGCTTCCTAAAGTGCTGGGATTACAGGTGTAAGTCACTGCGCCTGGCCACATTTTTATTTATTTAAAAAAAAAATGTAGCAGGAGAATGGCGTGAATCCGGGAGGCGGAGCTTGCAGTGAGCCGAGATCGCGCCACTGCACTCCAGCCTGGGCAACAGAGCGAGATTCTGACTCAAAAAAAAAAAAAAATGTAACAAAAATGTTTTAAGAAGACCAACAAGTTAAATTTAAGTCTGATGTTTATCAATATCCTAAAGAAAATCATACAGACACTTGCTGATTTTCCCCTAACTGTAACATACATCAACCCTGACTTTGAAGTTCTCACTGACCACTCTTTTTCAAAACAGCAGATGTTTACCAAAAAAGGACACTTTTCCTTTCATCTTCTGAAGCCCAAAGATTTACCAATCTGAAATAATTTACTCTTCCAAGGAGACTTTGAAACACAATCCTAATATGCTTTGCGTAAAAATCATAGCTATAAAATTGAAACCAATGGAGGCTTCAAAGGTGACCTCCACTAGGAGCCTGGAGGGACACATTCAGGGTTTTCGACTGGGTCTCAGAAATACCACCAGGGACACCAGGACAACCCCTCATGCATACAGAAAGGACTATAATGTATTAACATTCCATCAATGAAAAAACAAACTGCAGAAGGCATTTCTCCTTTCAGCAAGGCAAACAGTGGTGCTGTCAGCAAAGCCTCCGCCGACAACATTCTCCAGTTATTATTGTTAAAAGGGCTCCCTCTACTGTTAGTCTCAATTGCACAGTTCTCATTGGCTATTTCAGGCCCTAGCTTTGTGACAAACTAGGACATGTTAAGCAAAATTATCTAAAACAACCATTAATTCAGCTGGGGAGAAATACATATATGTGTGCATGTGTGTGTACGTATGTGTGCACACATCCCTATATATAAAACTTTTTTAAATTGTTGAGTTATTAGGCTAAATATCCAAGAAACTTCTGTTTAAAAGAAAAAAAAAATTCTTCTTCCTCTTTAAAGTGACTGTAAGAGAAACCTGGCTGTGGCATTTGAGACACACCCTGTTGGCCCACAGGTGCCCGCCCTAGTGGTCATGTGCCCAAGGAAAGGGTAGTGGCTGGCAAGAGGCCACAGGTCCCAACAAAAGCACATCACACATGTGTGAGGGAGACTGCGGGGAACCAGGTACAATAGAACATGTATTTAAAAAAAAGACTTAAAAACATTCCCGGCCAGGCGCGGTGGCTCACGCCTGTAATCCCAGCACTTTGGGAGGCCAAGGTGGGTGGATCACGAGGTCAGGAGATCGAGACCATCCTGGCTAACACGGTAAAACCCCGTCTCTACTAAAAATACAAAATATTAGCTAGGAGCAGTGTCGAGCACCTGTAGTCCCAGCTACACGGGAGGCTGAGGCAGGAGAATGGCGTGAACCCGGGAGGCGGAGCTTGCAGTGAGCCGAGATCATGCCACTGCTCTCCAGCCTGGGCGACAGAGCGAGACTCTACCTCAAAAAAAAAAAAAAAAAAATTCCCAGTCTCTTACTTTGCAATCAGCCAGGATCAGGCAGCCAGCCTCCCAGTCTGCAAACAGGACCTGGGAGAAGGGATGGGCAAGGCCAGAAGGGGAGAGTCAGGGAGTCAGAGCCCAACAGGCCTTTGGCTCTTGGCTCCTGAGCTCCCCAAGTAAGCCGCTGCCCCCTCCCAAGACGGGGCTGGATACCAGGCCAGGGAAGTAGCCCCACAGAGGAAGTCCCACACTTTATATCCTCCCAACTGGGAGGAGGGAGGAATGGCTTTTTTTTTCTTTCTGAGGCAGGGTCTCACTCCGTTGCCCAGGCTGGAGTGCCGTGGCACAATCTCAATCCACTACAACCTCCACCTCCCAGGTTCAAGCGATTCTCCTGCCTCAGCCCCCCAAGTAGCTGGGACTACAGGCATGCGCCACCACACCCGGGTAATTTTTGTATTTTTTGTAAAGACAGGGTTTCACCATGTTGCCCAGGCTGGTCTCGAACTCCTGGGCTCAGGTAAGCTGTCTGCGCTGGCCTCCCAAGGTGCTGGGATTGCAGGCGTGAGCCACCATGCCTGGCCAGGAATGGCATTTAAATATGCAAACAGACATCACTGATAATGGTAATATTGAAAGATGCTCCAACTTGTAAAAGTCTGTAAATGCATGAAACAGACTGCTAAAATGCCAGTGTTTATGGAAATCATTCCATTACCTTCTCCCCAGGTTTGGGTGACTGCTGCAATTTCTCATAATCTTTCTTCGTCTCCAAAATTTTTTTCACAAGTCCACCTGTTGAAAAATCAGTGATTTTATGTTAAAAGTTTATTCTCTATCCCAAAAACCTATTCTAAATGGGTGGGATGGTGGGAAAAACACTAAGTTTTTATCCTATCTCTTTTTATGCTGAAACAGTTTCAAATAATCTTTATTTGTTAAGGAGATAGTACACAAGAGTGATAGACAGCTGGTAGTGGAAATTATCACATTTCAAAGTGTTTCAGGGAAATCAGCTCCTTGAAAAGTAAAAAGCTTTAGAAATAAAATAGATTTTCTATTTTCAAAGATTAAGAAGGAGTGTAGATTGACATCCAAAAATATAGCCATTTATTACAAACAGAAATAACAAGAAATGCTTCTAAGTACGGATACTTCTTTTACACTGGGGCAAGACTATTCCACTTCTTTCAGAATTTACTCATGGGATAAATATCATGTGAAGTTTTTTGGAATAGTGTTTCACCCAAGCATACATCAGCCCGAGGCTGACTGAATAAACGAGGGTACGTCCACACGGTGGAGGACGACGTGGCTATGAAGGAAATGAGGATGGTTTCTCTGCATTGCTGCAAAATGAAAGCCTGCATCTGCTGTCAAATTAAAAAGAGCAAGATGGAAATAAGTGTAGGTATCAGTAAATACACATGCACATGCATATGCATTTATTTATTTGTTTGTTTTTCAAATGTAAGTATAAGCCCTATTTTACTGTTACCTACAGGGAGAGGGAGAGTAGAGGGTAGAGGAGACAGGGAGAGTAGAGGGTAGAGGAGACAGGGAGAGTAGAGGGTAGAGAAGACGGGTCAAAGCCCCACATTTCTGATTATACCTGGTTTTGTACATCTGACCTTAAAATCATGCGAATTATCTTACATTAAAAAGGTAAACAACACTAATGCCTAAAGGTTGAATGCAAAATGAAATAAACTTAGTGATATCCAATTGGCAAGCATGCGCCACTAGAGAATTGTTTCACAACTTTAAAACAGGGTAACTGACTGTACATCCCTAATAGGATATACCCAACAAACAGGCAGACATACCTACCAAAAAAAAAAAAGTCCTTGGGCTGGGCTTGGTGGCTCACACCTGTAATACCAGCGCTTTGGGAGGCCAAGGGGGCCGATCACAAGGTCAGGAGTTCGAGACCAGCCTGGCCAACATGGTGAAACCCCGTCTCTACTAAAAATACAAAAAAATAACTGGGTGTGGTGGTGGGCGCCTGTAATCCCAGTTACTCAGGAGGCTGAGGCAGGAGAATCTTTTGACCCCGGGAGGCAGAGGTTGCAGTGAGCCAAGATCGCGCCACTGCACTCCAGCCTGGGCGACAGGGCGAGACTCCATGTCAAAAATAAATACATAAATAAAAATAAATAAAATAAAATAAAATAAAATCCTTCAGCGTTTCCAGTAATCCTATTGTTGTTAAAAACCAGTCGTGGTGTTCTAAAATTGCTATGTGAGCATATGAAGGATCATAAAGCATGGGGACAGCCGCTGCTGCTGGGAGCCAGGCTTTTTGGCATGAGATGGAAGAGATGCATATATAAAACCAAAGAATGCAGGCAAAACCCTACAATCCTAAATCGGAATTGGAAATATCATCACTAAGTCAGAATATACTTTCTTATTTTAAAAAAGTATATCCCTGCTTTTGCAGTGAAAATGCCTGGAAACAAGAAGCAACCCAGAGCAGTAAGCGGCCAGGTGCCTTGGAGAAATGAGGCAGTTATGGGGCAGGAAGTACACAAAATAAGCTGGAAACACCTTGTCGTATCAGAAAACAAGGAAGCTAAAGAGTGTACTGGGATGTGTCTAAAGGCCCCCAGAAAATAACTCCAATAGGCTCCCCTGGTCAAATACTGGGCAATCTGAACATTAATAAGAAAAACTGAGATGGGCTGAAATGAAACACATCCACTATGTTAAAAATCCGTGACTAGGCTGGGCACAGTGGCCCATGCCTGTAATCCCAGCACTTTGGGAGGCCAAGGCGGGTGGATCACTTGAGGTTAGAAATTGGAGACCAGCCTGGCCAACGTAGCGAAAACCTGTCTCTACTAAAAATACAAAAATTGGCCAGGCATAGTGGTGCACGCCTGTAGTCCCAGCTACTTGTGAGGCTGAGGCACGAGAATCACTTCAACCCGGGAGGCAGAGGTTGCAGTAAGTTGAGATAGCACCACTGAACTCCAGCCTGGGTGACAGGGCAAGACTCCGCCTCAAATAAAAAAGGGTGGCTTCATATAGATACCAAAAAAAACCCCAAACCCCCAAAACCAACAAGCCCTCGTTACTCACCTGTGATAGGTGCCAGGAAACAAAGTCATATTGTGAGAACAGATCTATAAAGGAAAGTACTCAGCCTGCCTCTTCTGCAGAAACTGTGTTCCAGGATACTCAAACCCTGGTGTGGGGAACGGGGTTTGCACTACTGAGTTGTCCAGCTAGAAAACCAACAATAACATTCCAGAACTAGACTTGCAAAGGGCCTCAGAGATCATCTACTTCCACAATTTAATCGTACGGAAGAGACGAGATGTCATCTGCAGGACAGTTGCCAGTGAGTTTCCAGCTTCCAACTGTGCCCTCCCCCTCCTCTAAGGATGGGGAGCAGCAGCCATCGCCTTAAGAGTAATCCATGCCCGCAGGGTCCTATGTACCACCAGTGTGATCCCGCCAGTGTGACCCAGACCAGAACCTGGCACACAACAGTCCCTTGCACTGGATCCTTCCAGGCCCACGTGGAGAAGGTGCATGAGCACACACACATGGACATACATGCACACTCGTGCCCAGGACTCACCATGCTTCTCCTCTTCTTCTAGTTCCACTGCTGTTACCTGAGCAGGAAAGGAAGGGGGAAAAAGAAGATTCAGGCTTGTTGAATTTTAAAGATCATGCTTCTGTGGATCTCAAAAAAAGAACAACAAAATTAACGAAGGTAGAAAACTAACTGAAAAATTACAGGACATTTTTGTCTACATAAATCTAAAAGCTAGACTATTAATCTCAATGAAGGTAAAACATTATTATTAAAAAACATCATATTTCGGTTAACTAACCATTTCAATTTCTGACATTTCAGAGAGCTGAGGGGCAGCTTCCACCACAAATTGATCATCCTCTTCATTGTCAGAATTGTGTGACTCTGTAATCACATTTGAAACGGTTTTACCACTCCCTGACCTAAATAAAAAGAAATTAGATTAAATTAGAATTACACATTTTCATCAGTCCCAAGCATCTGAAACTGTGTCAGAGGTCGGCAGAGAGGAATCTAATCACCAACCATCTCTAGCTAGAACAGCATCTCAAGCTACCCGCTGAAGCTAAGATGGACTGTCTGCAAACAGTGTCCTCTGCAAGCCCTCCAGGCCTGAGTCCCTGTGAGCCTCGCCCTCCACCCCCACCCAGCTTCCCCACGTCCCTGTGCTGCCCAGGCCTCCTGGTCCACACCTGGCCTCCCGTCCCCACAGCCTCGTCATGCCCTCTACTGCACAAAGACCCTCAGGGCCTCCGCCTCTCCCCTGACTGCGCTCTCAGTGACACCAGCCCTTCACCTGCTGCTTTCTACCTGGAGGCGCTTATTGCCCTGGGTCACAAACCTCAGGGCAGGGGCCACATTGGGGTCCCACTGACCAGGGCTGACCCCAGACCTCTCTTCACACAGCCAGCTGGAGGCCCCTCATTCAACTCCTAGTCACAGTGGCTGCCCTATGTCCCGCTCAGCACCACGTACACACTGCGCTCCACCCAAGTCCACATCATTCTGGGCAAGTCAGCGTCCAACAGCCTGGCCCTCCAGCCCCAGACCTTGTCCTCCTTGGTGACAGCCTTCACCCAAGGGCTCTCTCATGCTCTCCAGGGCCACCTACTAGAACTGCCCCACCTACAGCTGCCCCACTCCTCCTCACTCAGGCCACTGTCAGCTCACTCTGTACAAATGTGAGCCCCCGACCCAAACACTCTACAGGCTCCTTAATGGCCCCTCCTGCCTTTGTTTCTTCCCTACACACTTGTGCTTTAAGCAATCACCTAACTCCCCCTGCCCCGTTATCGCAGTGCTGCATGCGTGCACATGCATACACACACACACACACACACACGCATACACACAAGCACATGCACGCACACGCGCGCGCGCGCACACACACACACACACACACACACACACACACCAAAATCCTCCCTTGCTTCAGTGCCATGCACAAGGTCCAGAGGGAATGTAGACACTTGGGAACGACCTCTGAAAATAACACCCATTGCCCCAAACATCCTCGACTTCCTCAACTGGGTCCTTGAGACACTCAACAACCACCTGTGTGGCTCCGCCAGGACCAACCTCACTTCGAACCCGCTGCTCTGTCAGTACCAGGAAGTCCAGGCTCCCGTCCCTCGTCTCTCACGCTCCCAGCACACCCTCACTGTGGCCCACGATCCACCTCCTCAACACCTGCGCCCCTGTGCCTGCCGTGATCGGCAGGCCCTCTCTGTCCCGCCTTGCTCTCCAGGACACAGCTTCCCCACAGCCCTCAGCTGCAGCTGCTGCTCCTCCCACCGGCCTCTTGTCACGGGCCCAGAGGGAAGGTCAGTAATTTCCTTATGCTTGCTTCGGCTTCCAGATCACTCTCCCTAAAAACTGCCAACTTTAAATCTTGTCACCCTCGACCCCATCATTGCTGCCATCAGCTGCCAACCCATGGTCCCACCCAGTCCTCCTGGACCCGCCACTCTCACCAACGGTGCTCCTGTCTTACTTGTGATTTCAAGTATTGAGAAATGATCCTTCCAAAATCCTGGCCTTGGGTCCCTGAACCCTGCTGGGATGATCCCACCTCCCACACTCGACGCCCACTCCCAGGGGCACCCCTGTCACTACCACTAACAGCAAGCTCCAACCTCAAATCCAAGCGCCCCACTCCTTTACCACCACTATCTATATTCCCAGCTCACCGCCCTAGGACCTGACTCCAACAATCCTTCTATCCATCCGGCACCTTCAGCCTCTCAATCCTAATGCCTCCTCCTGACCTTCACCCCGAGGGCTCCTCCCTCACTCACTGGCATAAATCCCACATTGGTCATGACCGTGGCGCTTCCACATACTCCTACTCCTTCCCTTCTCTCTCGGTGCACTTGCTTGGCACAGCCGAGCCCTGTTTAATACAGCCTGTGCCCCCCAGTGCCTGTAGGTGTAGCCAACTGCAGCTGCAGAACAGGCCCCGCCACACCATCTTCTGTCTCTTTACGCCCAAGTCCACCAGATGCTGCCCTGAAGTCAGCTGTCAGCCACGGCCTCCGCCCAGGCACTATGGGCAGGCAGCCCATCCTCCTTTGTGGTGGAGACTGTCCTGTGCATTGTAGGAGGTTCAGCAACTGCCCTGCCCTAACCCCTCCCCTTCATCAGAACACCAGAAAATGTCTCCAGATCATGGCCCAGTGTCCCCAAAGTAGGATCACCCCTAGAGGAAAACCTCTGCTCCAGTCTCTTCACTAGCCCACTCTCGTGCACAGCGACTTCACCCAGCCCCTCTCTCCTCTGACACTCCTCTTCCCCCAGACCCTCTTACGGCTCATGAGAAAAATAAGTACCAGAAAATCACCTTAAGAATCTGCATCACACCATGTGCCGACTCCACCTCCGCGCCCGTTCCCACACCCACACGGGGACTCTGCTCCACCAAACCCCTGTCCCACGTCGCCTACGTCATCAATTTCCCCTTTCCACTGGATCATTCCCGTCATTAGAAAAATAATAACTCCCCTTGACACCACCTTTCCCACTTTCTAGTCTTATTCCTTCCCTTCTCTTTGTGGCAAAACTCCTAGAAAAACACATCTACTCCTGCCTCCAATCCCTGCCTCTTATTTGATCTGAAACCCACTCTGATCCATCCTATCTGTTGTTTGTCTTTATATTGCTTATGACTTTATTTTTTTTTTTGAGATAGTCTCACTCTGTCGCCCAGGCTGGAGTACAGCAGTGCAATCTCAGCTCATTATAACCTCCACCTCCCAGGTTCAAGTGATTCTTCTGCCTCAGCCTCCTGAGTAGCTGGGACTACAGGCACACGCCACCACGCCCAGCTAACTTTTGTATTTTTAGTAGAGACGGGGGTTTCACCACATTGGCCAGGCTGGTCTCAAACTCCTGACCTCAAGCCATCCGCCCGCCTCGGCCTCCCAAAATGTTGGGATTACAGGCGTGAACCACCAGGCCCAGCCTGCTTATAACATTTTGATCACCTTCTATTTTTAATTTTTCTGCAATTAAGCCCCTAATTTTTTTCCCCTATTTTTTCCTAATTCCCCTATTGTTTTCACGCTTAGAAAGTCTTCAATCTAGGGGTCAGAGAAATGCAGTCCAACATTTTCCCATAGATGTGAAGATGTATTTTACATGTATGCATGGTTTTTCTCTTTCATCCATCTGACATGTCTGTTGGCCTATGGTGTGAGGCGAGGGCCTACCCTCACTTTTTGTTCCTCAATAGCATGTTTCCAGCACCATGTGCTGCTTCCCTCCCCCTTCTCTTAGCGGAGGCACCATGCCCACTGGAGAACACACTGTGTGGCTGGAACTGCCCTGCTGAGCCAGCCTTACCTATCCATTTGTAGCGCCTCCATGCTGTCTTGCCGTTTGACCCGGGGAGGGGCTGGTCTTGCACTCCCAGGCCGAGGAATTCTTCTAAACCCAAATATTGGAAAACCAAAAAAGGAGTATGAAAGGCTTATACATTTCAAACTGGAAAAGAAAGCCCAGGTGAATGTTAACTCTCATCTCCAAGCCATAATCAATGTGCTGGTTAGGACACGCTACTCTGCAGAAGAGGAGGAACGTCCCAGTAACCCGACCAATCAGAAAGTGTCCATCTTTCCACTTGTATTTTCAGTAATTTCAAAATACCAACAACTGTCACTAATCAAAACATCACATAATTCAGCTATAATTTTGAATTCCCCTAAATCTCCAAAATATTATATCACTATATAGTGATATAACTCCAGTACAGAAAACTGATATACTTCTTGTATTCTTTGTATAAGTAATTCCTCATAAGTTAGCTCAAGCACTAAATAAATAGCAGCAGCCAGAAAGAGAAGCACAGCAGTGTCCTAGGTGTGATCACTCTGCTGAGGGAAAGGGATTCAAAGCACACAGACCTGATGTTGGATGAAAGCTCATTAGGAATTTCTGGAGTCTCTGGCACCTCAGACTTATCTTGGCCAGCAGGTCCAGCATCTCCTTCTAAACAAATGACAATCAATTAGCAATTCACAAAGGAAAACACACATAGATAACTATTTGAAAATACTATTTGCATCTGTATTTGCAGTTATTTGCAATCAAATACATTTGTAATTGCAAATACAAATGAGCAATTTTTCCATCAATCATGTTGATGAAGAGAAAATCGATGTCTGATATCTAAACTCAGTGAAGATTTGGGAAAATGGGCACACTCAAACCCAGGGAATACAAACTGGTTCAACTACTTCAGAAATAAAATTCAAAAGGCAGGCTGATCAACTGAGCACTTAAAGGAAATACAACCCAAGAGGAGAAATGGACACATGTCAAGATGTTCACCCATCGTCACTGGTAATACTGACAATCAATCAGTAACTAAGTAAATTATGGTACAGTCACATGTCAGCTCCCTTTTGTGTGAAACAATCCAGTACAGTAATATATCTAACAATTATATACATATGCATATATATATATACAGGGTTCTAGAAGAATATTCATTTAAGTTATAAGCAGTAGAATTACCAGTGCTTTTAATTTTTGTTCTTTTTTTTTTGCATTTTTAAATTTTTCTACATTGGTATACCATATTATGTTTATAATCTGAACAAAGTTTTCTTCATTTTGATAAAAAGAATTAATCAGTAAATAACAAGGCCTAAACTATTAAGACAAGTTTACTCCACTATTTAAAGTAAAAGGAATTAACACTTCAGAAAATAGTCAGAATTTGAATATTAGAAATATACTTTATATTCTGGAAAAAAATCCTGAAATGTATTGTTTTCAAACTTAAAACATATAAATTAAATTTCAAATTAAATTAGGGTAGTTGGCCAGGCGCAGTAACTCACACCTGTAATCCCAGAACTTTGGGAGGCCGAGGCAGGTGGATCACCTGAGGTCAGGAGTTCGAGACCAGCTTGACCAACATGGAGAAACCCCGTCTCTACTAAAAATACAAAATTAGCCGGGCGTGGTGGTGCATGCCTGTAATCCCAGCTACTCAGGAGGCTGAGGCAGGAGAATTGCTTGAACCCGGGAGGCAGAGGTTGCGGTGAACCGAGATCATGCCATTGCACTCCAGCCTGGGCAACAAGAGTGAAACTCCATCTCAAAAAATAAATAAATAAATAAATACATTAGGGTAGTTATGATCTTTTTCCATAAAATAAGTTACTTTCACTAATGCACTTTATAAAGCATGAATCTGAGAGTCCACATTCACATTCACACACATGCATACAATTGATATGACACACAGGTATCTAAGGCCATTCCTCACCTGCATCACTGGTGGAGTCACCTAAAGAAAAAGCACATCAGAAAATTAGCTTTCGTGTAGTCAACCTCAATACATTAAATGATGAGAACAGAATTGGAGAAAAAACACACTGTACATAATTTTGGATGTCTGCTAAGAAAAAAAGATCATTTCCTCATAGCCGCTTTTCTAATGTCCCTATTGCCATTTTGTTTTATTTTCAAAGATAGAAAAACAAAGAGCAAACAAACTGTGCATCATAAAATGGTACTAAATAGAAACAGGACACAGGGATGTGGAGAAAGCACATCGGAGAGGAAGTTAACAAGTTCATGAGACAAGAATCGACAAAGCCAGAGCCACAGAAAAAGTGCATCCAAATGTGAGGGAACGATGCAACAGTCTGAACCCGGCCAACCAAATCCCGGGCCGTTCCAAAGACTGGGAGACAGTCAACAACAGCCCATCTTATAGACATGATTGGTAAGCATTTTTCCATCAGCTCCTGAAAGCAGAAGAAAATCTTCCAGCTCAACAGAGGCCCACCTCTGCACCTTCACCCAGGATCCTTTTTCTTCAAGTGTTGTCTTGAGGACAAATGTGACCTAAACGGTCAAAGTAAATGAGCAGTGGCACCACAGGGGTGGGGTGATTCAAAACCACAGGTGGGAAATCTCTGTTTCACACTCTTAAGATGCACGAACGCATTTGCAGAAGAGCAGAAAGCGCATGGATTCACATGACAGCCCAGCACACTATACGGCAGAGAGGAGGCAGCAGGGCCTGATGCAGCGCCTCGTTTAACACGGCCCCGCCTCAGACAGGAACAGTTCATGCAGCCTCGAGAAATCAGCCTGGGTTATTGTGAGGGTCCACACCGAGCAGAGTGAGGAGCACTCTACAGACACCTCTAGCTCGTTTATTCACAGGAGGACTTTCTGTGAGCATAACAGCCACGAGCTCATAAATGCTGCCTTAAGAGGGTGGCTCTGGCAGGGAGAGAGGGGGCCAAGCTTGTGGATCAAGGGGAACCGGGAGGCTCTAGAGGACTCTATTAGTATGGGCCTGAGAACCTCCAGAGGTCACACCCCACAAAGTGCCACAGCACAGGGGGTAGCCTGGCACCCACCAGGGCCTAGGGGACTGGAGGGCACAGTGGTTAGCAGGGGGCTGGAGAATGTGGTTCCAGATAGTGCCACTACAAGGGCAGTTTCAGAGACCCCAGCACTTTGGGCCAATGGGGGCAGAGGACTCAGCTCAACCCTGGGATGGGACTGCTGGGGACCAAGAGCAGGTGGCAGAAGATCTTTTCCTCATGGCTGTGCGGCCTGGAGCGTGTGCTTAGCAGAAACCAGCACTGAGAGTCCTCGTGCGACCTGGGGGCAGGCAGCAGACACAGTTTCAAATCCCCGGCTCTTTCTTCAAAACACCAGGGTGTTAGGAACAGACCCTGGATTAACACAGCACTCAAAAAGGTGCCTGAGAGGTGCAGTTATTCAACCACAAGGCCGATACCCAGAAGGAAAGTCAGCACAGTGAACTCTCTACCTTTCAATGGATACTTCCAGTCCCCGTTACCCAGAACCCAAGGCACCTGCCACATGGCCCACACCATCCTCCCCGACGCCTGTGCTTCCACAGCGCCAGTGCTCTGCCAGCTCCTGCACTCACAATCTCGTCCTAGGTGACCCAGTCCCCACCCAGGCTCCTGCCATCACCCAGCGCCAGCAACTCTCACAGCTCCTCTCTAGCCTGGGCCTTCCCTCTACGCTCCAGGCCAGCTCCCCCAGCACGTGCCAGCAGCCCTGGAATCCTACCACTTCTCCCCTCCCAGGGCGCCTCCACAGTCCAGGCCTCTCTCTCTTCTCTGCACAATCTTTAACCCTCCCTAATTAACATGGCCACTCTTTAAAATCTAAATATCATTATACTGCTCCTCCTAAAGATATAATTAGCCTCCCGCTGCTCTTCCAATAAAGGCTAAACTCCATAAGCTGGCACAGGGACCTGGCTCTGGCCCTTCCTCTGGGCTGAGCCAGCCCTGCTGCAGTCGCATCCCAGCCGGGATCTTGGTTTATACAGCCCCTTCTGCCCTGCAGGCTTTCTGGGCCACCCTCACCAACCAAGGCCCCTCCCGTCCCAGACTGCCACCCCATCAAACGATTTCGGTTGATCTTCGAGCCTCATCTGCACCAGGAAGGCAGGAGGCCAGCCTGACTTCACTGGCTCATGCGCTCCCAGCCTCAGGGCTGACATGCAGTAGGCCTTCAACAGATAATTTTCTGTTTGAACAAATCAACAAACATCAGCCCTCCCCTGGCCACACCCCACCCTGCCGCTGCCACCTGCACAAGCCTTGGTTACCTGGGCACTGGTACCCTTGCAGGCCTGTTAGGAGCTCCAAGGCCTCAAAACACAAACATTGAATGGCTATTTTACCAAAGTTTTTTTAAAGGCTGAGAAAATTTATGGTGAAAGTAAAATCCCACTGAGGTATAATTCAACACTCAAAGAAAATGACAGACAGAAAAATCATGGTGGCCACAGCACTGTGACCATGAAGTCTGGGGGGTACACCTCTTGACTGGTGGGGCTCTCCAAGTAGTGACCCCGAAACTTTTCAGGGACCACTCATGACACCCCCCAAGTGATGAAACATGCCACCTCCTCTCACTTACAGAGCACGGGGGAGCACACGAGTGGGTCCCATGCTATCAAGAAACCACCATGTTCGATTCTAGTTTATGCAAAAAGGCAGAAGTGAATCACTGTGAATCACTTGCCACGTTCAGACCCAAGAGGAAAACCTCGGGCTCTGGGCTGCGGCCCTTTGAGAAGAAGGTTCTGGAGGGCTCACTCTGCTCTCGCCAGGAAAGGGCGAAACTGGACCATTCTTACCTTTCTGCTTCTCTGTGGGGTTGGGCTGAATATTCTCACACCGCAGACTAGCTGAATTATCATCTGAAATACTAGTTGAGTTAATATTAGCTTCTTTTGTTCCTGACATAAAACAGTTTAAAATTAGTCATTAAGACTGTACACCAAAGGGCCGGTGATCAGCGGCTTCATTAACATAGAGCACACTTACTTATCTATGTTTTCCCACACTGCAAGTTAGGACTGACAAAGGACTGACCAAAGGCAGCTTTTAGAAAACATGCATCTAGAATGTTCCTCCCCCATGGGCGGCTCTGGGGTGAAAGGGAAAGGACACCCCAGACTATGAGTGGATCCTTGGTCTACTCAGGCCAGGAGGAGCAGACTGCCCCCGCCCCCCATTTCTGGAGCTACCTGACACTGCCAGTCTCCACTCACCTCCCCAGTAGAGCCAGACCCAGCAGCTGAGAGGCTGCAAGTAGGCGGCTGTTTCAGGAATGCAGGAAGAAAAGAAAAATATTTTGGACACAGTGCACAGTCCTGGCCATATTGAAAACTTCCACATATTGTCTACTAATTACTGACTGATGTTCCAAAGTTTATGAAGATAGAAAAAATATCAAATACCTGAGAAAATATTTTTGCTGTGAAAAAAAAAACAGGCTGGGCACAGTGGCTCACACCTATAATCCCCGCATTTTGGGAGGCCTAGGTGGGAGGATCACTTGAACCCAGGAGTAAAGACAACCTAGGTAACACAGAGAGAACTCGTCTACACAAAAAAATATAAAATTTAAAAAGCTAGCCAAGCATGGTTACACACACCCGTAGTCCCAGCTACTCAGGAGGCTGAGATGGTAGGATCACTTGAGTCCAGGAGTTTAGGCTGCAATAAGCTGTGATCACGCCACTGCACTCCAGCCCAGGGCAAAGAGTAAGACCCTATCTCGGGGAAAAAAAAAAAAAAAAAAAAGGCCAAGCACAGTGGCTCATGCCTGAAGTCTCAACACTTTAGGAGGCCAAGGCAGGCACCAGCCTGGGCAACATAGCGAAACCTCATATCTACAAAAATTAGCTAGGCATGGTGGCAGGTGCCTGTAGTCCCAGCTACCCAGGAGGCTGAGGCAAGAGAATCACGTGAGCCCAGGAGGTCGAGGCTGCAGTGAGCCATGATCATGCCACCACTCTCCAGCCTGCATGTAAGAGCGAGATCATGTCTGAAAAAAAAAGGGTAGGAGCCAGGTGTGGTGGCTCACGCCTATAATCCCAGCACTTTGGGAGGCTGAGGCCGGTGGATCATGAGCTCAAGAGAGCGAGACCATCCTGGCCAACATGGTGAAACCCCATCTCTACTAAAAATAGAAAAATTAGCCGGGTGTGGTGGCACATGCCTGTAGTCCCAGCCACTCGGGAGGCTAAGGCAGGAGAATCTCTTGGACCCGGGAAGCAGAGGTTGCAGTGAGCGAGATCGTGCCACTGCACTCCAGCCTGGTGACAGAGCCAGACTCTGTCTCAAAAAAAAAAAAATAGGGGGCCCAGATGAGGGGCTAGAGGAATAGGTTCTATATTACAGCAGGACCCAGAGCTGGAAAACTAGCTTCAGTCAAAGGACCTACCACTCTAAAAAGAAACTGAGAGACAAAAATAAAATTGTAAAATGTTCCCTTTCCTGAAACACAATCTTATAATTCTTAAAACTATTCAAAACAGCTTACATCAGAATCAACCTGACATTAACTATCATATAACTGTTTTATTTATAATGTAATAGAACTACATAAAATAGATGACACATAATTTTGCAAAGACATTTTTATCAATCTGTGAAAATGATACTGACTTAAATAGTCTGATTCAAACAGTTATTTATATTTTACTCAGGGTAACCAGAGAATAAACATGAAATATTAAGTTCTTAACAAAAAAAAATCTAAAAATAAACATAAGTTTGGCGGTTGTAGATGCTCAACTTTAGAAGAAAACACTCTAATAATTTTAAGTTGTGTACTTGATTTCAAAGTGTCAAATGTTTTCCATACTCTACCATATTCACCATCACAGTAAGCAAATTATAAATGCATTATCTTCATTCTGTAGTTCAGAGACCAATGACACTTTCACAATTTTACCTTTTCAAAGTTCTAGTGGTATTCTTATGTAAGCTTTACTAAACCCCAAGTTCACACCGAGAGAAAGAACATGAAAACAGACTATAGCTCACTAATTATACCACACTGTAGAATCAATTCATAATCACAGAGAAGGGACTAACCAATTTGTCAAATAATAGTTTTAAACAAATAAATAATGCACTTATAAAATGAAAATGACGGCCAGGAGCGGTGGCTCACACCTGTAATCCCAGCACTTTGAGAGGCCCAGACAGGTGGATCACCTGAGCTCAGGAGTTTGAGACCAGTCTGGCCAACATGGTGAAACCCCATCTCTACTGAAAACACAAAAATTAGCTGAACCTAGTGGCACACGCCTGTAATCCCAGCTACTCAGGAGGCTGAGACATGAGAATCCCCTGAACCTAGGAGGTGGAGGTTGCAGTGAGCCAAGATCACACTACTGCACTCCAACCTGGCAATAGAGTGAGACTCCATCTCAAAAAAGAAATAAAATAAAATAAAAATGACTATGAATTGGCAAAATAAAAAAAAAAGAGTCACAGCATAAGCACAATCTGTTTTCTAGAGCTACCTGGTAACCAATGAACCTTGTAGGTGAGAATGTGAGCCCTGGCTCAAGACGCCCTAGGGTGGAACACTGGCGCTTCCTCTCTCCATGGGCTATGCTTTGGTCAGGTCCCTCAGCCTTCCTGAGCCGCAGTTTGCCCAGTTTGCCCCGCCTCACAGAGCCATCCTGAGTCAAATGAGATCTTGTGCATACAGCAAGGAGCACTGTGCCCGGCTGGGAGGGGCCAGTCCCTATCAGTCACTGTTATTGAAACTAATCAGACGTACGGCCCATAAATACAATTGAAAGAGGTCCATCATTCGGCCAGTGTTCTGCGCAAATTTTAGCTACACTAAGTTAAATGTCATCAAATAGCCAGTGTTTTTTTTTTAAAAAAAAAAAAAAGAATAGAAAAACATTTCTGGGACAATTAGAATACAGCTTGGGTTTTAGATGCTATCAGGAAGCAATAACTGAGTTCAGTTAGACAATACTTTTCTGGCTATGTAGGAAAATGTACTTTTTTTTAAAGCTGCATGTCGAAGTATTTAGAGATAAAGTGTTAGGATGTTTTTTTAACATACTTTGAAACAGTTCATTAAAATATGTAACTATATGCTGGGTCTGCTGGCTTATGCCTGTAATCCCAGCACTTTGGGAGTCTGAGGTGAAAGGATCACTTGAGCCCAGGAGTTCAAACCAGCCTAGGCAACAAAGTGAGATGCTCTCTCTACAAAAAAAAAAAAAAAATTAGCTAGGCATGGTGACACATGCCTGTAGTCCTAGCTAGTCAAGAGGCTGAGGCAGGAGGATCACTTGAGCCAAGGAGTTCAAGACTGCAGTGAGCTATGATCATACCACTGCACTCCAGGCTGAGTGACAGAGCAAAGCCCTGTCTCAAAAATACACATAAGAAGCCGGGTATCGTGGCACACACCTGTAGTCCCAGCTACTCAGGAGGCTGAGGCAGAAGAATCGCTTGAACCCGGGAGGCGGAGGTTGCAGTGAGCTGAGATCATGCCACTGTACCCGAGCCTGAGCAACAGAGTGAGACTCTGTCTCTGTCTCTGTCTCTCTGTCTCTCTCTCTCTATATATATATATACACACACACACACACACACACGCATAACTGTACATTAAGCAAAATGGCAAACGTAAAACTAGTGAATCTGGGTGAGAGGTATATGGGCACTAGTTGTACTATTCTTTCTACTTTTCCATATTTTTCACAATAGAAACAGTTAGAGAAGTAAGCAAAAATGAAATGAGGGAAACTAAGCAAAATAAAGACCTGACTTAATGTTCCAGAAAAACCTGGAACTGTCACACAATTGTAAAGCGAACAAAGCATGCCTTACAGCTTGCATAACAACTGGAGTACAGGAAGAAATTGTTCATGTTTTGAAAAAGAAATGGATAAATTCCTTGTTGAACTCTTTAATCCACCCAAAAAATCAAAATGGTAACAATAAAACCCACAAATTCTCTGATGATGACCCAGGCTATGGGCACAGGGCTCACGAGGGCCGGGTCAGTCAGTGCAACAAAGGCCGGCTTTGACAACATGGACTTTTCTTCGAAGCACTAAGAAGGAAAGGTACTGTGAGGACCAGCTCATTAACCAGACCCAATAGCAGTGCACCCTCAATGAAGAAATTAAGGAACTGTAACAACTGCCAGCAAACTCTGAATTCCAAATGTTAAACCATGACCAGTGCAAGGTAACACCTGCAACTGCGAGGACAGAGACCCCAGGTCCGCGCTGTGGCAGGACCCTAGGGGAGCAGGGCCAGGGTCGGGGGGAGGAGAAAGACAAGGGACCGGGAGTCTCTCCAGAGCCCAGACTCTGCTCCTGGCCACTGTTCCCAACCCCCCCGCCCCGCCACCCACCGCACACTGCCACCCAAGGACAGCGGGAGACTCTGCTCCCCAGCAGGTGGCATCAGGCTCCATCCCAATCTCTGCAAAAAGTTCAACCCAGAAACCACGTTTGCAGTTTGTGCTTCTTACTGCCTGGGTTTGTGTTATCTTCACACTTGTTGATATTACCTACACAGTCCTCACTACGTGTCTGGAGAATGATTTCAATTTGTTCTAAATCCATTGCCCATCTCAGGATGAGCGCTGTCTCGCCCTGATCTGGGGCTGGCAGCTCAGCAGAGGTGATCCGTGATAAAGCGGGTTAGACCGCGGCGTGCCTGGGGCAAGCCACCACTTAATGGACACCTCGTTCACCCTCAAGGCAGGTATCTTTACGCCCATTTATGACGAGGAAACTGTGGCTCAGAGAACCCACTCACGTGGCTGGCTCAAGGCCATGAGGCAGGTAAGCAGGAAGTGGGGAGTCATCCCTGTGGCCTCAGAGATGAGGTCCTAGCTAGCTGGGTGGGGGCTACCAGGAGTCCACCCCTCAGGCTTTCGCCACTGCCTGCTGCCCTCTCCTGCAGTGCAGGATTGCAGTGTGCCTGGGTGTTTCCCCCCAGGCGCCTGGAGATGAGGAAAGCTCCCACAAAAAGAAAACATACATCACCAAGATGTGGTTGAATGGTAACATGCATGCCTGTATGGCAGGGGCTCTCTTCAGTGGAAACACCCTGCTCCAGCTCAGTCACCTTTTCCTCCGCCATCCCATGCTACTGAAGACCCAGACAACTCCCATATAGTCACCCTACTTGGAATAAAATAACCACAGATCATCTTTCACACTGCGGCTGCTGTACCAAGTGCGCCCACTCCTGGAAATGCCAGCTCTCAGGGGAACGCACACAGAGAGAGAAGGATGTGCTGATCGGTATTCCAGCTACGCTCCAGAACGTGTAAAAGTCAGACAGATACAAGGCAAGTTGGGCCCAGCAAAAATTTCCTCTTCCCCTAAAGTCTAATTTTACACTATTTTTACCTTAAGTGAAACTGAAGAATTCTAGCATCTTGAAGAATTCCGTCTGAAGTCACAGATGACAGTGGTTACTGATACTGAACCAAGGACCACCCCCTCTGAGGCAGCAGGACGAGGGCTGGGCACACCCACCACACGGCTGGACTGAATGTGATTGGCTGTGACAGGCCAACTTCCCCAACGTGCCTAACTAGCACTTTAAACATCTCTACTGCGAGCATTTTCTGAGTAGAATAAAGCAGAGCAGGACGAAGACATAAAAACCGTTTCTCTATGTCATCAGCCACACCACTGTGAGATCCCGACAGCAAGATTAAGAAAGCATTTTGACTGAAATGTAAAAATAATCTATGTATAAAAAGGCATATAATTAACTAAAAGCTGAGTTAATAAAGTTACATAACTTAGCATATTAAAGCAAATAAAACCTCAAGTTATGTCCAGTCTTCAATACATCATGAAAAAGTCTCATGAACATTAAAGTAGTTAGAATAATTTTTTAACAATGTATAACTACATTGAGATATAACCATTCACATTAAAGTGGTGAGGAATTTAAACTAAAGAATATATTTTTCTTACCTATTTCTGATGTTGTCGTTTCCTGATTTGGCTCATTATTTATTCCAGACACTATGGAGTCTAAACTTTTAGCTGAAATATTATCCTCCTTCCTTCCTGACATAAAATAGTTAACAACAGATTAAAATATTATAAAAGATTTTGTGTTTGGTTGTTTTAGCTGGGATTTATAAGGGTTACATTACACCAAGGTCACCAGCAAACTGTCTTGTCAACTAAATGGTCAATTCTCAGCCTCCACATGATTCCCCTCCTTAGAGCTTGACAAGAAGCCCCCTCTCCTTCCCTAACACTTTCTTCCTCTCCAAGTTTTCCTCCAACTTGTTGGCCTTCTGTTTCCTTTGCAAGGATGATCCTCCCTCCTCCTCTTCCTCCTCCTCCTCTTCCTCTTCTGACCTGGGGGACCACAGCAAGCTCTGGAGTTCACCACGTCCTTTCCTACCTACACACGCCCCTGGACTAATTACTGCGCAAAGGTCCATGTCCGTAAACATCACTTGTATGCTAGAACTCTCCATTTTTTGTTTTTCCCTTTGGTTTCTCCAGCTCTCTCCTGATCTCCAAGTCAATATATCCAGCTGTCGACTAGATGTTTCTACTTGGTTGGTCCATAGCCATCTCAAATTTGTTGTCCAACACAGAATTCCTAACACTGCCACCCATTCCACCAACCAGTGTCTCCCAGAACCGTCTATGTCAATAAAGGCCACCCCCTAGGAGCCCAGACCCCTCCCACAATGAATCTCATCTTTGATTCCTTTCCGTTCAAACAAGTGGCATCCAACCTGCCAGCACAGTAAACCCACTCTGCTGTCACCACTGGCACTCTGGTCCAAACCATCACCTCCTCTCATCCAGATGCCATGGCCCCCTCCTCGCTGCGCTGCAGCCTTTACTCCTGCCACTCCACAGTTTTAAAAGGAGGCCTTCTACAACCTAAGTCAAATCTTGCCTCGGTGCTGCTTAAAACTCTTCAAGGACTTCTGTGTGCACTCACTGTAAACCACACAGCTGCTGTGGACCGGGAACAGCAGCTCCGGGACCAGCAGCTCCAGGCCCTGCTTCCTGGCCCGGCCCTTTCCCCTATCACTGTTCCTCTCTCCACCCACCTCACCACTCACACACCTGCATGTCCTCCTTCACCCAAGTCAGCTCTCTGTCCAGATGTCCTCCCTCAGAGAGGCCCTCCCTGCTCACGCCCCTCATTCCTGCTCCTCTTGGCTTCATTTTCCTTGAAGATTCATCACAAACTAACATGCACATATGTACCCCTGTGTTCTCTTTATTATCATAAATGTCTGCAGAATCAGTGAAGGAAGGCTCAAATGGACAATTTAAGCCTGTGATTGACTCAGGGTAGGAAATCCTCACCTGGCCAGGGGCAGCCCTGCATGGGGCCAACATGTCCCTCTGCCCCCTCTCCACCCTGGCCAGAAGGCAGTGTTCTAGAGCGCAGGCCCCAGGTCAAGCAGGGCCACACCTATGCCAACCACCCCCACAGACTTCCACATGTTCAATGACCAAGCAGAAGCACAGGACCAGGCAGTAAAGCTTTCAACTCTCAACATTCACTCACAGCCTCCACTATGGTTCACTTAGCTTACCAAGCTGTTTCATGCTATGTTCCTTCTTAGCTTTACAGTAGGAAAAGTTATGTTCCTTTTCAGGGGAAAGACTATTTTCACTGGTTTTAGGGTCCCTTCTTCCTGACATAAAATTGCACAATGAAAATATATATTAAACTTAATCTGTAATGTAATGTAAAGCAGTTAACAAACAAATGAAATTAAAATGTACTCATTAAGTCAAAGTGATCAGCTCTGTATGCACTACTTAGAAATAAGCAAAAATTATAATATTCTCAGGCAGAATGCTTTCTGGATTCTGCAGGGATTCCAGAATGACTTTAAGAGTCTAAATATGTTTAACAATGTGATACCCTCACACCCTGTAGTAAAGTCTCATTCATCCCCTTGAGCAAGACACAGAGGTCCAGTGTGTCACACACCTCTGGGTACTGAGCATTTGCCCAAATGAGAACCTACTTAAGCGAGGCAGAATGTTCAGGCAGAGTGCCAGCTTTGCTGGGGAACCCACAGGGAGGTCAGTGCCCGGCTAGCAGGAGGGGAAGACAGGAGTCCACTGAGCTGTTGATAGCTCAGGGAAGCTCAGTGTCAAAAAGCCCATAAATGTCTGCTAATAAAATCTCTTAAGACCATACAAAAGAACCCTAGAGCACAAGCTCACCAGTAAACACAGATGCACATATCAGAAGCAATTAGAAAAGAAGAGCAGATGATACAACTGTCTGCTTAGGAAAGCCAAAAGAATCAACAGAAGAACTACTGGATTAAGAGGCAACAACAGGCCAGGCACAGTGGCTTACAGCTGTAATCCCAGCACTTTGGGAGGCTGAGGCGGGCAGATCACTTGAGGTCAAGAGTTCGAGACCAGCCTGGCCAACATGGTAAAACCCTGTCTCTACTAAAAATACAAAAAATTAGCTGGGCGTGGTGGCATACACATGTAATCCCAGCTACTCAGGAGGCTGAGGCAGAAGAATCACTTGCAGTGAGGTTGCAGTGAGCCATGATTGCGCCACTGCACTCCAGTCTGGCAACAGAGTGAGACTCCGTCTCAAAATAAATAAATAAATAAATAAATAAATAAATAAATAAATAAATAAATAAAATAAAATAAAATAAACCAGCGAGCAACCACTGTGACCAACATACGCAACCAAGTACACGCAACGTGTTCTCAGAAGAGGGGGACACCTTCACTAAGCTGAAGTTAGAGGTGCCTAAACTTCCTAAACTAATGAAAGCATATATTTAACACAAGTCCAGTTAAATTCTGAGACGTTAGTTTATTTTGCAAGAGTGGAATTCTTGAGTCATGAAGAGTTTTTAAAATTCATCCGGAAGAATAAGCAAATAAGATGGCTTAAAACTTTTTGGAAAAGAACAATGATAGAAAACTAATAGTAAAAATAAAAAAGTGGAAGTAAAAAACACCACACACAAAAAAGCCCGTAACCCAGACTACAAAAGGCTTCACAGAGCAGGAGAGAAGCATTCAATGAATAAGTGATCCTGGAACCACGGATGGATTATTCTGACAAAATAGATTCAGAGCCTCACCTTATACCATGAATTAAAGTAAGAGATAACATAAGAAATTAAGTAAAAAAAAATGTATGATAAAGCACAAATCTTCACCTCTCAAATCTCTGGACAGATTACCAAAAAAAAGATTAGAGGCCTCAAGCACATAACAGTTTAACACTTAGGCAAATCAGAAACCAAACCAAATATAATTAGTAGAAACAAACTGAAAAAGAAACACTCATGCAAAAACTGGCAAATTGGCAGATGTCCTTAACATACAGCACGTGCAAGCAAATCAGTAAGAACCCAGAGAAACCAAAGAACAGGCAGGTCAGAGACGCCCAAAACACTCACACGCGATGACAAGGACCATTTCACTGGTCATCAACGTTTTTGTTTTTCGTCCATCAAAATCAGCATGCCTTAACAACACTGGAGAAGGTGTGGGGTGAAGGGTCATTAAGGGCACGCAGTAGCCATAATGCCACACCCTTTGTGCCAGCCACTGCGCTTCTGGAAACCTACCCCACAGCGGTCAACCAAAAGACAGCAAAGGCTTCTGGCACTAAGCTGGTCACAAACGCATTACTAATTATTGTGCACATGTGGAACCTACCATCTAAGCCTCCTTTCTAAGGCGAAAATTCCCACTACTACATCTTGCCACCCTTCTTTAACTTACACACTTTAGGAAAAGGATGATTTTTCAGAAACTAGCACTGCTCATTCAAAGTAACTTCATACTTCAATGAAAAATAAGCCTCCAATGCCAGTGGCCTCCAACAGGGCTTCCCTGCATTTGCCTGACACTCTTATGTTAGGCAAGATGATAAGGTACTATCCTTCAGCGGACCGCAGGCCAGGCCTGTACATTCGGCTTTTAGCATGGCTTCCAATCATAATTTCTGCAGTTTTTAAACACATAAACATTATCTGCCTACATGCTCTATATCCAACCTGCATCAGGATTAAATGCAGACTGCCAACGCAAAGGACAGAACTACTGAAATGAAGATGGCTGATAAGTATTTCTGGAAAATGAAAATTTGATCACAACTTTTAGATTTCAACACAGATCTCCAGCAAAGAGGGGCTACTCTGCCCTGATGTCATCAGTTCACACACTTGTGCACACACGCATGTGTATGTAACAGCCACAAATCTTCATTATTTCCACACGCTGTTCATTCCCAGACACAGCAAGTCTGTTTTCCAGCCATAGGAGTTCTTTCCTACTAGACATTGAGATTAAGACAAAAAAAAAAAAAACTAATATCCATATTTTCAGCTACATATATAAGTTTTGCAGTACCTTCCACTGAATTTTTGGATCGCCGTTTTGATGTTTTTGTTGTCAATGACTTGGAAGCTCTAGTGGAAATCTCAGTCTTAAAGAAAAAAGAATGAAAAGAAATTAATTGATGTATTACACAGCAGTATCATAAGCAGGTTTATTTTTCAAGCTCTTCTTGAGGAAGAACAAGTATGAAATCCAGCAATAGTGCCCATATGCTTTAAAAACTCAATACTACTAAGGACTCAAGACCTGAGACTGTGAATTACACGGAGGCCAAAACCCTTTTCACACTATATTTAGAATTCCATCATTCTGTACAGCCCTAAAAAGGTCAACAATCTGCTCCCCACACTTTGAGAAACACTGTCTTATTGGATGTGCTTATGAGGACTCCACTTCTGTTGCTATATACTTAATTACTTAAATGCACTTGTAAGCAACTCAGAAGGTAAAAATTTACATATATTTAAACAGAACACAAATCAAAGGAAACAGCACATCCTATTCCTCCCTCCACTGGCACAGTTCCAGTCTCACCACCTCTCTCCCCTAACTGGCCTCCCAGCCTCTACTCTATGCCTAACCCATCTCCCTGCAACCTCCTGAAGACCTCCTGAAATGCAAATTGGATTACGAAAGTTGGCTTCAACCTCTCAGTGGCCCCTACTGCTTGGGATGAGTGTAACCTCCACAAGACGGCCCACGTGGAGATGATGAGCTTCTACCATACCCAGCCCCAGGAAATGCATCGCGGAGTCCTGAACAGGCCAACCAGAGGTTGGAGGGGTCCCTCCCACTGGCCCCGTCTGTCTGGTGACTTACGCCTGCCTCTTCCAGACTCATCCTGAGTGCCACCTCCCCCTTCTCCCCAAAATGACAGCCCTATCACACCACATATCACACTTGTCATATAAAGGCATAAGTAAACCCAGGAGTGCCCCACAGAAAATCAGAGAATACACACACCCATCTATTTTACCAGGAGGTAAAGCATTTAACTGATTACTTTTACAACCAAATAAAATGGACCTATTACAGATAGGCCCAGACCATGTGCTCCTTCCATGCCTCAGTGGACCCGGGGAGCGCACAGCATTCACTATTTCAACACAGCTACAAGTTGACATCTCTTAAAAGTTATTTTTTAAAGTTTACCTCTGTTTCAGCCTTGGAGTCTTTAAAAGTTCCATCTGATAACTTTTTAGACATCTCCCCTGAGCTTGCTGACTATTAAAAAAAAAAAAAATTCAAACTTTAGAATTATTCCAATCCATAATATCTAAAAATATGCCAAGATATTTTCTATAACACTGACCAACAGTGAAATCATTCTTCCCATGAGAACACCACATCGCCAGTCCAGCTCTGATCGCCACAATTGTTACTGCTGCCTGCGTTCCCCAAGAGTCTTCCGAGCCAATGGCAGGGAGATCTCTTCCCATAAGGGCAGAGTAGGTGGGCAAGGACTTCAAATACTCCTGACTCTCAGGAAGCTACACAGAACACGAATCCCTACGCCACACCGAACTTCCTGGAAACATATCGCAATGAAACCCAGGGATCTGGAAGTGAGGGAGGGAATGAACAATATAAACCTCCAACACCCACGGAGAAACTGCTCCTAGCCGCCTCTGCTGATCACAGGCTAACTTTATTAATAGAATGGGGCAATTCTTTTTACGCAAAGGCTTCAGACTTTAAGTGAGGAAAGCACTCTCATAACATAAACTGCATGAAAACCGTAAACACCATCTTATCTCACGCCTTAAATCACTTTTCCAGAAGACATATCTCAGAGTAGAAGGAGTAGAATGATTATCTTCATTGAGATTTTCCTCTAGGAAGACTGAAAAGCAAAGAATGCCTGTTCGATATTTCAACAATTCAATGTCCTCATAAGTTAATTATGAAGGTATCAGATTGTATCAGCAGTAATTACCCATGACTGCAAGCTGGGCACTGCACACGTGCTACCCATAAAAGAGGCAGTTAAGCAGGGGCCTGGGACCCCCACATGGCCAGTCTAACTTAGCACCTGGCCTCTCAACTGCACTCTTAATTTTCCAAGTGTTTTCATATCTACTATTTCACCTCTTCTTCGCAAAAGCCCATGAGGTAGCCTAGGATCTCATCAGCCTCTCTACTAGACAGAAATAAAATGGGGAAGAGGACAAAGAATGACTGAGGCAGAACCGGGGTTAGAACTTGAGTCTCTTGCCTCCCCAGCGTAGATGTGAGTAAGGTCCCTGGGAACAGGGGTTCCTCGGGAGGCGCCTCACAGCAGCTCACACCTGCCTGGCGCTTTTTACCAGAGGAAAGGACGCAGCTGCCTCCCAGACCTACGCGGCTCAATGAAGAAGCCCCCAGATCGTCCACAGAAGAGCCTGGCAAGCACAACCACCATGCGAGATCCACGCAAATCTCACGGCAGCCAAGTAAGCAACAGCCTCGAGTAGGAAAAAATCACTTCGCCATGGTCTCAGACGCTTTTAAACAAAACCACCATTATACTTGGCTCTGATATGTTCCCAAATATCAGCCTCTAAAAATTTCTTTTTGTTGTTGTTGTTGTTTGAGACGGAGTCTCGCTCTGTCACCCAGGCTGGAGTGCAGTGGCGTGATGTCAGCTCACTGCAACCTCCGCCTCCCGAGTTCAAACGATTCTCCTGCCTCAGCCTCCTGAGTAGCTGGGACTACAGGCACGTGCCACCACACCCAGCTAATTTTTGTATTTTTTTTTTTTTTTTTTTTAGTAGAGATGGGGTTTCATCACCGTGTTGGCCAGGATGGTCTCGATCTCTTGACCTCATGATCCACCTGCCTCGGCCTCCCAAAGTGCTGGGATTACAAGCGTGAGCCACCATGCCCGGCCGAGCCTCTAAGAATTTCTTTGGAATGGTTTCTCTCTACTTAAAAAGCCAGTCACCTCATTAGCAGTTTTAGGGAACATAACGTGGGGACCCTCAATCCGAAGGCTTTGTGAGCTGAGGAAGGTTAACCCCTTCCTAGGATGCCTCATGCACAGCAAAATACACCCGAATATACTAGTGCCTCAGAAAAATCAGGTCCATGAAAAATATTTTTTCTTACACCTCTAAAAAGGAGCAAAAGATGGGGAATGTCTTTGTAATTCCTAAGACTCATAAGGAAAGCCAGGTATGACACATATCATAGGGTACATTACTCCAGGATGTGCAGTGGAGGGGGAAAGAGTGACATTTTAAATAGTAAAACTCCAAAGTGCCTTGTAGAACACTACGTTCAATTACTAACAAAACCACAGTCTTGCCAGTAGGCACCCCCCATCCCACTGTGACCCACAGATCACAAAATGGGCTTATACTGACCCCCACAGGAAAGCCTGGTTTACAGGATTCCCTCAGGGTCAGTCCTGTGGCGCCCACCCACCTCCCCTGGGCAGGCACACCCTGAGACGCAGTGCCACAAGACAAGATGGCTGTCCCGGGAGGAAGAGGCCATGGCACCAGCTCAGGCCCTGCCCCTCACTGCCCGGCCGGATCAACTGGGCAGATCTGGATCCCTTCCCGACCTCAGTGTCCTCCTTCCTAGCAGCTGGAGACAAGATGATTTCCAACATCTTCGCGGGATGCTTTACAATTTGACATCCCCCAAAGAATGCGTGTCTGGGTGTCTGGGAAAACGTCCCCAACACACATGGTGGGTCCAGAAAGAATTCACACATTGAGAAAACAGTTTGAAACCAACAGGACTTCCTGGCAAACCCTAAATTTACCTGAAAATTTAATTAAACAATAATTACAGTAAACTCAGGTCTTATTGTACTTATCTGCTGATGCCTAAAAGCCCTTGAAAGCAGCCCTAATCCTTAATAACTGAGCAATGTCCATGCTCCTAAAGACACCACATGCACAACTCAGACTGCGCATAAACACCGCTTGCAATGCTAAGGTGGAGGCTGCTCCAAAGCCTTCAGAGCAATACTGAGAGTGACACAAATGACACAAACGACACGCACGGGAGAAGCAACACATCTTAAAACACCTGCAAGACAAGGACAAGAGCAACTTGGCAAATCAGCTCAAACTCTGAAAAACGTTGATTTCTCTACATGCCTGGTGGGGAATCATTAAACCCTAAAAAGAGCAAGCATTTAATATTTTCCTGACATCCCCCTTCAAATTATCTTCTACCACTCCCAGATCAAAATTCCATAAAGGGAGACCTCAGAAACCACCATCAATTGATCAATTCCATCCAGTGTTTCATGATCTGAAAAGCCCATCACCCCTTGCCTGGATGCTCAATCCATTCCACCACCAAATATTTACTGCAAAGCTGCTATGTGTCAGACACTCTATCAGACTGGGCATCCAACAGTGAACATGAGTGAAATCTCTAGCTTTTGCTCTTAGGGAGCTTATAATCCAGCAGAATTCTCCCTGGACATGAAGTAGGAAATGGTTAAAAACTCACTGAATAATGCCTTAATAAATGATTGGCTGAACAATAAACTTCTATTAGGGGATGAACAAAAAAACCCAAAACACAACTGACAAGAAATAAGTATCTCTTTGGGTTTCTATTGAGAATCCAAGATTGTCATCATTTTAAATAGGCATAAAAGAAAACCAGTTTCCTAGTCATATTGTAAGAAAGGTAAAAATCATGTTTGAGACCACCACAAACTCTTGCTAAGCAAAAGGCGAGGTTCTCAGCAAGACTTTACCTTTTTCTCAGGTTTGTCATGCTCTCTGTTCTTCTCCCTGTCCAGGTCCCAGGAGTGCTCCCCGTTTTTCACTCTCCGTCTGTCCCTGTCCTTCCCTTTGTCCCGGTCGCGCTCTCGGTCCCTGTCTCTCAGTCTCTCCTTCTCTTTCCCCCCCTCACTCTTTCTCTCTGTCTCCTTCTTGCGCTCGGAGTCTCTGTCCCGCTCCCTGTTGCCTCTGTCTTTCTGTCGCTCGTTGTCTGGCCTGGCCCGGGCTTTGGCTCTCTCTCTCTCCCCTTCTCTGTGTCTGTTTCCGCCATTCTCCTTGGCCTTCTCCTTGTCCTTGTCCTTTTCTCTTGGCTTGCGGTCTTCTTTCAATTCTTCCTTCTGTTTTCGATCTCTGCTTGTACTTCTCTCTTTTATTTCAGCGTCTCCTCTATCCTACGAAATAAAAATAAAATCATTTATGAATATTTTTACCTAAACTACAAAAAGACTCACTATTTCATTTTCAAAGATGTGCGACTTGGAATTCACCTCTGTATTTTTGTGAACTCTGGACTCTTCTTCTCGCACATTCTTATTATCCAATTCCTGAGATCTTGAGGTCAGTGAGGCCCGGCCTTTCACTTCTCCCTTCTCTCCAGCTAAAACCCTCCGCACCGCATCGTCACTAGAGAGCTTGTCGTCCAAATGGAAGGAAATGAGGTGTTAGGTGAAATGAGATCCGCACACGTAACAAATAGAACATCGCCATTCAAAGATAGCTCATGAGACAGATTCTCTGTCTACAATGAAATTCAAAGGATAAAATATTTTTTGAACATGTTATTATCACATACAAAGCACAGCATATCTTGATAACTATTACTTTCAGCACTTTGGTCACTAACAGTAGCGTCCACCCAAGCTAAATGAATCCTGGTTCAAGTCTACCCAAGCTGTCAAATGTGAATGTGTGTGTTCAAGGTTAATAAAGCTGACCCATGCAACTCTACTACAAATACCTTAAACTTCTAATGGGATCATAGAATCCCAGCCATAAGTGCCTTAAGATTTTATCTAACCACCTCACACCCATTAGGATGGCTGCTCCTAAAAAAAAACACACAAAACCACAAGCATTGGCAAGGATAAGGAGAAATTGAAGCTCTCATGCACTGTTGGTGGAAATGTAAAATGATGCAGCCATTATGGAAAATAGTATAACAGCTCCTCAAAAAATTAGGCACAGATTTACCATATGACCCAATAATTCCCCTTCTGGGTATTTATCCAAAAAAATAGAAAACGGGGTCTTGAAGAGATATTTGTATACCCATGTTCATAGCAGTATTATTCATAATAGCTAAAATGTGGGAGCAAACTGTACCATTGACAGTTGAGTGGATAAACAAAATATGGTATATCCATTACAATGGAATATTATTCAGCCCTAAAAAGCGATGAAATTCTGATACATGCCACAACATGGATAAACCTTGAGAACATTATATTAAGTGAAATAAGCCAGTCAAAAAAATGACAAACACTCTATGACCCCACTTATCCGAGGTCCCTAGAGTAGTCAGATTCATAGAGACAGAAAGTAGAATGGAGGGTGCCAGGGGCTGGGGTACGGGAGAAGAGGAAGTTAGTGTTTCATGGGGACAGAGTCTGTTTTGCAAGGAGAAGAGTCCTGGAGATGGAAGGTGGTGATGGCTGCAGATGAATGAATTTACCAGCACTGAAGTGTACACTTCAACATGGTTAAGATGGCAAATTTTATGTTTTATGGACTTTAACACAATAATAAAATTATGGGTAAAAAACCACTGATCTGATTCAAGCCCCATCAAACGCAAAAATTCCTTCTCCAGCATCCCCGACAGCCATCCAGAGTGCAGGACACCTCAGTCAGGAGTCCCACTGACTCACGCACTCATTCCACAAGCACATGCTGCGTGATTGCCGCGTGCCAGGCTCCATTTAGGCCAAAGACACACCGTGTACTGGGGACACAGATAAACACAACAATTAAACAACAGCCTATAGGAAGCCTACAGGGGCACCTAAGTCAGCCTGGGAGGGAGGAGAGGCCCAGGCTCAAGGAAGCACTCACAGACGCCACATTGTTGCTGGGTGAGGCTGGAGGAGGAAGGCAGCTCAGGTACCAAGAAGCCAGCAGGCACCAGGGCAAGAGGCCGACGGGAGACAGCCGGCCAGGGCCGAATGCAGGGGTGCGTGGCGACTGGAATGGAGGGCTCAGATATGGGAAACGAGAGAAGGATCTGAAGGGAGAGAAGTAGCAGCAGGTCTCTAGGAGCCTCACAAGCTGTGCCATGGAGCTGGCCCAGACCCGAGGCTACTGGAAGCCGGAGATGATTCAGCAGAGGAGACAGGAGCCAGATGTGCTTTTTAGAAAGATGAGAAACATAAAGGACCCGGGAAGGGGAGCTGGGGAGCCTAGGGACAGAGGCCAGTGTACTGGCAAGATCTGCTTCCAAGTCTCTAAGTTTGCATGCTGGACCTGCACTGGGGGGGCCTCCTAGGAGTCGGCCTGATACCACTATGCACCTCCACTACCCACTGCTGTTGAGGGGGCTGAAACCTACCTGTTCCCATTTGGGTCACATTTAAGGTTAGCCCCCAGCCAACCACCCACTAGGTATGTGAAAAACTGTATTAATTACACTCTCAATACAAGTCCAACCTGCTCCTCCACAGGGCACTACTCGGCCCTCAAAAGAAGGAAGACCCTGGGGAAAGACCTTCTCCAACATTTGGGCAAACATGGCCCAGGCTGGACCTAACTAGAGAAGCCTGAGGCCTTGACACCCAAGTTTCTAGCCCACAGTGAAAAGCTCAAGAAAGAAAAAATCTACTCCCCGTACAACTGAAACAGCAACCGAGAGAGAGAGAAAAGGTGGAAGAGAGAGAGGAAGGGCAACAGGCAAGCAGACACCAGAGGCTGGAGATGGAGGAAGAGAACAGAGACTCCCATAAGACCCAGGGAAGAAGAAAAGCAGCTCCTGCAGCCACTGCAGCCCTGGCTGGAAGCAGCCACCTGTCCTCAAGGGAGCCTCAGAAAGGAGAAAGCCAGAGGGCATGGAAGCCTGGGCCTGCAGCCTCCAGCCTCCAGCCAGGCACAGTGTGCCTGCAGGGTTCCCGACTTTCTACTGAAAGCTTGCAGAACTTGCGTATTACATACCCTTATTTGTTTTATCATTCAGTATTAAATTACTCCTTCTGTATCTCTGGGGCTCCAGAAGGGGTGGGATCAGATTCAAAGCACAGTGTTTGACAGACACCACTGAAACTCCTTCCCTAAACCGCCCGCACATGTGAGTCCCTCACCCCCGACTACTTTTTACTCAAGTACTAAGTAAGTTCAAAATGCCAGGACAGCAGTAGTACCTTGTTGAGACAGCATTTTCCAATTATCTGGAGCAGCTCGTTTGTTCTTTCAGGCTCATGCCCCGCCACGATTCGGGCTGGTTTGGCCAACAGTGGCTCTCCCGACACCATTACAACCACGTCTATGGCCTTTTGTAGGAAGCTAATTTTTGCATCTTTATCCTGAAACATTTCCATTGAAAATACAAATATTACAATACTTTGAAGAGTGTGCATTATCTTCTGTATGTTTACCAGGCATAGGATAGTTTCTGTTTACATACAAAGCTGTTTTTAGATATATAACAAATCTAGAAATACTGACCTTTTACTGACAAAACAAAAACAATTCATTAAAGCCTTTAATTTAGTTGATGGGCTAGCATTAACCTTTGAAATACTAATCCCATTTTTCAGTGAATAAAACTAGCATGACATCCAGTTGCCACAATGAGAAAATGAAATGAGAAAGGGTATATATATCAATTTACGAATTCACTGACCTTGTATTCCAACCACATGCAGCAGAGAAATGACACAAGCCACACTACCAGGCCTACAAAAAATCCCATCCGTTAAGGCGAGGAGTCAATAGGAGAAGCCCGACTCAAACCCACCTTCACATTATCAGACTTCATCTCGGCGTCTGTGTAGAGGCCCTTCATGAAACCAGTCATTCTAATCACCTTCAAGAGAGAAAGAAAGGCCACCATGTCACCTCACAGACAGCCTCCTCATCAGCCTCATCCACTCAACTCCACACTTGGGAGATGTCAGAATTGACTAGCAGCCCAGATTTGAATCATCCACTTAAGAAATATTTGATGTCTACTACACGTGCTGTGCAGGGCAGAAGCCAGCCAGATCCTCTCAGAACTTAGTCTGGCTGTGTGGACAGACAGGTAAAGATGACACCATGCAGGTACTAAGGAAGCACTCAGGCTTGGTACCTAATCCACAATCCGGGAGGGAGCAGGAGTGGCAGGGAACCCTTCCTGGAGGAATCATACCTAGATGGGGACCAGGCTTACAGAAGAGTTGGGCAAGGGGACATTTCGGATGCACATGCCAAACATAAGAAAGTCCACACGGCTGGGTGTGGTGGCTCACACCTGTAATCCCAGCACTTTGGGAGGCTGAGGCGGACAAATCACAAGGTCAGAAGATCGAGACCATCCTGGCCAACATGGTGAAACCCTGTCTCCACTAAAAATACAAAAATTAGCTGGGTGTGGTGGTGCTCGCCTATAGTCCCAACTACTGGGGAGGCTGAGGCAGGAGAATCACTTGAAGCAGGAAACAGAGATTGCAGTGAGCCGAGATCGTACCACTGCACTCCAGCCTGGCGACAGAGCCAGACTCCGTCTCAAAAAAAAGAAAAAAAGAAAATGAAAGTCCACACAAGGTCCAGGACCCACAGAGTCCCCTGCAAGGGATCAAAAGAAATGTAGGACAGCAGGAGCCTGAGGCCAGAGAGACACTCGGGGCCTGGTGCAGAGGCCCTGTGAAGCCACTCAGGGACATGAACTGAGCTGAAGGACCACGAGGAGGACCTGGAACGGCATTTTACAAGAGTCCTTCAGGTGCAATGGAGGGAACAGATTCCAAAAAGAAAAGGAACTTTGGCTGGGCACAGTGGCTTACACCTGTAATCCCAGCACTTTGGGAGGCCGAGGTGGGTGGATCACTTGAGGTCAGCAGTTCAAGACCAGCCTGGCCAACAAGGTGAAACCCCGTCTCTACTAAAAATACAAAAATTAGCCAGGCATGGTGGTGGGCGTCTGTAATCCCAGCTACTCAGGAGGCTGAGGCAACAGAATTGTTTGAACCCGGGAGGTGGAGGTTGGAGTGAGTCAGAATCATGCCACAGGACTCCAGCCTGGGCAACGCAGTGAGACTCTGCCTCAAAAAAAAAGAAAGAAAAGAAAAGGAATTTCTCAACCTAGTTTGCTAAGACTAGAAGTTCTGCAAGGGTCTTTCTCCTCACCACGTGTCACTACTCACTTCTTAAGATGGTGGCAGGCTCCACACCTCACTGCTTTGGTTCTCTCCCTAATCATCCCTTCCCTCAGGTAACCTGTACCTCCTAATTAGCCCTAAAACCAGCTTTTAGGGCAATTATTTTTCCTGTTCCTCTCAACCACCACACCCAGCCAGGGTCCTGGGTTGTCTCAGACTGCAGTTTTTTGAAATGTGGTAGGTTACTGTAAAATCAATACAATTTGTAGCAACAAGCATTTTGAATAGCTGGGACCCTTACCAGCAGGCTGCATGGTATGTGGTAAGGACAGGTATGCTCATAGCCACATATCCTAGGTCAGCTAATAAAGCATATTTATTACGGGAAGACATGTTTTAAAAACAAGACAGTCCCACCCTAATGAGAGCCTCCTCTGGAATCAAGCCACAACTCCTTAATTTGCATCAAGTTAGGTATTAATGAATCTAGGAGTTTTCATTCCACACCACACTATGTAAGAGCTATGCTACTGTTTTTCTTGAGATGACAGGTAGAATATTAAGAGCATCCTGCATTTAACATTCCTGGAACATTTTCATTTTGTCCCTGTTGAGGTTTTCCCAGGATGCTGGCAGTTAAAATTGTGAGCAATAGGCTGGGTACAGTAGCTCACACCTGTAATCTCGGCACTTTGGGAGGCCGAGGCAGGCGGATCACCTGAGGTCAGGAGTTCGAGATCAGGCCGGACAACATGGCGAAACCCCATCTCTACTAAAAATAGAAAAATTAGCTGGACATGGTGGCATGTGCCTGCAGTCCCAGCTACTCAGAAGGCTGAAACAGGAGAATTGCTTGAACCTGGGAGGCGTAAGTTGCAGTGAGTGGAGACTGTGTCACTGCACTCCAGCCTGGGCGACAGAGCAAGAATCCCTCTAAAAAAAAAAAAAAAATTGTGAACAATAACTGTAAGTGACAAGAGACATTAACGTCACAGTATCCACACTTAGCTTAATGAAACGGGGTGGTTAGTGTAGCTATAGCTAAAATACTAATATAGCAATGTGTGTATAATATTCAGTACAGTAAAGCATTTTCATAAGAGGCTCTCCACCTATTATCTGAAAATCCTTTCCAATATGTCAGTCATTCTAACAACTTTATCAAGTAGGTCATAATTTATTTATCTTTACACAGGGAGAGAAATCAACTTTGGCATTAGATGAGGAAGTCTATGGGAGAAGAGCAGACCAGTCGTTCCTAATTGGGAACATGCAACTCGTTCCACACACCCTATCTACCTGGCCAAGAAGGCAATTCTTTTTTTTTTTTTTTTTTTTTTTTTTTGAGACAGGGTCTTACTCTGTCACCCAGGCTAGAGTGCAGTGTTACAATCACAGCTCACTGCATCCTCAACCTTCCCGGCTCAAGCAATCTTCCCTACTCAGCCTCCTGAGTAGCTGGGATTACAGGTGCACCACCACACTCAGCTAATTTTTGTATTTTCAGTAGAGATGGAGTTTTAACCATGTTGGCCAGGCTGGTCTTGAACATCTGGGCTCAAGTGATCTGCCCGCCTTGGCCTCCCAGAGTGCTGGGATTACAGGCGTGAGCCACAGCACCCAGCCCATGTTCCTCCTCCTCTCCCATTAGGATTCCTCTGACCAACTATGCGGTAGTGACTGGACAGCCACCGTGAGCTGAGCGCCATCACTGCCCCACAAGGATAAGGCACACTCCCTGCACCTCCCTCCTGGGGCTCTGCATTTCAGTGGGACAGACAGGCCTGGGAGAATAAAGGTTTTGGCAGCCACAGCTAGAGTGGGCTGGGCTCACACTGGCTCTTGTTCCCTCTGGGTCAGAGGACGGGTACCCGCCTACTTCACGGGACGGTGGTGATGCGGCACATTGTCCCCCTCCCACCGGGCTATCCACACAGCAGGTCCTCTCCCCACACACTGTCCAGGACAGGCTGTAAGTGCTGCACCAGCTGGGAGGACATGACCAGGGCTGGCGAGGCCCTGGGATGTGGGTGGATTCGAGAGCATTTTTAGGCACTGTTTTAACACAGAGGCACACGCTCCAGGAGACCACACGTTATAAGCTAAGGTAGGAGGGCAGAACCAGTAAAGCAAAGTCTGTGCAAGAATAAGGCACCCAACCTGTTGAAAAGAGTGAGAAACAGAGCTTGAGGACCATCACCAGGTGAGGTCATGAGGCCCTGGAAGTCTGCAAGTCCAACCTGAATCCTAAATCCCAAAACACACCTCTGAGTTCCCACGTGCCCTTGGGTCCACCATGGAAATGGGTGCTGCGCCCGCTGCAGTGACGCTCCTGAGAGTTACCAGGGAGTTACCACGAGCCTTGACAGGTCCCACTCAACAGGGGATGTTTGTTGTGCAATTTCTATGTACCTTACCCAGTGCAGATCACCAGAGCCATGCTAATAAGCAAGCCAGGGTCTCCGTCACGGAGGAGCACACCATCCGCAAGTGGAAAAAGCTACAGAGACCACCAATCTCAACGTAGGGCAGGCTGTGCAGCTCTGTTACAGTCTTTCCTGCCAAGTCCCCCTACAGCCGCCTCCACTAAATCCACCCGCAGGCATTTATTAAGCACCCAAAATGTGGTATGGAGGGAAACTTTGGGGCAGAAGGGTTGTATAAAAAATATTATTTCCATTCTCCCAGGATTTAGGGAGTGCCTTCCACGTGCTACATACTTCAGGGCAAGCGAGAGGGGTTCTGCAAGGTTAGACGAGGCAGGAGTCACAGAAGCAGCTCTGCCAGCAATAATGGAAGATGCACTCTAAGGAAATACAAGGGCAGGCAGGGAAGAAGTAAGAATGCTCCTGAGGGCCCGGAGCCTCCTTGTAAGCGGCGGCCCGGAGCCGGGGGAGGGGCAGGACCTCCTCACGGAGGGCGCCGCGGAATTGGGCCTACAGGCCGGGCTCCCAGGCAGGGGCCGCACAGAACTCTCGCCCCGACCCCGGAACTGACCCCGGCCCCCGACCCGCACCCTGTGCCCGGCCCACACCCGGCCCTGAACAGGTCCCCGACCTGCACCCCGAGCCCGGCCCACACCCGGTTCACACCCGGCCCGGGCCCCGACTCCGGCCCAGCCCCGGCCCCCGACCCGCACCTGAGCCCGAGCCCGGCTCGCACCCGGCGCCACCCGGCCCGGGCCCTGACCTCGGCGCCCACCGGAATCCCGACCCGCACCTGGCCGGGCCCGGTCCCCGGCGCCCACCTCCGTGATGATGTCGTGCAGGTAGCGGAACGGGGGCTTGCTCAGCAGCTTCTCGGTCAGCGGCGGCCTCCGAATCACTTTCCCCAGCGCCTCCTGCGTCCGCCTCACCACCGCCGCGTTCATGACGGCGTCCGCCGCCCGCTGGCCGCCCGCGCCCCTCAGCCGGCCTGGCCGAGCCTAAGCCCGGGTCCCTGGCCGCCGCCGGCCCCGCCGCCGCCGCCGCCCGGTCCTGCCAGGACGCGCCGCTCCGGTTTCCATCCCACAGTGCACCGGAGCCCACCACAGCGCCTGCGCGGCCGCCGCAGGGCGTTCGGTCACTAGGGCTGCGCGGCCTTAGCAACGGACGCGCCGCGGCGCCCCGCCCCCTGCCCGCCTTCCAGCGCCCGCGCAGGCAGGAGTGGGGGTTCCGCGGGAGGGATTTGCGGGAGTGCGGCTGTGCCAGAGCAGGCGGGGCGCGGCGGGGCGGGGAAAGGGGATCTGGGATCGGGCGCCTGGCCCCTCCTCTGCCGAGCGACGGCCTCGGGAAGCCGGTGTTCGCTCGCGTTAGAGGCGACTGCCTGAGGACTGATTAAGAACAAGGTAACCTCCAAGATCTGTGCCGCCTGTTTCCCAAATCTCAAGGGCTTTCGAAGGCACTGGTTCATCGGAGGGGACGGCACTAAGTTATCCCAAAACACACGGAATAGAAAATACGCTGTCCTGGCTGGTAATTAATAAGGCTTCTTGGGCAAGTCACCTGTTTTCTCTGAGACTTCACTTCTGCTCCCACAAAGCAGGACTAGTGTGCCCGCTGCCTAACCCACCTCCCAAGAAGGTAAATGGTGACTAAATGCTGTGTCGGTGCTCTGAAACCGGGACAAAGCCATGCCTAGTTGTCCTACTAGGTGTCCGTGATTCTTTACCACCTGTCCTCTGTCCATCATGCACAGGCCTACCGCAGAAATCCTTCCGGCGATTTGAGAGCTCTGGGGTCTGTAGTTCTTCTAATGAGAACACCATTATAACCTTTTTTTTTTTTTGAGACGAAGTCTGACTCTGTCGCCCAGGCTGGAGTGCAGTGGCACGATCTTGGCTCACTGCAACCTCCACCTCCCAGGTTCAAGTGATTCTCCTGCCTCAGCCTCATGAGTAGCTGCGACTTCAGGCTCCCGACACCACACCAGCCTCGCTTTTGCATTATTAGTAGAGACGGGGTTTCACCATGTTGGCCAGGCAGGTCTGGAACTCCTGACTTCAGGCAATCCGTCCGCATCGGCCTCCCAAAGTGCTGGTATTACAGGTGTGCGCGACCGCCCCCATTATAACTTTTAAATTGACCTTCATTTTTACCATTTTCAGGCCTCCTCATTTTTTGTGGAGATCTAAATCGCCATCTGGTGTCATACCCCTCCTGTCTGAAGAACTTCCTTTAATATTTCTTCTAGCACAGTTCAGTTGGTAATGGAAAAGTTATACAGACAACCAATTTCAATGCCAGTCAGGCTGTATGGTTTATCAACAAATACTAAATTGCATTTTTATAGTTTTCCTTCCATGTCCCCCTATAACCACCTCCAGTAAATTCAGCCACAAATATTTATTAAGCATAGAAGTATAGAATTCTAGAGTTGGGAGGTCAGGAGTTCGAGACCAGCCTGACCAACATGGTGAAACCCCGTCTCTACTTAAAATACAAAATATTAGCTGGGTGCAGAGGCGGGCGCCTGTAATCCCAGCTACCAGGAAGGCTGAGGCAAGAGAATCACCTGAACCCAGGAGACAGAGCTTGCAGTGAGCCGAGGTCATGCCACTGCAATCCAGCCTGGGTGACAGAGTGAGACTCCGTCTCAAAAAAAAAAAAAAAGAATTCTAGGGGTACAGTGGCTCACGCCTGTAATCCCAGCACTTTGGGAGCCTGAGGCAGGCAGATCACTTAAGGTCAGGAGTTTGAGACCAGCCTGGCCAAAATGGTGAAAGCCTGTCTCTACTAAAAATATAAAAATTAGCTGGGCGTAGTGGTGTGTGCCTGTAACCCCAGCTACTTGGAAGGCTGAGGCACAAGAATCGCTTGAACCCGGGGGTTGGAGCTTGCAGTGAGCCAAGATGGCACCACTGCACTCCTGCCTGGGCAACAGAGCAAGACTCTGTCTTTAAAAAACAAAAACAAACAAAAAGAAAAGTGTAGCATTCTAGACTGACTGTTTTTGTTTTTCAGTACTTTAAGGATGTTACTCCATTGACTTCTGGCTTGCGTAGTTTCTGAATAAAAGTCTTCCGTAATTCTTTGTTCTTCTGTCTATTGTTTCTGGCTGCCTTCAAGATTTTATTTTTATTATTGGTTTGCCAGAAGTTTGCACATGGTATATCTAGATGTGGGGGTCTCTTCTACTTAAAATTTATATTTTATTATTTACATACAATAAAATTCACACATTTTAAGTGTGCAGGTTGATACATTTTGGTAATTATATACAATTATGTTACCACCACCACAATCAGAATACAGAACAGTCCCTGCACCCTAAAACATTTCTTGCTGCTTATTTGCAGCCCATCTCCTTCCCCACCCCAGCCCCAGGCAGCCACTAATCTGGTTTCTGTCATTATAATTTTGCCTCTTCTAGAGTTTCATATAAATGGAATCATGCAGTACACAGTCTTTTGTATTTCATTATTTCTCTTATATTTTTGAGATTCATTCATATTGTTACACGTATATTAATATGCCATTCCTTTTTGTGGCTGAATGGTATTTCATAGTGTAATTTGTTTATTCATCAGTTGATGGACATTTGGGTTGCTTTCAGTTTTTTATTTTTTATGAATAATGCTGCTGGCCAGGCATGGTGGCTCACACCTGTAATCCCAGCACTTCAGGAGGCTAAGGTGGGCAGATCACTTGAGGTCAGGGATTCAGCACCAGCCTGGCCAATGTGGTGAAACCCTGTCTCTACTAAAAATACAAAAATTAGCCAGTCGTGGTGGGGTGCATCTGTAATTCCAGCTACTCAGGAGGCTGAGGCACAAGAAATGTTTGAATCTGGGAGGCGGAGGTTGCAGTGAGCTGAGATCGTGTTACTGAACTCCAGCTTGGGTGACAGAGTGAGACTCTGTCTCAAAAAAAAAAAAAATGCTGCTATAACCATTCACTTACAAGTCTTTGTGAAAGTTTTCATTTCTCTTGTATTGGAATTGTTGGGTTGTATGGTAAGAATATGTTTAACTCTACAAATACTACCATGCTGTTTTTAAAGTGGCTGCATCATCATTCATTCCCACCAGCAATATATTGAATCCCAAGTTACTCCATATCCCTGCCAACATCTGGTATTGTCAGTCTTTTTGTTTTTCTTCTTCTTTTTGTTTTTGGGTTTTTTTTTTTTTTTTTTTTTTTTGAGATGGAGTGTTGCTCTGTTGCCCAGGCTGGAGTGCAATGGCATGCTCTCAGCTTACTGCAACCTCTGTTTCCTGGGTTCAAGTGATTCTCCTGCTTCAGTCTCCTGAGTAACTGGGATTACAGGCACCCGCCACCATACCCAGCTAATTTTTGTATTGTCAGTAGAGATGGGGTTTCACCATGTTGGCCAGACTGGTCTCGAACTCCTGACCTCAGGTGATCTGCCCGCCTTGGCCTCCCAAAGTGCTGGGATTACAGGTGTGAGCCACTGTGCCCAGCCTGTCAGTCTTCCCACCTGCACCCCCCCGCCACCCCGCAGACAGAGTCTTGCTCTGTCGCCCAGGCTGGAGTGCAGTGGCACTGTCTTGGCTCACTGCAAGCTCCGCCTCCCGTGTTCATGCCATTCTCCTGCCTCAGCCTCCTGAGTAGCTGGGACTACAGGTGCCTGCCACCACGCCCAGATATTTTTTGTATTTTTTAGTAGAGACAGGGTTTCACCATGTCGGCCAGGATGGTCTCAATCTCCTGACCTCAAGATCTACCCACCTCAGCCTCCCAAAGTGCTGGGATTACAGGCGTGAGCCACCGCACCCGGCCCCTGTCAGTCTTTTTTAACGTTCATCTTTCTACGGGTGTGGAATGGTGTCTTGTTATGGTTCCTATTTACATTTCTGTAGTGATTAGTGATTTTGAGCATATTTCCCTGCCCTTGCTAAATATTCATATATCTCTAGTGAAGATACCACATCAAGTATCATTCAAGCATTTACTGAATCACTGCTATGTATGGATTACTGTCTGAGTGCTGGGGATTTAATGGGGAGTTAAGACCTTCTAGAAGGCAGCGTCCATGCTGTCCACTGGTCCTAGGAACATCACTCCTCATGCTGCTAACTATATCCAGGACCAAGTGAGCTTTGGTCACCTAGACAGAGGCCAGATGAAAGGGGCCAGGGCTCATCTCCTTCTAACTGTTGGCCTTGCTTCCTCCTACACTGCACCTTGCAGGTGGGCTGGCTGTGTGAGACTCGGCCGAGAGGCTGGGAGACACCTAAGAGAGAGACAGCCCATGATAGAGGGAATTTAACGACACTCACCATATAGAACCATCCCATGCTCCGTGGGGAAAACAAGCCCCCAAAGAGTTGCACCCTCAGAGGGATTCCATCTTGGCTGCTCTCCGTTTATAACCCTACTCCTTGGCCAGAGCACCACCAGCCTCTGACTCCTGCCTCATGAAATCTTCCTGACTCTGGAAACTCCACTCCCAACCCACAGAAGCTTTTGTGATCTTCCATCCATCCCCTTTCTCTCAGCACTACACTTCCCAGAGTATATGGTCTCCAGTCCAGACTCACACCATCCCAAGGACCTCTGCAGGACAGTCCACTGTGACATTTGGCACTGCAGTCCCTTGGAACAGTCCAGGATGACGGTGGACACTGAATCACTGAATCACGCTCCTTCTAGGGCTCCCAAATTCCCATTCTTCTCCTGATTGTCCACACGTGTCCTTATCACACACGTACCTCCTTCCCAAGAACAAGCATTAATTAAACAGTTCATCAAACCCCATAAAGAAAAATAAATAGTTTCCATACTGCCCTGTCATTTGCCAACATCCCCCACCCAGTGAAACTAACACTTCCCATGAACATGGAGAATGCTGTTAGCTCCCTTCATTCCTGCATTTCACCTTTCCTGCCCACCACCCAACCTCTCCTCAGGCCTCCCTGAAAGTTTTTATAGGGGAGGAGCATGGTGAGACTGTACTTCTTCGTGGCTGGGCCCTCATTTCGCAGAGGCTGGCCTAAAGCTCTGAAACGATGAAGCCCTTAGACAAGACTGCAGCAGCCTCCTGCTCCCAGGTGTTAGAGAGAGGGCGGTCATCTTCACAGGATGACAGGGCCCTCCAGGGGTGCTGCACCAGATGCAGGTGATGCTGTGGTGGCTGAAAGCGGGAGAGTCTTCCCAAACTGGAGGAAGCCCGGCTGGGCCGCCTTCCCTGATCTGCCCACCATGGCCAAGCTGGGAGCCAAGAGGCTCCTGCAAGGGCCCATCCGTCTCTGAGCTCTGAGCTGGCTGGGGTCAGCCTGAGCAGCGGTGGAAGGAGCACAGAGACCACAAGCGCCCTGCCTTCGGAACAATGTTCCCAAGAGCAGAGCTCCCCGGCCCCCGCCCCAGAAAGTCCCATCTGGGCAGTATCCTCCTCTGGGCCTGATGGCCAGAAACCCGCTTGTCTGACAGTGGCCAGCCTGAGTGGTGGGAGAGGTAGGTGTGGCCTGGAGAACACTTGGGCCCCTGAGGTTCGGACCCTGAACCAGTGCTGCTCAAAGGGGAAGCTGGTTCCTATCTCTCCCCCAGCCTATGGAGAGCAGGAGCCGTGTGGGCCAAGGCCTTGTGGAGGCCTTGAGGGCACAGGGCCTGGCTGTTTGGAACTGTGAGCCATCAGAGACCCTCCTGCCCACCTGGGCATCAGGAGCTCTGAGAAGATCTGGGACAAGGGAGCAGAGTCACCCAGTCCCACCGAGATCCTTACGGAGGCGGGGAGGTGGCCAGGGAGTGGACATGCGTCCCTGGACAGTGCAGTGCTTGAGGAGCATGGACTGTCTTCCATGCCACCCACTGTGTCTCATGAGGCCCCAACACTGCCTCAAGGTGAGTCCTCACCCTCTGCACAGAGCGGGAGGGCGGATGGGCATCCGGGGTGCTTGGAAAGCAGGCCTAAGAAGAGGCAGCTAAGGATTCCTGACTCCAAGAAAGAGACCTGCAACCAGGGCCTCCCAGGGCAGGAGGGTGCAGAGGGCAGCCTGAAGCCTCCAGTTCTAACGGCTCCAAGCCAGGTACAAGGTAGGAGGGACGATGTACCCTAAATTACCCCTAAGCTTCTCAGAGTCCTAAAAGCATCAGAGGGAAAGGCAGAGAACATAAAAAAGAGTCATTCATAAAAAAAAAAAAAAAGATAATTGATTAAACAACTATAGAAAATCACAGCAAAGAAAGTGTTGGAAACATAAAAGGCTGGCAGGAGATGTTTTGAAATGAACAGTTTCTGAATGAATGATAACCATGGCCCTGACTCGCTCCAGGAGAGAGAAGCCACAAAGCTTCCAATGTGTCTTCCAGGCCCTGCCTCCCCTCACCGGGAGGCAGACATTCCCAGAGACAAAGGCCTGGGGAGGCTGACTTGGCCCCACCCTGAACTCCATTTCTACCAAGAGCCCAAGATGTGGGTCAGGCTTTGGGAAGGGCTGGGGAGCAGATACCAGGTCAGAGAAGTGCAGAGCTGCAGATGGGCTCACCAGCCCTGGATCCACAAGGAAGTGGGGTGGGGGGTCACTATGGAGCAAATGCATGTCCACTGGGCAGAGACAGGGGAACTAGGCCCAAGAGGCCCAGCAGAAACAGAGTTCCATCACAAGCAGGAAGTGTTTGCTGTGACTGTCGCATCTGCTTCCCCAGCTTGGGGTACAAAAGAAGGTCCCCCACCTTTCTGAAATCCAGCTCAGATATTCTCACCCCCCGACCCCCGTCACTGAATCTTTATGTCTGCCTTGTGCAAGCTGGACGGCCCTCTGGGTCCCACAAAGGGTATGGGGGTGCAATACATAGCGAGCAGACCATAATACTTGGAGCTCTCCCCCATGGGCAGTCCGAGGGAAAGATTCACTACCCTCCCTCTCACAGGCCCTCAGGCCCTTCCAGGAGGGTCCCATGACTTTGAAGGGGCAGGGGCCTGGGTCCCATCATCCACCAAAGGCCTCTGAGCCACCCATGCCAATTTCCCAACAATCTTAAGCTCTGCTGGTAAGTAGCCACTCTTGGGTGAGGGGTGTAAGATTCTGCCTCCCCAGGCAGCCCAAGACACCCTTCCTTTGCCCCAGTCAATGCAAAGATGACACCAGGAGGGTGGAGCTGGGGAATCCTGCACGCCACAGGCCCCAACCACATCTGAGAAGAGAGACCACCATGAGTAAGAAGTTTTCAGGTGTCTCAAGGGAGCCCCTACTTATACTCCTGGCAGATACTCTCCACTCTGATTAAGTTACACAGAGCACGTTTTATTATTTTTGTAATTTAGTTTTATATTTTTGCCATGTCATTTATTTTTTCTTCCCCTTCCCTGCAGCTTTACAAAGGTATAATTGGCAAATAAAAATTGTATATATTTACAGTGTACAAAATGATGTTTTGATTTATGTATATATTGGGAAATGATTAAAATAAGCAAATTCATATATCCATTTCCTCTCATCTTTTTTTGCAGTGAGACCGTGTAAGATCTCTCTCAGGAATTTTCAAGTATATAATTAATACATTATTACTAACTACAGTTACCATGCTATACATTAATCTCCAGGATTTACTCAGCCTGTCCAACTGAAATGTTGTACCCTTTAACCAACATACCCGCATTTCATACACACAAACACTCCCCAGTCCCTGACAACCACCATTCTACTCTCTGCTTCTATGAGTTCAACTTTGGATTCCACATATGAGTTGAGATCATGCAATATTTGTCTTTTTGTTTCTGGCTTCTTTCTTTCTTTCTTTCTTTCTTTTTTTTTTTTTTTTGACATGGAGTCTCGCTCTGTCGCCCAGGCTGGAGTACAGTGGTGTGATCTCAGTTCACTGCAACTTCTGCCTCCTGGGTTTAAGTGATTCTCCTGCCTCAGCCTCCCAAGTAGCTTGGATTACAGGTGCCCGCCACCACGCCTGGCTAATCTTTGTATTTTTAGTAGAGACGGGGTTTCACCATGTTGGCCAGGCTGGTCTTGAACTCCTGACCTCAAGTGATCTGCCTGCCTCAGCCTCCCAAAGTGCTGGGATTACAGGCGTGAGCCACTGCACCTGGCCAGCTTATTTCATTTAACATAATGTCCTCTATGTTCATCCATCCAAGAAAAGGACAGAATTTCCCTCTTTAAGGCTGACTCGTATTCCATGGTGTGTAAATCCCACATTTTCTGTATTCCATTTATTTGCTAATGGACACTTAGGTTCATACCATGTCTTGGCCATTGTGTATAATGCTGGGATGACCATGGGAGTACAATTACCTCTTTGACATACTGATTTCATATCCTTCAGGCATCTACCCAGAAGTAGGACTGCTGGATCATAAGGTAGTTCTATTTTTTGGCCAGGCACAGTGGCTCATGCCTATAATCCCAGCACTTTGGGAGGCCAAGGCAGGCGGATCACTTGAGATCAGGAGTTCGAGACCAGCCTGGCCAATGGAGTGAAACCCCGTCTCTACTAAAAATACAAAAATTAGCCAGCCGTGGTGGCATGCGCCTGTAGTCCCAGCTACTCGGGAGGCTGAGGCACGAGAATCACTCGAACTCAGGAGGTGGAGGTTGCAGTGATCTGAGATCATGCCACTGCATTCTAGCCTGGGCAACAGAGTGAGACTCAGTCTCAAAAGTAAATAAATACATAAATAAAATAAGGTAGTTCTATTGGTAGTTCTTTGAGGAACTTTTATATTGTTTTCAATAATGGCTGCGCTAATTCCCATCCCCACCAACAGTGTATGGGGTTCCCTTTCTCCATATCCTCACTGACATTGTTATCCTTTGTCTCTTTGATCATAACTTTCTCCCACATGTGAGATGATAATGACTTGTGGTTTTAATTTGCCTTTTCCTGATGATTGGTAATATTGAGCATTTTTTCATATGCCTGTTGGCCATTTATCTGTGTGCCTTCTTTTGAGAAATGCCTATTTGAGTCCTTCACCCATTTTTGAATTGGGTTATTTGTTCTCCTCGCCATGGACTTGTTTGAGTTCTTTATATATTTTGGATATTAACCCTTTATCAGATGTATAATTTGCAAATATTTTCTCCCATTCTGCTCATTGTCTCTTCACTCTGCTGATTGTATCCTTTGCTGTACAGAAGCGTTTTAGTTTGATATTATCCCATTTGCCTATTTCTGCTTCCACAGCCTGTACTTTTGGGGTCCTATTCAAAGAGTCATTGCCCAGACCACTGTCAAGAAGGTTTTTCCCAATGTTTTCTTCTATGGTTTTATAGTTTGGGGTCTGAAATTTAAGTCTTTAATCCATTTTGAGCTGATTTTTGTATATGGTGCAAGATGAGGGTCTGGTTTCATTCTTTTGCATATGGATCTAGTTCTCCCAACACCGTTTATTGAAGAAATCATCATTTCCCCAATGTGTGTTCTTGGCATTTTTTTTTTTTGAGGCAGAGTGTCACTTGCCCTGCGTCCAAGACTGGAGTGCAATGACACAACCATAGTTCACTGTAACCCCAAGTTCCTGGGCTCAAGCAATCCTCCTACCTCAGCCTCTGAAGTAGCTGGGATTACAGGCGTGTGCCACCATGCTCAGCTAATTTTTTGTCTGTTTGTTTTTGAGATGAAGTCTCGCTCTGTTGCACAGGCTGGAGTGCAGTAGTGCGATCTCGGCTCACTGCAACCTCCACTTCCTGGGTTCAAGCGATTCTCCTGCCTCAGCGTCCCCGAGTAGCTGGGACTACAGGCATGTGCCACCACGCTCGGCTAATTTTTTTGTGTTTTTCGTAGAGATGGGGTTTCGCCACATTGGTCAAGCTGGTCTCAAACTCCTGACCTCAAATGATCCACCTGCCTCAGCCTCCCAAAATGCTGGGATTACAAGCGTGAGCCACTGCGCCCGGCCATCAGCTAATTTTTATTTTTTTTTGTAGAGATAGGATGTTGCTATATTGTCTAAGCTGCTCTTGAACTCCTGGGGTCAAGCTATCCTCCCACCTCAGCCTCCTAAAATACCAAAATTACAGGTGTGAGCCACTACCTCTGGCCTCTTGGCACTTTTGTTGAAGGTAAATTGACTGAGCCCTCCAACCTGAAATATCCCACCTGCCACTCCCTGAAAGCCTGCAGTTGACTCCCACTGACCCCAGGAGTCCTCCTCCAAGCTCCGGCGGTGCTGTCCAGCTCCCCCTGGCCCATGCTTAAACAAGGGCATGACTTTCCCCAGCTAGTGCACAAGGTCCAGGAAGGCTGGGACAGGGTCCATATGTCTCCTCAGGGCACCCCATGAATACTGGCTGCATGAACGTGTGGGTGCCTGAAGGAGGAAGGAGGAAGTCTTTAAAAAGGAGTGGCGCAGCCGGGCGCCAGAAACAAAACCTGGCCAGGCGCAGTGGCTTACGCCTGTAATCCCAGCACTCTTGGGGGACGAGGCGGGCAGATCACGCGGTCAGGAGATCGAGACCATCCTGGCTAACACGGTGAAACCGCATCTCTACTAAAAATACAAAAAATTAGACGGGTGTGGTGGCGGGCGCTTGTAGTCCCAGCTACGCAGGAGGCTGAGGCAGGAGAAGGGCATGAACCCGGGAGGCGGAGCTTGCAGTGAGCTGAGATCATGCCACTGCACTCCAGCCTGGGTGACAGAGCGAGACTCCGTCTCAAAAAAAAAAAGGCGTGGCCCTCTCAGCTATGGCTGCCTTGGCCCTGTGGTGGGTGCTGTGCCACTCAGGGCTGAGGCCCACACTGCCCCAGCTGCCAGAAGCAGTGATCCCTGTGGGCTCACAGCCAGGTTCCCTTCTGGGGAGACTTAGCCAAAGGGGCCTACTGTGCCTCCTGCTCCCTATGGGCACCCGCATTCAAGGGCTGATGGAGTTGGGGGTGCAAACCCAGTTTCCCAGAGATCTCTACCCAAGAGAGTTGCTCTCAGAAGTGGTCAGAGGAAATGGACCCTAAATTGAGATTTCGGAGCTGAATCACCACTGACCGGCTCAACTGAAGCCCCCAGGGTGGGCGTGAGAGACCACTGTCTCAAAAACAAACAAACAAACAAACAAACAAACTAGAATCCCCAGATTCTCCTGAATCATCTGGACCTACAGAGGAGGCCCACTGCTCCTGTTAAAGGCTAGCACCCCCTTTCTTGAAGTGTTTTATATAGAGAGAATGTGTGTGTTATAGTTGGGGGGCGGGGGGAGAGAGAGAGAGAGATGTCTGCCTTGCAAGACAATGCATGCGTTTTTCAGGATCTATGCCAATATCCCCCTCCTGACACCAGACCAATCATGAGGGTCAAACAACAACATAACCTAGCTAGGACATGCTGGCCTGCTAAGGGAGGGAGGGACTCTATTCCGAAGGAACTGCAGGATCTGCCTAGCATGGACCAGCAAGATCCAGGAGAGCACATCCAGGACTGCATCCCAAGAGTGCTGGACCCAGCAGGGGACAGAATATAAAGACGGATAAGACAAGAGTTGATGAATGTGGGAGGACTTTCCGTGATAGAAGCTTGTGACCCTGGCTGGGTCCCAGGGAGACAGTGCTAATGGGCTGTTAGAATGGCTCTTGGACACCTGCAAAGAGCTATGGCCTTCACTAAGTGAAGGAAAACTTCCAGCCCCACCATGGAGGATGGTAGGGAAATGAGCCTACTAGAGCACATACGTGATGTTGGGCCAGCAAACCTACCAGCCCACTGTGTCCTGTGAGAGGGCTCGGAGGTCACTTCATTTACCAAAGTGACAATATTTGGCATGTAATATTGGTTTTTATAGCCAAGAGTGGCAAGGTCAGAGTGGTAGCCAGGAAGACCTGACATGCAGAGAGCTATGCGGCCGGATAATACAACAAAATGTTCCTAGGGACCAGGGGAATGAGCAGTCAGCAAGGGTGTGGCCGAGCTTTCGAAACTAAAATAAATCAAACATGGATGAGCAGGAGGCTGAGAGTGGCTGCCCCAGTCCCCCGCTACAATCCCTTGCCTGGTTTTGGACCTAGAACTCATTGAAAGGCCAGGTTCCCAACATCACTGCCGGTGCAGGGAGCCAAAATCTCCCCCACAGTCCTTCCCCAAAGAAACCTAAGGCCACTCATTCAAGTAACTATACACAGGGAGGGGGAATACAGAACCATTTCAAGGACTATTGCACACAGAATCCTGGGGACATGGAGCATCATCTTGACTCCTGTTAAAGGGAGGGCATACGGGGTCAGGTGATAGAGCCCTAGCCCCACTTTGGATTTTGGTAGGTCCACAGGGTCCATGGAGCCACCTGGTGGTCATTTCCCGAGCCCTCAAATGCAATGATTGAAGTGGACACACTTGGCATATGGGGTAACCCCATGTTGGCCAGATACTTGGGATTGTGGAATAAGAGCTATAGACCTGGGAAGCTGAGTGGGAATCCCTGACACTGCCCCTCCCCCAGCCAAGACAGTAAATAAAAACCAATATTGCATGCTGAAGAGAGTTACAGCAATTATAAGGGACGAATAGATTCCACTGTTAAAACCTGAAGGATGCAGGTATACTTTCTCCCCATTATAGAGTCATTTAATTAGCCAAACCCCTGCAAAAACCACATGGATCCTGGGGATTGACAGTGGAATACTGCAAACCCAAACAAATAGGAGCCCCAATTGTGGTATCTTTGCTATAGCAGGTCAACACAATCTCAAGTCCATGGTAGGAAGCCAATACATTCATTTCCATCCCTACTTAAGAGGAGAACCAGAAGCCGCTTACATTCATTTAGGATGGATAAGAGTACACATTGGCTGGGCACGGTGGCTCACACCAATAATCCCAGCACTTTGGATCTGAGGTGGGCAGATCATCAGATCACCTGAGGTCATGAGTTTGAGACCAGCCTGGCCAACATGGTGAAACCCCATCTCTACTAAAAATACACAAAATTAGCCGGGTGCGGTGGGCGCTTGTAATCCCAGCTATTCAGGAGGCCGAGGCAGGAGAATCGCTTGAACCTGGGAGGTGGAGGTTGCAGTGAGCCGAGATTGCACCACTGCACTCCAGCCTGGGCAACAGATTGAGACTCCGTCTTAAGAAAACAAAAAAGAAGAAGAAGAAGAAGAATACACACTGATTGTCTCACCCCAGGGCCATATTAACTCTTTTCCCTCTTTCCTAATATAGTCTGGATGGACCAGACACTCTGCACAATGCTGCACTGGTTCAGTATACTGATATCCTATTAATTAAACTGGATGACCAGATTGACGAGGAGAAACCTCAGAGGCCTTATTAAGGTGCGTGTGCTGCAGAGGGTGGGAGAGAAACCCTGTGAAGTTCCAGGCGTCTGCTGCATCGGTGAAGTTTTTAGGGGCCCAGTGGTTGGAGCTTAACAGGCATCTCCACAGTGAAGGAAGGACTACATTGTGTACTTCCCACCACTAAGAAGGACCACGAGGACTGGTCGCCTCTGTGGGTTCTGGAGGCAGCACGTGCCACACTTGGGAATACTGCGTGGTCACATTTACCAGGTGGTGTGAAAGGCTGCCAGCATGGGGAAGAACGCTGCAGTGGGCACAGGCTATGGTGCTAGCAATCCAGCAAATTAGGCCAAATGATCTGGAAGATGCTATGGTTCTAGAGATACCTATGGTGGAAAAGATGCCTTGTTGCTTTAAATCTCTGAGTGTGTGATAACTTCATGGCAAACCCCCAGTGGGAGAATCACAACCTGGACCCTGGGGGTTCTGGAGTAAGGCCACGCTATCTGCAGCAAAGGAAGACAGATGCTGGTATGCCTCTGCACCCTAGCAGAGCGGAAGACACCAAGCGGTGATCACACCACTAGAGCTGCCTGCCTTGAGCCGGGCTCTGCCAGGGCCTCCAGGGCATAGGTCAGGCATGCTCGACAGAAATCTATGATAAGATGAAAGGGCACATCCAGCACTGGGCTTATGCAGGGCCAGAGCCACAGATAAACTGCACAAGACCCTCCTATCATCTGCCTCTGTTGCACCACTGGAGGTCCCTCACCTTCATCACTGCTGTGTTGGGTGGCGGTGTCACTTATGACCACCTAGTGGAGGAAGAAATAGGCCGAGCTTGGTTCATGCATGGGTTGGCTCAGTGTGGGATGCAAAAAATGCCTAAAAATAGATAGCTGCTGCACTGCAGCCTCACTCCGGGGCCTCCCTGAAAGGCAGTGCTGACAGACTGCCTCTCCCAATCTCCCCATGGACAGAAACTTGGTGTATTAGTTCATTGTTGCTGCTGTAACCAATTTCCAAAAACTTGGGAGTTTAAAACAACACAAATGGAATCTCTTACAATTCTGGAGGTCAGAGCTGAAACTGGGTGTTACTGGGCTGAAGTCAAGGTGTGGTCAGGGCTGTAATCCTTCTGGAGGCTCTAGGGGAGAATCCATTTCTTCTCCTTTTTCAGCTTCTAGAAGCTACCTGCATTCTCTGGCTCATGCACCCTTTCCAGAAACGACATCATTTTAACGTCTGTTTCTATGGCCACGCCTTCTTCTCGGACTTTGGCCCTCCTGGCTCCCTCTTCCACTTTTTTTTTTTTTTTTTTTTTTGAGATGGAATTTCGCTCTGTTGCCCAGGCTGGAGTGCGATTGTGCGATCTTGGCTCACTGCAACCTCCACCTCCTGGGTTCAAGTGATTCTCTTGCCTCAGCCTCCCGAGCAGCTGGGATTACAGGTGCCCGCCACCAGGCCCAGCTAATTTTTTTTGTATTTTTAGTAGAGAGAGGGTTTCACCATGTTGGTCAGGCTGGTCTCGAACTCCTGACCTCAGGTGATCCACCCGCCTCAGCCTCTGAAAGTGCTAGGGTTACAGGCGTGAGCCACCACACCCGGCCTCCCTCTTTCACTTATAAGGACATTTATGATTACATTGGGCCACCCAGATAATCCAGGATAATGTTCCCATCTCAAGATCCTCAATGTAATGACATCTGCAAAGTCCCTTTTACCCTGTACCAAAACAGATGTACAGGTTCCAGACATGGGCGTGTGTGGGGGCCCACCGTTCTGCCCACCATGCTTAGGCAGTACACGTAGCTCTCCATTTTGTGTAGAAAGAGAAGTGGCTTGGCATAAGAATATGTTCAGACCCATGGACAGCGGCAAAAGACGGCTGTTGCTGCTCTGGGCCTGGAAAATTCAAAGGTTGGGGACCAGGAGTTTAGTGGAAGGGTCATGCATGCAGCTAGGACCATGGGAGTGGACAGGCATGTGAAGGTCTCTGTATCCCTGCTAACAGCCACCAGAGAGCACCACCATGGAAAAGGCACCCAGCAGCCATGTAGGAAGATGCTTTGGCCGTTCGGAGTCAGCCTGCCTCTGTCATAGGCCATTCAGTGAGTAGCAGTGGTGGCAGGGTTGCAGGATGGTGTGGGCCTGACAGTATGGCCTCCAACTCGCCAAGGCTGAGTTAGTTCCAGCAACTGCTAAACATCCAGCTTAACAGCAAGACACCAAAGCTGAGCTCCCAGCAGAGTGCCACCGGGAGGAACTCAACTGGCCACTAGGTGGAAGGTTGATTACATTGGACTTAAACTCAATTATATTGCCCTAAAGGTGAGGCAGTGATTCATTTTGACTGACCCAAAGTGTGGATTTGGATATCCCAAGTGTGGATTTGTCTTTCCTGCCCTTACGAACACTATCTGGAGGTTTATAAAATGTTTGATCGATGGATATAGAATACCACATAACATTGCTTTGGACCAAAAAGACTCACTTTACAGCAAAGGATCTATGGTGTTGGGTACATGACCGTGGGCTCCACTGGGCCCATTCCTTACCATGCCGTTCAGATGCTGCCAATCTGGGTGAGTGATGGAGTGGTCCTCTTGTTAGCTCTGCTGAGGAGAAAATACCCTTTGAGGATGGGATTCCATCCTTTAAGACACAAAATATACCCTAAATCAGTGACCATCATAAATTGCTGTCTCCAGCTGATGAAAGGCATGGGTCTGGGAACCCAGGAGCAGAAGCAGGAACAGCCCCCAACCATGACCTCCAGGGATCCAGTTGGTGAATTTGAACTTCTCGTCCCCTCCATGTTGTGCTTTGCAGGTCTAGAGGCCTGTTCTCTAGAGGGGGAACACTGCCACCAGGGGATCCAGTGGACAATAAGCGATGGCTGTCACTGGTCACTCAGGCTCTGTGCCAAAAGACGAGCAAGCAAGGAAAGGAGTCGGTGTCCCAGCAGGGGTGACTGGCTCTGATCCTCAAGAGCAGGAAGGGCTGCTGGAACCGGGGTGGAGGAGAATCACCCTGGCACACAGCTGGCTTCTGGGGCATCACTTGGCACGCTCCTGCCCAGTTTTGGTGGGAAATGGACAAGCACAGCAGTTGCAGCCTGAAGAGCGTGTAGTGGCTGGGATGAGGGTTTGTGTCCTCCTGCCAGGTGGGTGCCCAAGCGCAGCAGAGGTGCTAGCAGAGGAAGTGGGGAATCCAGACTGAGCAGTAGATGACAAAAATCAGCTATGGTCATCCCACTAGCCTTCCTCCTACCTAACCCAGCAAAGAGACAAACCAGAGTCAGTCCTGGGAGGGGACGCTTCAGATGGGGTCCTGGAAATTTTCCAGGAAGAAAGGACGGGGGAGTTCACTGGAGAGCCATGGCCGAGCTTCCTTCCCACCTGCTAAGACTTCACCACTTCTCTAAAACACAAACCCGGCTCAACTGGTCGCCTATACAAACCTAACAAAGGCTTCGTCGGCTGCAAAAATATTGTTGCTGAAAATGGGTCAGTCTTTTGATGCCAGTGAAAGACGCTGGTCCCTGCTGATAGCACACACACACACACACACACACACACACACACACACCCCCCACACTGGGCCATGCAGCTGTTGGTACAGAGCTGCCAGGGCTAGAAACGGCTTTTCTGGGTGTCATAGGCCTTGGCCTCCCCTCCAATGCCCTGGAGGGGCAATTCCCAGTAGGAGAAGCTCCGCCCACAGGTCTGCAGGGAGCCCTCCTCAGATGAGGCAGCAAACGCCACTGCACTCTGTTGGCCGACATAAGATGTCCTAAAGGAAAGTCATCTCTGGAGTTAGATAAATATGGCCTGAAACCTTTATGTCCTGAATATTGGGGAGAGGGAGGAGAAATGGGGAGAAAAGAGTAAAAACAACCATGAGAAGCCTTGGACAGGATCAGGTGAAGTGCATCCTTGGGAGAAGGGGGAAATGATTCTTACTTTGAGTGAGTTCCGAACTGCCTTGGGGAGAAGCCCTAAACCTGTAGCCCAAGATGACAAGAACTTAATTCCTAGAAATAAAAAAGCCTCCACTATCCCTGTCATGGGATGCCATCAAAAGTTGCCTGGGAGGGACAGTTGTGTGATGAGTTTTGAGTTTTCGAGAACTCAGGAGTCCTGAGCGGGCGCATGGAGACGACAAAGAAGAATGGGAGCTGGAAAACCGGAGTGGGAGGCACCATGAGACCCAAGTCGCTGGTCTCAGGTGCTAGCAGGAAGTGAATGCTGGGGACGCAGGAAGTGAACGCTGGGGACAGGGGACGTCGTTTCTCATCCCATGAGGGCCAGGACTCTAATGAGTCCAGCACAGATGGACGTCCTGGTGGCAGGACTCAGTGTCTGCACCGGGTGACACACAGGGCCCAGCCTCATCTTCATCAATAGGAAAACATGAGCTCTGGTAGGGCAGCCCCACATTCAAACCTGGGCGCCTCTGGGCATCAGAGGAGGAAGGGCCCAAACCACCTGAACAAGTGCTTGCCCCAAAGGGCACAGTGACCTGGCTGGGGGCGACATCCAGAGTCCTGAGCAGGAGCAGGGACCCCTCCACCCCTCCACACACTGCCCCAACGGTTCTGGGAAGACCCTCACCGCCACATCTCAGAGATACATGGCCTTTAAGCAGACACTCCTAGAAAGTTGTTGTGACCGGGTGCAGTGGCTCACGCCTGTAATCCCAGCACTTTGGGAGGCCGAGGTGGGCAGGTCAAGAGATCAAGACCATCCTGGCCAACATAGTGAAACCCCGTCTCTACTAAAACTACAAAAATTAGCTGGATGTGCTGGCACACACCTGTAGTCCCAGCTATTTGAGAGGCTGAGGCAGGAGAATCACTTGAACCCGGGAGGTGGAGGTTGCAGTGAGCTGAGATCATGCCACTGCACTCCAACCTGGCAGCAGAGCAAGACTCCATCTCAAAAAAAAAAAAAAAAAGTTGTTGTTGTTATTGTTTTTAATCCAAGTGAGAAAGAACACGGGAGTCCACCTGAGCAAAGCAGGAAGACCATGTGGAGAGCTGAGAAAACAAGCAAGGAAGACACATTCCTCCTTCCACCCCAATGGAAATAGACACTTTTACATTTCCCCTTCTGGGGCTTTCCATTGGCACATTCTTTCCTATGGCTGTCAGAATAGGATATTGGCCGAGAAAAGCACATGTTTTGCTTTGTCTTTTAGCAACATTGCCACCTCTGCCTTCTTTTGCTTCACAGATATGCCCATGCCCATTATTTTATGTTTTACTTTTCTGTAGCATTTTTGTGCCGATTTGACTGAAAAGCCCTCAAATATTGAATATCTTCAATCCCATCTGAGTGCTCACAGCTCCTATGTTAGCTATTTGTTGCCCTCACAGTCATTCCTGGTCTGTATCTGTTGAATTGCTTTCTGTGGTTTATTTGTTTTCATCATCTGAATTTTGCTCTATAGACTACTTTATTTGTTTATAATCTCTACAGAGGTTTGGATGATAAACATAAGCTTGGTAAACCTCCAGCAACAGTTGTTCAAAATAGCATGAAACTCATATCTAATTACTGAAGACAAAGATTGGAAATGAATAGAAGTCAAATAAAAATAACTTCACAATACAAAAAATTTAATGCTTTTGCTTTTTACTATGCAGGTTCTCCATCTCTATTAACAAAGCAAGCCATTTTAAGCCAAATATCCTGCTCAAAATAGGTTTCTTATTTTATATTTAATAGTCTATAGCATTACTATATTTATGCTTTCTAATTATCAAATGCTTATAATAAAGTATATTACATATAATTTATAATTTATGTAAATTATTGTAAATGCTTATTATAGAATATGAAGGATACTGAAATATATAAAGAGGAAAACTAATGTCACCCATATTCTACCACCCAGAGGAAAGCACTATGAAAATTTGGGCATTCCTTCAGGTTTTTCTTCCAGATATACACTGACATGAAGGCACACCCCTAAAAACCTATCTGTTAATTCATACACCTCCTCTATAAGGTAAGTTCATTTTTTTTTAAGACAGAGTTTCACTGTTATTGCCCAAGCTGCAGTGCAATGGCGCGACCTTGGCTCACTGCAACCTCCGCCTCCCGAGTTCAAGTGATTCTCCTGCCTCAGCCTCCCAAGTAGCTGGGATTACAGGTGTGCACCACCACGCCCGGCTAATTTTTTGTATTTTTAGTAGACATGGTGTTTCACCATGTTAGCCAGGCTATTCTCGAACTCCTGACCCCAGGTGACCCGCCCACCTCAGCCTCTGAAAGTGCTGGGATTACAGGCGTGAGCCACCGTGCCTGGCTGGTAAGTTCATATTTTTCAAACCAAATTGCAAATCTTGGTTTCTCAGGCCAACATGAGGCACAAAGATCAGCAGGGTCTCATGCCCACCAAGTCCATGGCTGACAACGCTCACCCTTCCTGCATCCAGGAAACAATTGGGAACACTGCAAACTCTTCCCAGATTTCCTGGGACCTCCTCTTGGCCTTTGACCTCAAGAGTTGGAATAAGTTGGGGACTAAAATGCTGAGGTCAGCCCGGACTTCTGGCTCTCCTCACTCAGACAGAACCTGCATCTTCCACTGGAACCCTAATGATTTACATCAATATGTGGGAGAGCTACGCTGCCCTACCCAGGCCCTCACTCAGCAGACAACAGCCTCCTTTGTATTGATGGTAGATTTTAAGGCCACGAAGAGGAGGAGTGGCTTAACACAGAAAGGCCAGTCCCTACCACAAACAATGTCTCAATGGCAATGATTACAAATCCAAAATTATCATTTTTGCGGCTGGCTTCCAACATGAACTGACTTATAGCAAAAGGAGTTTATAAGAAGCCTTAATAACCTTGAGAAATATCTTACAATGGACACTTTATTGAGATTTGGTAAGAACAGCCCCTTTTAAAATCCTCTAACAAAGAGTTTAGAAAAATAGTCTTCTAGATGTCGAACTTTGGGAGCTCCATTTCTCCTTGTAACTGGGCAGATCAAAACTCTATTTTCTAAGGAATCGCTTAGGTTGGCCACGTTGGCCTGAACCCAGGGCAAGCAGGGCAGGCTTCTTCCCTCCATGCATGTGGCCCTACATGCATCACCACTTTCACTGGGGGTCATGGTGGGAGCTTGAAATTGGCCATGTGGGCGTATCTGTGTCACAGAAATAGATAAATGCTACATATTTTTTCTTTCTTTTTTTTTATTTTTCCAGAGAGCCAACTGTTACACATTAACTAGCACACCACTGGAGTCAGCCCAACAAATGATTGGAATCAGTTCCTGGTGTCCTTGCCAAAGCATCGAGTTTTAAATCACAGATGACTGCCCCTGTGCCAACGAATTCTTCTCCAGCCACCCATCTAGCGTTATGCTCCTTCGCCACCACACTGCGAAGAACCAGCGTCACCTGTGTTCCTTCAGCTCCTGCTGGCACACATTAGCTTTGCAATTCCTTTGGAGAACAGGACAGTTCTGACCAGAGCTGAGCATATGCCTCTCTGCTCTAGCTACGGTGAAGCCTGCCCCTGGATGTTGGCATCAAGGAGCAGTGGTGAGGGCAGGTCTTGAGAACAAACACCTTGCAGGACACCTACCACAGGTAAGGTATTCCGTAAGAACAACCTGTTCTCCGGCAAGGAGGAAGTATTTGCTTCTGTTGGCTTGGAGGCTTCTGAGAATTTGGGGGTTTGAGATTCTCAGCTTATCTACTCAATTGTCCATAGCCATGGTCTCAGGACCATTCACTATCTGGCTCCTGACTGATGCAGCAGGCCTGTCAAGGCTGTGACTTTAGTCTCGTTTGTAGCCTTCAACCCTTATCAAATTTGAGGTCTTCTTTTCTTTTTTTTCTTTTTTTTTGAGACGGAGTCTCACTTTGTTGCCCAGGCTGGAGTGCAGTGGCGTGATCTCGACTCACTGCAACCTCCGCCCCCTGGGTTCAAGCGATTCTCCTGCCTCAGCGTCCCGAGTAGCTGGGATTACAAGCACGCACTACCACGCCTGGCTAGCTTTTGTATTTTTAGTAGAGAGGGGGATTTTGCCCATGTTAGCCAGGCTGGTCTCGAACTCCTGACCTCAAGTGATCTGCCCCCATCGGCCTCCCAAAGTGCTGGGATTACAGATGTGAGCCACTGCGCCCAGCCTCGAGGTCTGATTTTCTTTTTTCTTTTTGGCTCACTGCAACCTCTGCCTCCCGCGTTCAAGCGATTCTCCTGCCTCAGCCTCCCGAGTAGCTGGGATTATAGGCGCACGCTGCCACGGCCGGCTAATTTTTGTATTTTTAGTAGAGATGGCTAATTTTTAATTTTCACTATGTTGGCCAGGCTGGTCTCGAACTCCTGACCTCAGGTAATCCCTCTGCCTTGGCCTCCCAAAGTGCTGGGATTACAGGCGTGAGCCACTGTGCCTGGCCGATTTGCAACAGTGATTTCTCCTACCCAGTGGCTGTAGGAGATGTAAATCTCCTGAGCTGCCAGTGAGGCCCTTGGGCATTCAAAGTTTGTCTTAGGTTGGCAAGGAACTCTCCCAAGCCCACCGTTTCCTTTCTTCTGAGTGTTCAGCTCCAACATAAGAAGGCACCACCCTTCTGCATAATCATGATCATTATCATTGTCTCCCACTCAGGAAGCACCACCCAATGCCTTGCTCTCTGGCTGCACCCATCATAACTGACCACAGGTGAAAACTCCAGTAATCATAACGCCACTGTGTGATGAACGGTCACCAGCGGTCAGCAAACTTTTTCTGTAAAAGGACAGATAGTAAGTAATTCAGGCTTTGTGGGCCTCGTGTGATATCTGCAGCGTATTCTCTGACTTTTCCCCCTCCCTTTCCCTCTAGCCCACAAGCCATGGAAGAACAGGCCATAGTTTGCTGACCCCTGGTCATTACAATCCCACTTACCAGAGGTATGGAGACCCTGTGACTCTGAAACAGGTGGGAAGATAGATTCCAACGTGAAGCCTTGAGTGAGGGTCGGCTTTGTCAAACCATTTTCAGTATCCAGTGTCTTAGTTTAGGTTCCCTAGAAAACAGAGCCAGGGAACAGGCTTAAGAACAAAAGCTTTGGCCGGGCGCGGTGGCTCACGCCTGTAATCCCAGCACTCTGGGGGGATGAGTCAGGCAGATCACGAGGTCAGGAGATCGAGACCATCCTGGCTAACACGGTGAAACCCCATCTCTACTAAAAATACAAAAAATTAGCCGGGCGTGGTGGCGGGCGCCTGTAGTCCCAGCTACTCTGGAGGCTGAGGCAGGAGAATGGGGTGAACCCGGGAGGCGGAGCTTGCAGTGAGCCGAGATCATGCCACTGCACTCTAGAGCCTGGGGGACAGAGCGAGACTCCGTATCACAAAAAAAAAAAAAAAAAGAACAAAAGCTTTATTGGGAGGCACAATCCCAGGGCAGGGAGAGTGGAGAAAAAAGGAAGAAAAGGCAAGGTGAGGCATCCCCATGCTGGCTGCTGCTTCCTGATGAGCCACACGAGGCAAGCCAGACACGCGGCATGTCCTCATGCAGCTTGTGAACGCCAATGCCCTGGTCCATTGGGAAACCATGCCTTGGATTTTGGCCCAACAGAGGGCAAAGGGTAAGGGTATTATCCACTGGCTCTCTCCTGCCTCCCACTGAAAGGTTTTGGGAAGAGCCCTGGCAGCACCTATGGCAGTGGCCTTTCTTGGGCCAGCAGTGACAGCCACCCAGGCTACCGTGTCTAGCAAGCCCGGGACTATCTGGGCCCCCTTCTGTTTCCAGCATATGTGGTCCAGGGCACACAGTCTGCCACTGCCCTGCAGGGAGCTCGGGGAACAGGGTCCCATTCCTCATCTTCCTGTGGTTTGAAAGACTCAAACAGGGTGTGGGGAAGCCCAGATCCAGGCGAACCTCACAGGGTGGACCCTAGCGTTACAAGAGTGCTCTTTAGGAATCTCATTTCAATCGTGTCTTCACTCACTCTCTGAGTCCCTTCTCAGAGGATTCAGAGGCCCTGCCGGGTGGACCAGGAGGTGACAATGCAAGGCTCTGGTCTCAAAGCTCCCTGCCTGGGGGACTCCTGGCCCCAGGCTCCTGCCTGTGCTCCTCCTCTTGATAGCTTCTCCAGTTTTCACACTATTCTTCCAGCACCTTCTCCATACAATGCCTTTCCTCCCGAGAGCCCCTTTCCTTTGTCATTTCTCCTGGTCCTCTCGCCTTCTTTGGTTTAGGGTTTGGCCAGCCGCAGAGCGTGGGGGGTGGATGTGCGGGGTGGATGTGGTGGAAGGTCTGCATTGGCAGTGCAGCCTCAGGTCCTCCCTGTTCTTTGCTCCTCGTTCCTGTCTCAAGTAGAGATCTGAACCCCTTTTGGGGGTTATTTGTGACTCTTCCTTTGAGGCCAGTCACACACCAGCCTGGAAAAACTGCTCCAGCCCGGCAGTGCCCAGAGGAATCGAGCTGAAGATGTCCCCCGCGAGGAGGGCCCTGCCTGCCATGAACCGCTCAGCACTTTCTGAGCCCAGAGCGTGGTGCTGGCAGGGATTCTCTCTGCGTTCTCATCAACCACGTGAGCCCAGCAAGCTCTTCCACGGTGGCTGCAGCCTTGGTGGGGATGCCTGGGTTTATGCTCAAGGTCTCAGGGAACCCCCCCTGGGGCCGCCACACCGTGGTCATCAAGCACCCACTGCGAGAAGTGCCCGGGAATGTCTGCCCGTGTCCGTGGTCACAGGGCACACAACTGACTCTGCAGCAGGAGGGCACACGACTGACTCTGCAGCAGGAGGGCACACGACTGACTCTGCAGCAGGAGGGCACACGACTGACTCTGCAGCAGGAGGGCACACGACTGACTCTGCAGCAGGAGGGCACACGACTGACTCTGCAGCAGGAGGGCACACGACTGACTCTGCAGCAGGAGGGCACACGACTGACTCTGCAGCAGGAGGGCACACGACTGACTCTGCAGCAGGAGGGCACACGACTGACTCTGCAGCAGGAGGGCACACGACTGACTCTGCAGCAGGAGGGCACACGACTGACTCTGCAGCAGGAGGGCACACGACTGACTCTGCAGCAGGAGGGCACACGACTGACTCTGCAGCAGGAGGGCACACGACTGACTCTGCAGCAGGAGGGCACACGACTGACTCTGCAGCAGGAGGGCACACGACTGACTCTGCAGCAGGAGGGCACACGACTGACTCTGCAGCAGGAGGGCACACGACTGACTCTGCAGCAGGAGGGCACACGACTGACTCTGCAGCAGGAGGGCACACGACTGACTCTGCAGCAGGAGGGCACACGACTGACTCTGCAGCAGGAGGGCACACGACTGACTCTGCAGCAGGAGGGCACACGACTGACTCTGCAGCAGGAGGGCACACGACTGACTCTGCAGCAGGAGGGCACACGACTGACTCTGCAGCAGGAGGGCTGTGTGGATCCCCTGACCTACCATTTGCTTCATTCAGCAGCACGTGTCACCCCTCATCATGCAAACAAACCATCCGTGCTTGCAAAGAGTTCCCCGGGTGTGGGTGGCAGCAGGGCCAGAGGGAGCCCGTTTTTCCTCTGTGCACCCCAACAGTCCACCTACACATGGCTTCCTCCCTGTAGCAAAGCTCCCCAGCTTCAGTGGTGGCCTGGGGAGTGGGTAGGGTGTCTCCCAATTTCCCTTCCTCCTCATCGCAGGACTCCATCTGTTGAGGAGGAGCGAGAAGATGAGTACACGGGCAGTCTTCGCTCCCAGCTGCTCTTCACAATGGAACCACCACAGTTCAGGCCCCACAATCACTGCCGTCGCAGGTCTAAGTCACTCGGGCTCCTGCCTCTGCCCTCAGCCAGGAAAGCGGTCACTCACCGCTCGAGGGGATGCCTCCACCCTGAGGTAACCCAATCAGACCCCTTTGCCTGTCTCATGCCTGTAATCCCAGAGCTTTGGGACGCTGAGGCAGGGGGACGATTTGAGGCCAGGGACTTGAGGCTTCACTGAGCTATGATTGCACCAATGCACTCCAGCAAGACCTCATCTCTAAAAGAAGAAGAAGAAGGAGGAGAAAGAGAAGAAGTAGAAGAAGGAGGGGAAGGAGAAGGAGGAGAAAGAGAGGAAGAAGAAGAAGAAGGAGAAGGAGAAGGAGAAAGAAGAAGAAGAAGGAGAAGAAGAAGAAAGAAGGAGAAGGAGAAGAAGAACAAGAAAGAAGAAGAAGAACAACAACAACAACAACAACTTTGTTGCTTCCAACCAACAAGACTCCGTTTAGGGACAAGTGATGTTTTTCCATGTTGGGCACCAGGGAGAAGCCAGCAGGAGAAAACAGACACCCAAACACCAAAGGAAACACTCTGTGAGCCACAGAAGCAGTGCTTGTTGCAGGCAGAGGGCAAGGCAGGTGCACAGGCCTGAGCCTTCACCCTCCCAAGGAGGGCACTGTGAGCTGGCATCGCTGGTGGGCTGGTGATCCCCAAGATGGACCTGCACCCCAGCCATCCCCACCTGTGAGTCCTTGTGGACTCAGAGCGGAGTTATATTAATGGAACGCAGGGAGCACCTGCATTCGCCAAGTCACAGAGGAGCTTTTGGGTGGGGAGAATGTTTGGAGAACGAGAGGCACGTTGGAGCTTGGACTTTGGTCGCTCCTGACTTTGCGGCCTTCCCTGCTGAGCCAGCTGGTTCTCAGGCTTCATAGGGGCAGGGTGGTGAGGGTAGCCATGAGATCTTTCTGCAGACAAAGGTGGTTTCTCCTTGATGACATACAACACAGACACACAGGATTCCTTTGGCGTCGTGGTGTTGAGAATGTCTTTTGCAAAGGGACAATGGAATGCAGGCGCATGTCCTATAGAGTGGTGAGGATGAAAGAAGAGAATGTGTGCCAAGCGCCAAGCGTGATGCCTAAACACAGCAAGCACGTGCTCCATCACAGCTTGTTTACAGGCCACGGGGGGCCCGACAGCCATACTCAAGTATGAATGTGAAGCCCCAAACTCGGGCTCCTGCATTCTTGTTAGTGTCACCCAGGATCAGGGACCCTAATGACAGCAGGCCTTGTTGGTCCCCAGAGCATGCAAGGCCCCCGTTCCTGACTCCAAGATGTCCATGGTTGGAGGTGCCAACTGGGCTACCCCTCAGTGACGCCCCCAGGAATGCTGGCAGAACCACACTGAGGCAACAGCCTTGCAGGACGCACACTAGACAGAGAGGGACAGAGCCAGGGAGCCTGCTGCAGGGGCCTGCCCGGGTAAGGTCCGTGGCCCAGAAGGCCAGCAGGATGACACCCTGACCGATGAGAGACCCTCCACCTGGGAAGGAAGAGATGCCTCGGACGTGGAGGATCACCTTGAACACGGGTATCACCTCAGACAGGGGGCATCACCTTGGGTGTGGGGGGGATCAGCTCAGACAGGGCAGGCATTTTTGACAAGTTACCTCTCCTTGGGCTCCTTCAGGACAGTGAGGGGTACTGGCTGCCCAGAAGCCCTGGAAAGAAACTCAAGCTGCCTGAGACCAGAAAACCTGATCCACAGATTAGTCCACAAGTTCCTGAGGCAGAGAGTTGACCTGCAACTCAAACCAGGAGCGCCATACAGCATCACCTACCCACTGCTACCCCCTCCCCACCAAAGGGCACAGCTTTCGTCTCAGTGAAATCCTTGGTTTTTCTTTCTTTTTTTTCTTTTTCTTTCTTTTTTTTTTTTTTGAGACAGAGTCTTGCTGTGTCACCCAGGCTGAAGTACAGTGGCATGATCTTGGCTCACTGCAGCCTCTGCCTCCTGGGTTCCAGCAATTCTCCTGCCTTAGCCTCCCGAGTAGCTGGGATTATAGACATGTGCCACCACGCCCGGCTAATTTTTGTATTTTTAGTAGAGACGGAGTTTCACCATGTTGGCCAGGCTGGTCTCGAACTCCTGACCTCAGGTGATCTGCCTGCCTCAGCCTCCCAAGTCCTTGGTTTTTCTTAATGGCCTTAATGACCAGAAAGTTTGAGGTTTTAATCCTTTCTCAAGTGACATGATAGCAAATTTTTTCTTGGCTTTGGTTAAAAGCATGCCTTTTATTTGCAAAACTGATAATAAGAGAAGTCAGTTGGGTACACATTTAATCACTGAATTCCTGTAGCAATAAAGAGGATATGTATAACATTAAAAAGACAGAATCTTCAGGTACTAATTATTTTATTCATTTATATTTTTTGTCTTAGGATACAATAATGAAGTAAACAAGTCTATACAGAGTATTGTATAGCAGAGACAAAGCTATGGCAATTTAAATTATTTGCAGATCTGCAAAAAAGAAAAGATTAGATGTATTTTGGAGAGGTATTTTTGAAGTAATAACTATTGCCATGGATTAAAAGCCCACTGCACCTATGTATGATGAAAAAAAAAAAGCAAAACAAGGCTGGGAGGGGTGTCTCACATCTGTAATCCCAGCACTTTGGGAGGCCGAGGCGGGCGGATCACGAGGTCAGGAGTTCGAGACCAGCCTGACCAACATGATGAAACCCTGTCTCTGCTGAAAATACAAAAATTAGCTGGGTGTGGTTACGTGCGCCTGTAATCCAAGCTACTCAGGAGGCTGAGGCAGGAGAATCTCTTGAACCCAGGAAGCGGAGGTTGCAGTGAGCCGAGATCATGCCACTGCACTCCAGTCTGGGCGAAAGAGTGAGACTCTGTCTTAAAAAAAAAAAAAAAGAGAAAGAAAAAGAAAAACAAACAAAAATCTTAGCGAATTAGAATATATGGCAATGGACATCTATAAAAAAGAAAAACAAAAATCTTAGCGAATTAGAATATATGGCAATGGACATTTATAAAAAAACAAACATCTAAGGCTCATCATACCTGGTGGTGAAATACTGAACACTTCCTCCCCCAGGGTGGAACGGGCCAAGGATGCCCACTCTCACCATTCTATTCCACATCAAATGCGGGTCCTAGCTTGTGCCACCAGCTCTGTGATCTCTAGGGCATCCTTTGCAAAGGAGCCATTGGGACATGGATGCTTACATTCCAGGCTCCAAGCAAGCTCCTTTCCCCAGGCTCTTCTCCAGGGTGAGGCGAAGAAAGATGGGGACTGCACACCCATCGTGGATGGCTCAATCTTGTGACTTCCTTGGGGAAGACATATGAGAACACGTGTGTGCACATCACACCCACATGTCTCCCCTAAACAAAGAACAGCCTCCCTGGATCTATATTTAGTTTAAAAATCAAAAAGCCTTCTCAGTAGGTAGCTAGCATGATAAAGATGCCTTCTTCTTTTTTTGAAAAGATAGGATCTCAGTCTTGCTCTGTTGCCCAGCCTGGAGTGCAGTGATGCAATCACAGTTCACTGCAACCTCGAACTCCTGGCCTCAAGGGATCCTCCTGCCTCAGCCTCCCAAGTGGCTGGGACCACAGGAACATGCCATCATGCCTGGCTTTCTTGTTTTTTGTAGAGACAGTGTCTCACTATGTTGCCCAGGCTGTTCTCAAACTCCTGGGTTCAAGAAATCCTCCCACCTTGGCCTCCCAAAGAGCTGGAAGATACTTTCTTTATACCGGTCCGCAAACCACCTCATGTCCAGGGACAGGCACCTGCCCTCGGGTCACTAGAGGCAAGTTGTCCTTGTCTCACCCTGAGACCCTGGACACAGGTGCCCGCGCCCTTGAGGTCACCTCTGTGAGCTGGCTGAGGGTCTCCCTGCCAGGAGCTGCCACCATGCCAAGCTGGGGTCAGCCGTAGGTCAGCGCTGGGTTCAAGGGAGGCTGGAGAGTAAGGGTTGGGCATTATCATCTCCAATGTCCCTAGGCCCAAGAAAGGGGCTCCAGCACTAGGGGGCCAGAAAGCTTGACAGTGTCCCCTCCATCTCTTTAGAGAGACTTTGCTGGCCACCACCTCCTCCATTTGCAGAGGGAATTCTCTTCCTAGCCGCCTGTCCTTTGGCCCTCCAGCTAGCCAACCCGCAAACCATGCCACCTACAATGAGAGGAAGCAGTGATCAGCACAGTTGCCTGGTACATAGTAGTTGCTCAGTAAACAATTGGCTGGGTGCATGAGTGAATGAGAGGGCCAGTGAGTGGACTGGCAAGGGCATGGAGGCCTGGGTGCAGAGAGGCCCTACAGGCAGGCCCAGACATAGATGGGTGGGCCAACTTGGGCCAGGCTTACTGGTGGAAACAGGCTGGTGGGAGTGGGTGGAGCAGGGGCCAAGCAGCCTTTAGCTGGGAGGCCAGCTCCTCCCACTGGCAGCATTCCCAAGGTAGGTGGGGACCCTGGCTTACCACTCCACCTCCACCCCCAACTAAAGGACTAGCTGTCTCCTAGCCAGCCTGCCTCCCACAGTGCCAACAGCAATTCCCCTATCCAAGAGCTCTGAGCTCCGTGCTGGAGGTGACAGCTGGCCAGTGTGGGCTGGCTAGGAAAGGGTTCATCCCCCTTCCTTCTCCAATCTGACTGCCCCAATTTGCGCTCTCTCTCTGTCACCATCTTGGTTCAGCAAGAATGGCATCCATGCACTTGGCCTGATTGTAGGAGCTCATCCCCTGAGCGCTGTCCTCTGTTGGAGCTGGGATGGAGGCTTCTGTCCATGGCTGTCCTATTCCCTCAGGACCTACACACCACAACTTAGACAAAATTGCCTCTGAATCTGCCTCCTCCCCCCTTCTACATCACCAACTCCTTACAAGCAGGGATGCAGTGAGATGTATTTTTGCATGCCCCTCAACACTCAGGTGTCAACAAGTATTTGTGGAGTGTACACAAATTTCCAATAATAGGAAAGAAGAAACTGGCTGTGAATCACTGAAAATAGATGAGATTCTGAAGAGTCCTAGAGCCCAAAGCACTTGATAATTTCTAAAAGAATTGATTTCAATATATTTCTACCAGATTTATTGGTGGAAATAAAAAAGGCTACATTTAGGGAGGAAATGTGACATCAGGTAGCAGGCTGAATATGGAGCAAGACCCAGCAAAAGCATGAAGAAGAATCTCGGTAAGGTGTGGATGAGCTGTCTGTTTACTCTTGTTTCCAGAACAATGGAGCTCCCCATTGACGTCAATGGGAGGGAAGAAACAAAAGAGCCTTTGGGTGTGTGCAGGGCGCAGCAGCCGGGCCTGGGTTTGCTTGGCATTTGTGTGTGTATGTGTTAGGGAGAGGGGGCGGGGAGTGTGTCGAGGTGTCAATGTCAGAGGAACAGGAGGAGGGGCCACCTGACTGAGTGTGTGAACAGCATGCAGGCCTCCCGGGGCTTCTGTGGGAAGGGCTGCCCCGATGAACTTGGTATTTGCCCTGGTTTGCATCTGAGAAGTTGCACACACACCTTGTCAAGTAGAAGAGAAGGAGTTATCACACTCAGGAATTCCTGATGTGGGTTCATAACTTTTCCTTCTGTCCCATCCCTGGTCCCCAGGTGAGTCCAGGTAAAGAAGAACAAGAAGAGTAAAGAGAGATGCTGCGGGCTCCAGCTTCTTGGACAGTCTCGCCTTCCCCATGAGAGCCTACACATTCAGAGCCTGCTGCGTGGGAGCCTGAAAGCTCCTTCCTGTCCTGTAAGTCTCAGGCTTCTACCCAGACCCGGGGAAATTGTACTCTTTCTCCTGACACTTTAAATGGAAGTTTAGAGGCTCCACATGCCCCACACAATGCTTACCGAAACAAGGTGATGCAGGGTCCCGCGCTGTCTCCCAGGACAACCTCCTACCCCTGGCTCCTGCGTCTCTACGGCTTGCACCGTTGTAAGGCGTCCCTTTCTCAGGGCCCATCTTACCCGCCTTGGAAGTGCTGCCTTTCTCACGGAGCCTGTGGGGATAGCTCTGGTTAATTTATAGCCCACATCGCCCAATTTAGCATTTGATTAAGTTTCCTTTTTATGAGATAGTCCTTTCTCCCTAGTGATGCGCTTGGGGGCAGGGACAACATCATTTCTTTCTTTTGTACCTCCCCAGAGTAACAATGACTCTATTTCCTGAACCAAAAATTGCAACACGTGGTCTCAAAAATAAGAAAGGTCACTTGGTAGCTGCCGGGACAAGTGTCGACCACAGGCACCTCAGAGGCCCGGGTGGGCGTGCCCCCGGAGCTGCTGCAGGGCGGTGCTGCCACCTTCTCCTGGGCTGCTCCGGGGCCCCGCGATGAATGAGTGAGTGAATGAGTAAATGAATGAATGTGAATGCGTGAATGAAGCATGCCGCGCGGACTTTCCCGCGGCCCTGGCCGCTGGGGGCGCGCCTCTGGCCGGTGGCCGGAGGTGGAGGTCTCCCTCGTCCGGCTTCGGCGCGCCGGGTCTGCCAGGCCGGCCGGAGGTGCGCAGGAGCCCCGCGCCCAGCTCCCCCGCCCGCAATGGTACGCGCCACTCCGCGCTCCCCGAGCTGGCGGGCTTGAGGGCGTAGTGAATGGAAGGCGCCGACGCCGGAAGTGGATGAGACCACTAGGGAGGACGACGGGTAGCACGAACGCGCCGCGTCTCCATTGAGGAACCGACGAGGTGAACATGGAGTTCCATGTGCGTCTTATGTAAAAAGAGCGACGGGCGCGGCCACCAATGGGCGCGCGGCGTTCGTAGGCCCCGCCCCTCATGTATGCAGATGAGACGGAGTCGCGGCCAATGGCGGAGGCCGGGGGCGGGCGCGGCGCGCGCGGTCACGTTTTCCACTATGTGACAGCGGCGACTCGGCCGCGGCGGAGGCGGCGGCGCTGAGGGGATACGTGCAGCTGTGGGCGGCGGCGGCGGGCGCGGGGCCGGGCGGACAGAGCCGCGAGTCGGCGGAGGGACCGGCGGACGGGCTGACGCGGGCGCGGCCGGCGGTAAGTGGCGCGGCGCGGCCCCGCTGCGGCTTACGTAACCGCCGCCGGCGCGCGGGCCTCGGGCAGGTCGGGGTCCCAGCGCCGGCTCGGGCAGCGGAGGCGCCGCCGGAAGTTCCTTGGGCTGCTGGACTCCTCGGCTTGAAACGGCGCCGGCGTGGGGGCGTGTGCCCTTGGCCCTGTCCCAGGTGGAGAGTGGTCGAGCCGCGCGCAGGGTGCGCTCGTTTGAACTGCGGTGACACCGAGGGTTGGGGACTCGAACCCCCGCTTCGCAGCTCAGGAGCCTGAGGTCCGAAAGGTGAGGCAGCGTGTGTAGGGCACCGAGCTACCGAGTGACTGCGCGCGGGCTGCGGTTCCGTGGGCGATTCTCTTTTGGGAACCCTCCCTCCCCTCGCATGGGGAAGGCCAAGGAAACCAAGGGTCAGCGCAGCCGGCCCTGGGATCTGGAGGACCCTCGGGGAGCTGACTGCCTCTTCTGAGGCCACAGGGCTAAGTCCTGGGCTGGGGAAGGGCCATGGAGGGGCGCTGATCTAGGAGCTTTTCCTGGACACCCACGGGTCTCCTGGAATGGGTGATCAGAGGGACAAGGAAGTCCCGGTGCCAAGCCAGGCCTGGGAACCTGAGGGCGGGGAGACCCTCTAATGTTCGCCCCTTTGCCTCCCCTGGACCACCCTGTATTAATTCCCTTTCCCCGGACTGGATAGAAGGGAATGGGGGTGTCCACTCTTTGGTGCAGCAGTCGCGCCTACCTTCTGGGATGTACTTTGGCTGCCAAGTCCCAGACATAGACCAGGGGGTGGGAGGTGGCCTGCTTCCCCCTTCAGGAAGGCCAGGGTAAGGGATGACGAGTTGGTTGCCAGGGTTTCTGTAACCTACACAGAAGGAACCCGTTTGGAAAGCTGATTCATACAGAACAACAGAGCCAGAAGGCACCCTGAAAATCACCCAGAGTAACCCCTCAGCCTGACAGATGAGCAAACTGAGGCCCAGGCCCAGGCTGTCTGCAGGATCTTCCCATCGTCCTGGGGCAGGATGAGCTTCAGAGGTTCAGTGATGGCCTCCACTTGCGTGCTGAATCCTGGGTGGGCTGGAATTTGGGAGGAAGGGCCTTAAGTCCGGGAAATGTGTTAAGAACCCCACACGGTGGCTAAAGCCCCACATGGACGCCTCTCACCTGTATATGGCACAGCAGGACTGCTAGACTTCTTGGCCCACCCTCTACCCCCACCTGGGGCTTCTGGTCCCAGGCTGGGTGTGCCTGAGAAGAAAACAGGACTCTACCTGAAGGCTTTATTTGGAAATTGAGTTTTAAAATACAAGGTGAATTGATTTTTGTGTGCTATATGACTATAATGAAGAAAGGGACTCCGTTTTTTTTGAGTGGAAGCTGTGTGGTGTGCCAGCGCGGGGATGGCACCGTGGGTGTTTGCAGTTATCTGTCACTGTCGCCTTGGTATGATTCATTGGTACAGAACTAACGCAGCCCTGGCTTTCTGTGGAGACTGGAGTGCCAGGTGGGAAGGGGGAGCCCTGTGTCAGCCAGCTGGCTGCTGCTGGCTCCCAGTCTGGGCCTCAGTTTCCTTGTTTGTTTGGAGGGGCTCAGATTGGGCAGTCTCAGAGGTCTACTTTAATTCCCAGGTTTTTGGTTTTCTGTTACCCTACAGATGATTTTTCCCAGGTTTCTCGCAGGAGACAGAGGCTTCTGATATGCTCTTGCCTTTGGGCCAAGTAATGTTCTCCTGTGAGCCACGTCTGCAGTGCTTACAAGGAAAAAGGAAAGATTCCTCTCCTGTGCACTACTTCTCGTACCCACTGAACTTTCTCAAAAATACTGGTAGTCACACTGCTGTTTTTAAGCGATGATGTAACTTCACCAGGACTCGGCAAACCACGGCTCTGTCAGGTCATTGAACAGCTGGCAGGGCCACTTGGCGTTTAGTCAGAAGAAAGACAGGCTCTGGGTGTGCTTTTACCTTTTGAAAACTACTCTGTTTGGCAGAGGGAGCCAGAAACACACAATTCCATAAGCTTGGCAGAGACTGTCGCCACACTTCTGGAAAGCTGGCCCACCTTGGGAACCAAGGGAGAATTAGTCTAGAGGGGGCCTCTGATGGACCCCTCCCCCAGCCCACGCACTCCCCCCTAGGGACCAGGCCCTCCTTTCAACTCATTATGCTCATCGTGTACACATTTGTAACAAGTTTGTTACCATATCTCCAAGTCTAGAGCAAATTAGAAGCAGTAAATGAATAGCAGTGACTGGTGACAGGAGTCAAGGCCACTTGGTTTTCAGAGACTGGTAGTTCCCAAGACAGAGTGAGCTGCCGTGCTGAACCCTCACCGGCCTCGAAGGGTTCCTCGTGCTCTTCCTGGGGTGACATAGAGGAATCAGAATCCACTCTTTAAGAAACCAGGTACAGGAGGAGCAGATGCCTGAGCTTCCTGCAATTCGGAGTAGCTCAGTCCCTGACCACCGGGGAGCTAGGAGGCTGACACTTTTGCCTTTATTTGCTTTAAAGTCTTGTAGTTCTAAAAATGTAGGGATTTAAAAGTCTGAATTGAGATCATTGAAGGTGTCCTAGTGAGGCCAAGACAATGCCTCCCCGGTGCACCTCCTTCCCTCCATATTTGGATGGCTGCGGTCACATTTTCCTCAGTTACCCAACCGTTGCCATGGAGAGTGCGGCTGTTTATTTAGCAGGACAAACATTTTCTCAGGATTACAGCAGGCTGGCCTCAGGGAGTTGGCTCCTACCAGGAAGTAGAAAACATGTTAGAATATTTGGGGTTGTAAAATCCTGCAGGGCTTGCAGAGACAGTACATGCTGTATGAGCCCTATTATGTAAAGTTCGAAAACAGGCAGAATTCACTAGGCTGCAAGAAGCCAAGCTAGTGAGTCCCCGCGGGGTAGATGGTGGCTGGGAGGGCCACCAGGAGCCTCTGGGGGGCTGGCACTGTCCTGCCTCTGGTGACATGTGACATGGCATGTTGTTTGTGGATATACATCAAGCTGTGACCTCATGAGGTGGGACTCCTCTGGTGATTGAACACTGATTTCTGATTTCCACAAAAAATGCTTTTCCGCCTTAGGTTTGCAGGTATTGAGTACAGTAAGACTTTACCAGTCCTGGCAGTGGCAGTGGAGGCTGGAACTGGGTCCCAGGCTTGCTTTCGTTCCTAATTTTTAAACACTATTATGGAAAGTATGAGTATCTCTGAAAGTGGGGAGGATAGGGTAACGAACCCATGCGACCCCACCAGCCAGTAGTCTCTGCTCCTGGCCCCACTCCTTCCCCACCCCCACCAGCTGCTTTTCCTCCTGATCCCAGGCTCTCTGTTCTTGTGGTGGACTGCACTTTCTGAATGGTGCTCTGTCAAGTTGAGGCAACCCAGCTACCAAAAATGTGGCCAGGTGACCTGGTCAGGGGTCCGAGCTTAACCTCTTTCTTTGAGTCTGACTGTTCTTAGGGGCAGAGCCAGTAGGCGGACATGCAAAGAGGGCCTCAAGGGCAGGTTCACGCCCAGAGGCTCATGTTGGCTTTTGGCAGCCCCTTTTCAACCAGGCTGCCATTTTCCCTCCTGGGCTTTGGTACCCTGAGCACATAAGTGCATGCCCACCCTCCCTCCCCCTACCCGCCTTGAGGTGGAAACAGGTTTCCTAGGAGCTCCCCAGGAACAGCTGGTCCAGCTGGCTATGGGCACACATCTGTGGAGGGCAGGAGGCAAAGTCCACTTTGACAGGGACGTTGGTTTTGCCAGCTTCTCAAAATGAGGCTGGTCTATTAGAGCCGCTGAGGCTGAGAGACGCATTTTCTGGAATGACGAAGTTTCTGATAATTTGGCTTTCACATTTCTGCCAAGCTTACTCTACCCTCTTTGCAAAAATACTTATCTTCCACCTAAGGTAATGTCGGGGCACCAGTGAATCGTATTTAGACAGGCTTACAGGGGATGGACTTAGGGGTGAAAACCAGGAGAGCTACGTGCAAAGCACCCGGGGCCCAGACAGCATGGTGGCTTCAGATACCTGATGCTCCTCTAAGGACTGCCTGGGCTGGAGGTGGCACTGAGTTCTTAGTCCTTTAAATATAAGAATACAAGCCAGAGACAGCTGCCATGACAATTCATTCTCTCTCTTCCAAAATTACGTTTGTTGCCCATCTGTTTTTCTTTTTCGTTTTCTCTCTCTTTTTTTTTTTTTTTTGAGATAGAGTCTTGCTCTGTTGCCCAGGTTGGAGTGCAGTGGTGCAATCTTGGCTTACTGCAGCCTCCACCTCCTGGGTTCAAGCAATTCTCCTGTCTCAGCCTCCCAGGTAGCTGGGACTACAGGCACACACCATGACGCCTGGCTAATTTTTGTATTTTTAGTAGAGACGGGTTTCACCATATTGGTCTGGCTGGTTGCGAACTCCTGACCTCGGGTGATCCACCGCCTCAGCCTCCCAAAATGCTGGGATTACAGGTGTGAGCCACCGCGCCCAGCCGCCGTCTGTTTTTCTGTAGTGATTAGCAGTGATAAGCTAATATTACATTCCAGATATCTTGCATGGGTTGTGTCATTTAATCCTTCTAACAACCAGTAGGAGGCAGGAACTACTGTTACCCCATCTCACAAATGAGGACACAAGGCTCAGGGAGGTTAAGGAACTTGTCCGAGATCACATAGGAGGTGGTGGAACCCAGCTGAAACCCAGGCCACCCAGGACCTGTGCCCTTAACCACTCTGCTGCTGCCTCTGATCACCTTAATGACTCACTCAGAGCAGAAAGGACCAGCTGCTTATCTGGGGGAGGGCTGTGGGGATGAGATGGGTGGTGTCCAGGGTGTTGAGGGGTCAGGAGTGAGAGAATGCCCTTGGTACCCTGGGCGGCCCCTTGGCAGCTCCACTGAACCATGGCAAGAGCACCCTGAGAGGTCTCCTTGCTTCCACCTTGCCTCAACCCTGCAACTCCATTGAAGTGTAAGTGAGATCTTGTTGCACAGAACTCTCCACAGTTCCCTATCGGAGTTCTGACTGCCCCCGCAAGGCACTCCGTGATCTGGCCTTGCTGCCGCCCTCCTACCGCTGCCCGCTCTGCTCCAGCCTCGTGCACCTTCCTCAGACAGGTCAGGTGCTTGCCTGCCGCAGGGCCTTTGTGTGTGCTGTCCCCCTGCCTAGAATGTTCTTCCTCTGGTAGCTCACTCTCCACTCTCTTCAGGTCTGCCTTCAGGCTCTCTTGAGAATGGAGTCTGAGGTGAGCACTTTACTGGGAATTGCAGTCCCAGGGTAGCAGTAGAAAAGGAAAAGGGAGGTAAGGAAGAAAAGTCTGGAAAGCACACACAAGACGACACCCTGCTGAGATGAGGCTCTGCCTTACAGAGACATCCAGCTGGGTGCTCACCCCCTTGGGACCTCTTCAGAAAGGCTGTGCCAAAACAGGAAGGAAGGAAAGAAAGACAACTTCAGAAAGGTCCATTTGAGGGAGAGAGGGAGGGGGCATTTTCTGCCAGCTCCTCCTTGCCTCCTGTCCAGCAAGCGAGCTCTCCCTCCTATCCAGCTGCCTCATCAGACCCTTTGGCAGCAGGCAGGACAGTGAGGAGCAGCAAGGGCCCCCACAGTGGTGTGGCACGTCATCCGAGTCCACACAGGGCAGGCAGAGCCAGAGATGCCCAGTGCCAGCCTCAGGTGTGAAGCCAGAAAGACCTGCTGAAGCACGTGGCTGCAAGCCTGAGAGAGCGAAGCCCAGGGACCCTGAGTCAGTTCACACACGAGGGCTCGTGCGCAAGGTCCTTGTCAAATGCCACCTACACCTGGGGCCACCCTCATTGAAATGTCACTCCCAGCCCCTCAATTCCCACTTGCTAGTTGCCTACTCTACTGTATATTCTAGTTTCTTGTTTATTGTCTGTTTCCCCCTAATGTAAGCTCCCTGAGGGCAGGAAAGATGTCTGCTCTGTTGTCTGCCCCAGTGCCAGCCCTCAGTGCTAAGCGAATAAGGGCAAGTCAGTCAGTGGGAAACTGCTGGCACCGGGCAGGCCCTGCCTGAGTGCCATCTGTCCTTTTTATTGTTGTTGTTATTTATTGTTCTTGGACTTGTTCATCTATGTCTGAGACTCTCCCCACATCAGTCTTTCTGGCCTCTATCCTTTTAGTGGGTGTATAGTATTCATAGTATGGATGTCCCAGGTTTGTGTCTTCAACAGTACGTGCCAGGCCCTGGGGATCCAGCATTGACCAACGCAAACCCCTGCCCCCATGGAGCTTAGGTCCCAGAGGGGAGGCAGGCAGTAAACAGCCCAGCCCCTCAGTGCTGGCGAGGAAAGCCCACAGAGCGGCGGTGGAGGCACAGAGAAGGAGCTGGTGGGGAGACGGTGCTGTTCATGCAGGCTGCCCAGGCATCTGCAAGAAGAGGGCTGTGGGCACGAGGGAGCAGCAAGTGCAGAGTCTCTGTGGTCAGAGCACACAGGGCTGGGGCTGAGGGGTGGGCAGTTAACAGGACATGCCCAGGAGATTGCAGGAGCTAGACTTGCAGAGCCTTTGGCCCTTGTGCACACTAGAATTGTGCTCTGAGCAAGGGTCTGAGCACGGGCCGGGCGTAAGCTAAGCCCCTTCACCAGGATCGCTCTAGATGCTGTGTTAACCATAGCAGGGCCAGGTGGAGGCAGGGGACCAGTCTGGAATTGGAGGCTGGCTCCTGGCCAGGATGATCGTGGACAGGATGCGTAGCCTCCCTGTTGATGGTTCTTCCCAGGTTTTTATATTCAGTGCTCACACATCTCTGAGCACATAAATAAGCACTTCTCTGCAATGGATTCCTGGAGGTGGGAAGAGTATGCAGATTATAAATGTTGCTGGGAACTCAAATTTCTCTCCAGAAATACCCTATTACTACACCACCACACACAAGAGCCACTCTTCTCCACCTGAGCAACGCTGAGTGTGATCAGTCCTGTTAATTTTTGGCAACCTGATGGGCAAGATAACCTCGTCCTTTGCATTTTCCTGATGCTAATGAGGTTGAGCCTCTTTCTACAAGTTCACAAATCTTTTGGTGTCTCTCTTTGTGGGAATGGCCTAGGCAGTCTTCTTGCTTAGTCTCTCTGTTCCCAAAAGGTATTACCATTCATCTTTCATTGAATTTGCTAGAACTGCCATTAAATGTAAAATAAAGAAAAAAGACTAGAATAACAGATTTGCTTATTTTGTTCCTGACTTTAAGGGGAATGATGCTGGCATTTTGGGTTTTATGTGACTCAGGATGTTGATAAAACCAGCTATGTAACCCACAATCAAGTATCCTGTAATTGAGATTTCCTCCCTTTGACCATAAGCTTTTCCTCTCAAAGCTATTAATATATGTAGACGGCCGGGCCTGGTGGCTCACGCCTGTAATCCCAGCACTTTGGGAGGCCGAGGTGGGCAGATCACGAGGTCAAGAGATCAAGACCATCCTGGCCAGCATGGTGAAACCCCATCTCTACTAAAAATACAAAAATTAGCTGGGCGTGGTGGCGGACACCTGTAATCCCAGCTACTTGGGAGGCTGAGGCAGGAGAATTGCTTGAACCCAGGAGGCGGAGGTTGCCATGAGCCGAGATTGCGCCACTGCACTCCAGCCTGGTGACAGAGCAAGACTCCCTCTCAAAAAAAAAAAAAAAAGTGTAAACATTGTCTTCTGGAAATGTAATATTGCTGAAGAGATATCCAAGACTAGTGTGATTTTTTTTTCATCCTTTATGGGTAACTTGTTTGTTCTCTGTGGATGTTGGTAGGACTTTCTTTATCCTTGAAGATACCGTTTGTCATCTGGATGCACTTAGGCGTTGGACTCTTGTCCTTTGATTGGCAGATTCAGATCTGTCTCTGGTTCAGGATGGTTCTCTTTATGTGTCTCGCTCATTATGGTTTCTGTTTTATTGTTCTCGTCTCTTTCAGAAAGAGCTGTAATCCACAGGTAAAACCCGGCTGTCCTCCATCTCTCTTCTCTTCTCCTTTCCCTTTGCATTTTAAAAGTCTGTCACGCATCTCCTATCACTGAAGCCATTTTCTTTTTATTGATTCTGAACTTTGTCCTTTCTAGTTTTCCATTCTAATGTGGCATTTTCATCTCAGTCAGTGGCCTTATCTCATCCCTCATTACTTGTTTCATTGAATCCATCATTTCTTGAATTCTTAGGATGAAAAGTAGATGGTGTCTTAATTTGCTGCTTCCTCTGTGGCATGAGGGTTGTGTTCAGTTGTCTTTGCTGTGTGTGTTTTCCACAGCCCCGTGTTGGCTTTCTTCTGTTTATTAGTTTGTGAACAAGGCGAGGTCTAGTCGGCCCTGCTGTTCTCCAGACACTGATGTGGGTGGATTCTCCATGAGCCCCGCCTCTCACCAGGCTGTCCTGGAGTGGCTCACCGGCGAATGGGCTCGACCTGGGGAAGGGGATGCTGAAGGCTCTTGTTGGAGCTTAGCCATTCAGTTCCTGGGGCCAGCTGTTGGAATCCGGCACCCTGTATGTGTAGCCCTCAGTATTGCTGGCTGGTTTCTAGCCCTTTCTTAGAGTTGCCCTGTTGGGGAGGGCACCTGGGGGTGTTCAGTGGGTGAAGCGTCTCCAGGAGAACCTCTCCTTCCCACAGGATTTCTGTTCCTGTGTCCGTTCTTCTCCCACAGCTTCCTCACGAAGCATCTTCCTGGTGGTAGAGCTCTTGACTGTCCAGCCTTGGCCATGGCTTGGGCCTTCCATGGCCGGGGGTAGCAGGGATCTCAGCACTAGCCACTTCCTCAGGGGTATTTGGACTCCAGTGCACTCTTCATGCTCCTTCCATCTCAGCGACAAGCAGCCGGACGCACCTTCACTTTGTGGCAAATGATTGGGACCCTTCGGGACTTCTAGGGCTGCTGAAAATGATCCCTCCCCCCGACCAATTGTATGATCCTTGGTCATTTCACGTGGGTACTGGTGGGAAGGAGGTGGAAGGGGAGGCTCTCCCAGAGCTAGATGGGAACTGGAGCATAAGATGTTTCACAAGATTTGGGGTGTGGAATCCAGAAACCCTTCTCTCCCTTTGTTCCAGCTGCCCTGGGAAGGGCCAAACGGATGCCATGCAGAAGTGGAATGCCACACTGGGCCAGAGTTGGGGCTGAGCACAGTGCAGTGGCAGGAAGCAGGAGGCCCCCACACAGCTGAGCCTGGGTGTAGGGTGGGGGTCCCATCTTCAGATGCCGGCAGGCCTGGAATCCAGGGCTGTCATCTGCTACTGTGTGGCCTGGGGTGAGCTACCCACCCCTGTTGGCTGCTCCGTAGAACGATCTCCTGCGCACCATGTAGACCGTGATCCAGAGTTGCTGGGAAGCTGTGTGTTGGGTGCTTAGCATCATGTCTGTAGTCAGCAGCATCACCCCAGAGCCTCACAGCTGTGTTCATTAAGCATGACCACTTGTGTCAAGCAGGGCCTTCATCTGGCTCTCTCCAGTGCCCCGCTTGAGTGGGTGCCTGCTTCCTGCTGGGACTCTGCTGAAAACGCTGTCCTGGGGATGGGGAGACATCACTGGGTGAAGAAGGGAGGACCCGGGATGGCATTTTGGCCTCTCACCTGCTAATCAGTCCCACCCCTCCCTACTCCCTGTCTCTGTTCACCCCCCCTCAGTTTGTGTCCAGGATGATCGCTGGTCTGTCTCTAATTTCAGCCACTCCACCCACCTACCCCAAAGTGCAGAGGTTAAGTTTCTGACCAGCACAGCAGTGCAAGCCTGTCCAAATGCAAGCTGAGTTCCGTGGGCCTGGCACTCAGAGTGCCTCAGCAGCTCCCAACCATTCCCAGTAAATGTGAAGCCACATTGTCCTGGCCCCTCTCCATCCCACTTGTACATGCTTGTGGGGCCTGGGATCCCCGAGCTGCTGGGAGGGTTCCACACCTGCCAGGCCCCTCTGCCCTCTTTACCCGGCAAGCCCTGTCTGTCCCCATGTCTCCTGCTAGCCTTGGCTCCTCCTCCTGTAACTGTGCCGTGCTGTAATGGCCAAGATTTCTGAACCCGGCTCCCCCACCCCACCATCATCTGGGGAAATTTATAAAAGGCAGATCACCTATTCAGAGGGACCATGTGTTTTTCCCAGCACCCCACAGGCCGGGTGTTGATTATCAGTGCTCTTGTCTGCCTTCTGATGAGGCCGTCAGCAGCTCTATGTCGGGCTGAGGCTGCCTCATTCAACCATCTTCCTAATCCATGGCAGATAGGAGCTCTTGTCAATAAGAACAAATAAGTAATGTGATGAACTAACGTGCGTGTGATTGATCCCGATGAAAGGGCAGTTTTGGCTGCGTGTGGTTGGCCTGTAATCTCAACATTTTGGGAGGCTGAGGCGGGCAGATCGCTTGACTTCAGGAGTTCGAGACCAGTCTGGGCAACATGGCAAAACCCTGTCTCTACCAAAAATACAAAAAATTAACCAGGCATGGTGGTGAGTGCCTGTGGTTCCAGCTACCCTGGAGGCTGAGGTGGGAGGATCGCTTGAGCCCAGGCACTGCATTCCCTGGGCAACAGAGCCAGACCCTGTCTCCAAAGTAGAAAGAAAGAAAGAGAGAGAGAGAGAGACAGAGAGAAGAAAGAAAGAGACTGCAGTTTCATTAGTAACAGAAAGAGTCAAATGGGTGCTCTACCTGATGGCTGCAGCGCCCCTTGTGCGTGTGCTTGTTAATGCGTGACAGCATCCCTCTGTTTGCCAGCTTCGTTCCAGAGCCCAGCATGAATGGATACGCGGAATTTCCGCCCAGCCCCAGTAACCCCACCAAGGAGCCCGTGGAGCCCCAGCCCAGCCAGGTCCCACTGCAGGAAGATGTGGACATGAGCAGTGGCTCCAGTGGACATGAGACCAACGAAAACTGCTCCACGGGGCGGGACTCGCAGGGCAGTGACTGTGACGACAGTGGGAAGGAGCTGGGGATGCTGGTGGAGCCACCGGATGCCCGCCAGAGGTGAGTTCAGCCTCTGGCCAGATGGAGGCTGGGCAGGTTGTTTTCTCAGTGGCTCATTTCTGCTGTGATTTGATTGCTTTTGCAATCTTTAAATCATGATTACCAAGTTTTTCAAGATTTTTGAAAATACCTAAAATGTGCCAGTGTCTGTCCTTCCTCATAACGAGGCCCTGTCGAGTTCGCAGATCCAGTTGCCAACAGACAGGTACTGGGTAGTGTAAGGAGATCTTGGGAGGTAGCAGTGGTGGGTAACCCAGCCAGTGGCTGCTTATACAACACTGGGCAGTTTATAGAAAAGGAACTGGCTCCTGTTATCATGTGTTTCTGTGTCCTGGTACTTAGTTTTTCTGATGTCTGAAGGTTTTATATTCCAGTTTTATCTTAACCTTGTATTTTTAAAAAATTGTCTTACCATGGTATTATCTAGCCTGTTATCACTGGTAGGATGGCAGGGGAAGATGTGTCTGGAGCATACAATTGTCTAAATTTTGCTTTTATTTTTTGTTTTCATAGTCCAGATACCTTTAGCCTGATGATGGCAAAATCTGAACACAACCCATCTACAAGTGGCTGCAGGTAAGGCCAATTAGAACTTCATACATAGAGGTTTTAGAGAAATTGAAAGACTTCTTATTGGAGGTTAGTTTTCTGGGAGTGACGTGGCTTTTTTTAAGCTGTGCTAAAACCCATCTGTGTGGCTATGTGGGTACGAACCCAGCCTCACTCTGGCCTTTCAGACACTGACTGTGTCCCCTCACCGTCCAGAGCCCCCGGGATGTCGCTCCAGTACCTGTAGCTCCTCCCAGCTCTACTCGAAGCCGACTTTGCCTGAGTCTTGGGCATTTTCATCTGGAACATTCTTCACCCTTCGTAGGTGTTTGTAACAAACTTACCCTATGTCAATTTTCATGTCACCTCGGGAGCAGAACCCGGCTCCTTGTCCAGGGCATGTGGGCACTTTGCATTGCCTGAGAAACCTTGATTTCCATCATTCCTTCTGCACCCTCTGTTCCACACAGGCCCATCTTCATCAGCCAGTGCCCCGCTGTCCTGTCTCTCTAACATCTCTGTATCCTCAATTAATGTTTGAAGACCCTTTTCCACAATCCCCTTTTCTCTGTGTTCATGGCTCACTTTTATGTCCCAGGAAGTCACTTTGCTGTCCTCTGTAATCCCATCACTCAGTCCTTCTTTACCTGGGGCAGGGAAGAAGGGCACAGCTTAGTGCACAGTCCACTGCACCAGACTATGGGTCGACCAGTATCCTTTCCTGAGCAAAGCCTAGCTCTAACCCTTCAGGGAAAAGAACACAGTTGGAGGGACTTCTCCAGCATTCAGTTGGGTTAGAGCGGTGACTCTTGACCAGGAACAATTTGTCTCCCAGCGAGAAACATCTGGCAATGTCTGTTGACAGCTCTGATTGTCATACTTGGCCAGGGTCTCCCTGGTCTATTGTGGGTGAGGCCAGGGATGCTGCTAGATGTCCTACAGAGCCCCACCAAGGGCCACCCAGACCAGAACATCTCTAGAGCCGAGGCTGAGAAAATCTACAGAGCCCCACAAAGGGCCACCCAGACCAGAACATCTCTAGAGCCGAGGCTGAGAAAATCTACAGAGCCCCACAAAGGGCCACCCAGACCAGAACATCTCTAGAGCCGAGGCTGAGAAAATCTACAGAGCCCCACAAAGGGCCACCCAGACCAGAACATCTCTAGAGCCGAGGCTGAGAAAATGGGCAAGAGGCACGTTTCTTCAGGAAAGGACACCTAGGAAGCTAACATTTGGCTGCCTCTTTCTTGAATCCTGCAGTAGCGACCAGTCTTCGAAAGTGGACACACACAAAGAACTGATAAAAACACTAAAGGAGCTGAAGGTCCACCTCCCTGCAGACAAGAAGGCCAAGGGCAAGGCCAGTACGCTGGCCACCTTGAAGTACGCCCTCAGGAGCGTGAAGCAGGTGAAAGGTACGTCGGCCTCGCACATCTGCTCCAAACCTATAGAAATATGTTTTAAATCCCCCCAAATTATAGCTTGGATTGTGTTGACTTTCTAAAACTCGAGGCTCATCGCAGCTCACTGCAGCCTTGACTTCTGGGCTTAAGCGATTCCGCTGCCACAGCCTCCTGAGTAGCTGGGACCACAGACGTGTACCACCACGCCCAGCTAATTCTTGTATTTTTTGTAGAGATGGGGTCTCACTATGTTGCCCAGGCTGGTCTCGAACTCCTGGACCCAAGCAGTCCTCCCACTTCAGCCTCCCAAAGTTCTGGGATTATAGGTGTGAGCCACTGTGCCTGGCCTGGCCTTTTTTCTTTAGAGTGGAAACTACCACCTCCAGAACTTTGAAGAATTCCTTAGCTGTGTTGGTCTGTTGTGACGAGCAGGCAGAGACCATCAGTGTCAGCCAGGGTGGGAAAGGAAGGTGCCCTGCAGAGCATCTTCACACCTCCTGCCAGTTGGTGTGTGAGCACCTCCCGACTGTGGAGCTGTGCCTTTTCATGTGTTGCGCACATGCACTAAGGGGCTGGTGGATCTTGTACATTAAAAACATGCATAAAAATAGAAAAATCTGAGAGGCTTAAAGGTGAAGCAGTAGCTGTATTCTATTATCAGTCGTTTCAAAGCACAGTGTACAGTTAGGGCAAAGTTCTTCACTAGTAATCATGGGTATAAACTCGTATTTGAAGCAGTCTTCATATTTTTAAATGTTTGGGTAGTTTTTCATCAGCAGTGAGCAGGTCATCAGCACTCATCTCTGGGGTCCCTTGAGCCAGGTGTGGAAGGGTTGCTCTGCCATGTGCTAGCTTGGACTCTTGCATTTTTGGGTGTTGGCTTTGGGTGTCCTCTAAGTTTCTCTGCAGGCTCCTCCCTAATCCCACTGTCCATTTTGTGAGGGTTGATACAGACAGAACAAGGTGCCTGGGCTACTCGTCGGTGCTGGTCAGGTCTAAAGATACCGCATGGAAATCCGGTGCCCCTGGGATGAGCACCCCACCATGGAGGGCACCGCTCTGGGCCTGCGTGCCTGTGGAGGCCCCCTTTTCCGGAAGGAGGAGCCAAAGGGAAAGTTCGTTCTGATCAGTTGGGCTGCTCTGTTCTCCAGTGATTATGTCCATTTAAGGTGTTTCCCTGTTGGCCTCTACAGTAACTTCACAGCTCAGAAGCTCTGCCACATGGACATTTTCCACACTTTCCAGCAGTTTATATCTTGATTTCAGAGCATACTCAGAAATGTGCCTGTTTCTGAAATTACTGAAGGTGGCAAAACTGAAAGCATATGAGACCCAGCTGTGGGTCCAAAGGTCTCCTCACCACATTGCAGGAAGCACACGCGTGGCAGAATCCTGGGTCAGACTCGTAACGCAGCCCCAGGTTTCATGTGTCCGGGGCCTGTTGAGCCCTGAGGGCAAGTGGCAGCCTCGAGCTGGCCCCTTTGCTCCCGCCTGGAGTGAGGGCCGCTGTGGCCATGAGCACCGACACCCAGAGACAGGCTTGTCACCCCAGAGCCCGCCGGATACACCCAGGATGACGTGGGAACTCAGATGGAGTGGCCCTCCTCTTCAGATTCTATTTTGAAAACTTTCTTTCAAATGTTTCTTGTGCCTGTTATTTTTTTAAGCAGTCAGTTCTGCCTGGATGGGGGTGTCTGATGGCATCACCCAGGGAGTCAGATGTGCAGGGGTTGCCATGTGGTCCTGTGTGGAAAAGTGAATATACCATCATGATTAAAGACTTTCTAGGGGCCGGGCGCGGTGGCTCACGCCTGTAATCCCAGCACTTTGGGAGGCCGAGGCGGGCAGATCATGAGGTCAAGAGATCGAGACCATCCTGGCCAACATGGTGAAACCCCATCTCTACTAAAAATACAAAAATTAGCTGGGCGTGGTGGCACGTGCCTGTAGTCCCAGCTACTAGGAAGGCTGAGGCAGGAGAATTGCTTGAACCCCTGGGAGGTGGAGGTTGCCGTGAGCTGAGATCGTGCCACTGCACTCCAGCCTGGTGACAGAGCAAGCCTCCATCTCTAAACAAAACAAAAAAGAATAATTAGCTGGGTGTGGTGGCGGGTTCCTGTAATCCCAGCTACTTGGAAGGCTGAGGCAAGAGAATTGCTTGAACCTGGGAGGCGGAAGTTACAGTGAGCCGAGATTGCGCCATTGCACTCTAGCCTGGGTAACAAAAGCAAAACTCCATCTCAAAAAAAAAAAAAAGCCCCTTCTGGAGAACATGAGAGGCAGCTGGAACTCTGCGACCGTATTACCTTAAATAATGTAGTTGCCACTTTTAAAACATTTTATAATCAAAGTCCTTCTGATGTTTCAGGGAAAAATATCCCGATTTCTGTCTGTGAGTTTGTTTTGCCTTCACGTTTCCGTATGTTCTGTGTCCCAGGAAGACGAGATTTATATCCTACCTTTTCATTTGAGAAAAGTAGAGCCCTCAGTTTGTAAGAGCTAGTGACTGTCTCCGGCCAAGCGCTGGGTTCTGCCCACTGAGTGAACACTGTCTCTCCTGCAGCCAATGAAGAGTATTACCAGCTGCTGATGTCCAGCGAGGGTCACCCCTGTGGAGCAGACGTGCCCTCCTACACCGTGGAGGAGATGGAGAGCGTTACCTCTGAGCACATTGTGAAGAATGCCGTAAGCCTCTTTCCGCAAAGTTTCTTTCTAAAATGGCAGGAGTTCCTCCTGCAGGCGAGCTAGCTCAGCACTGCGGCCGGTGGCTGTAAGGCAGGAGTGTTTGGGGTTTCAGCAGATAAGTTCCTACCTTTAAAAGGAAGAATGTGAAGTCAGTGATTCTGGAAGTGGCATTCATGTTCTGGACTTCTGCCTTCTGTGAGACTGTCTTCCTCGTCCCTGACCAACTTTGTCCTGTAGCTCATGGGTGCAAGGGCAAACCCAGTGTGACTGAACTGGGGGGCTCTGGGTTTTCATGTCCTCGAGGTGAGGAGACACACTTGGTGACAGTCAGTTCACTTGTCCAGGGCTTTGCGGTCATGAGGGGGAGCTGGGATTTGAGACTCCAAAGCCCGTGCATTCTTAAGCACACCCAAAGGTGGGCCCCTTGGAGGGCACATGGGCCACATACACACACACCTACTCTACCACTCTGAGTTCTCAGCCGGTGAGAACAGATGTGAGGGCTAGTGGGGATCCCACATGTGCTGGGACCATCATGAAGCTGGCCTCATAACAGGGCTCCCTAATCCTTCCCATCTTCTTCCTCCAGCGTAACCCCCAGGCAGCCCCCAACCCTGAGCCCAGAGGGCCAGCCAGCAGGTAGAGCGCCCATGGTGGGCTGGAGGGGCCCAACCAGAGGCCTCTCCTCCCCAGGAAGCCCCTAGAACCCTGGGAGACAGCAAGGCTGGTGGAGGTTGTTAGGGCAGGCCAAGTGAGCAGAGGGTCCCCCACCTCCCAGTCACCCAGCCTGGACACCAGGTGCCATGTCCAAGACAGCGGGGTGAGTGGCGCCTCCCAGGGGGTGGAGACAGCTGGGGTTTCTTCCAGCCATAGAACCCTGATGTGTTGTTTCAAATAATATCATGCTGGACCTCCCAGTATCTGTAACAGGTGTAAGAGTTAAAGAGGAAAGAAACATGAAACGCAGCTTGGCAGTCAAAGACAGGTTTTCTTTAGTTAAAACCTGAGAGGTACTCCTGGCCGATTTTGGTCAGGAGCGCTTTCTCTTACAGACTGAGAGTATATGTTGGTTTTAGGGTGAGGGGGCTTATCACAAGCTTGGAATGTTTCTGTGTGTGGAGAAGTTTATGGCGGGGCTGGAATCTCTCTGGGAGGAGGGGAGGTTATCTTGGGGCAGGCATCTTTCCGGCCCGGATTGGGGTCATCTCGGGGCTAGTATGTCTCTGGTCCGGGAGGAGTTTGGAATGTTTCTGGTTGGAGATGTTATTTGTGGTTTATGGTCATGTTGACCTTAGCCATTAGGCTGATGCCCTTTGGATGTAGGCTGTTTTTTATTAAGGTGAACTTTAGAATGAGGGGCTTGTCCAAGATGGCGATGCTCCTGCTCTGTCAACAGGCAAGATAGGATTTTTTGGTGAGGGCTAGGCAAGGGAGTCAGAGAGCCCCCCACCTCCAACGCTCCTGGTGGGCGGCTCCCTCCAGCCTGCCTGCCTGAGTCGGATGTGGCGTCCGACACCATCTGACCTTGTCATCAGAGCCCTACTCTTCCTTTTCAGGATATGTTTGCGGTGGCCGTGTCCCTGGTGTCTGGGAAGATCCTGTACATCTCTGACCAGGTTGCATCCATATTTCACTGTAAAAGAGATGCCTTCAGCGATGCCAAGTTTGTGGAGTTCCTGGCGCCTCACGATGTGGGCGTGTTCCACAGTTTCACCTCCCCGTACAAGCTTCCCTTGTGGAGCATGTGCAGTGGAGCAGGTGAGGTTATCGAGGTAGTGCCTTGTTCCCTCTGGGGTCGGGAAAGGGGCCAGGAGCTGGGCCCAACCCAGATGTGGTGCAGGCGCCCTGCCTCACCTTTCAGAGCCCACCTGTGGGGGCCGCCAGCTGCCTGCTCTGGCAAAGGTAAAGGATAAGCAGTTGTTCGTCCCTTCAGAATAAATTTAGAGAAAAAAATAGTCTTTCCATACATTTCAGAGAGAGAAAACCGTTAGGCATTTTAGAAATGAAGTTGTTTGGAAAAGCTGGAATCTTGCTGTGATTGCAGTCGTGGGAGGCCGGGTCGTGGGGGCAGTGGGGAGCGTGAGCAAGGCACCCTGCTCCCTGCACGCAGGCGTCCCCCTGCCACCTTAGCAGCTGCAACCAGTGAGTGGGTCATATCCCAGAGTGACTTCCTGAGGGTTCTTTGCCTTGACCAGGGCTGGCTTTGGGTATACAGACTGTGAGATCCCTGGGCAGATGCCGCTGGCCCCCGAGGCACTGCAGGCCAAGTGTGCTGCACTGTGGATGGCAGCCTTCTTGGCTGCTGGGCCTGCCCCTGTAGCCACCGTCTACCCTGCCTCATTTCCAGGCTCCGCTCCCCAGCCAGGCCCTCCCAGCCGGGTCTGGTCTAGTCCCTGGAGCCAGCTGGGGGTGTGCCTGCCTCTGGGCCTCTGCCGGTGCCTCTGACCCCCACTCTCCTCAGGGCCTCCTGTGCCCCAGCTCTCCTCCCTGCCCAGCTAAGTCAAGGACCAGGTGAATTCTCAGGGGCCTTTCCAAGCTGCTGATTTTATATCATTTTCCGTAACTAGCCATTGCTTCTACTTTCCTAATTTCTTTTGAGTAGATGAAATGTATGAAAGACCTAGATCTAAGATTTTTTTTTTTTTTAGTTTAGATTCCCACGAAAGCAGAGATTTCTGTTTTTTAAATCCCTTTCAACTATTAGGGAAACACCTCTTCCTTCATTTCTGATGAGGTTGCCCAATTGATTTCATATTTTCACTAGACATTTCACATTTTAAAGGAAGTTACTATTTTACCAAAATACCGATGTAAGCCTTGAATGCCAAGTTGTTTCTGTTAGAACTGACTATCCCAAAAATATGTAGCATGAAATGTTTGGGGCTTCTGTTTCACTGTGGCCAGGCCTCTGCACACCTACCCCAAAGTCTGAGGCAGCTGAGAGGCCAAAGAAAGAGGCTGACAAATTCGGTTTCTTAGAAAGAAATATTTAACAGGGACTTAAGAACAGAGGCCATGCATGTTGTGGGTGGCGATGAGACAAGACTGGATCCCAGTCTTGCCATTCCCCCAGACCCAGGGCTTCTGTGGGACTGGCACACCGGCTTCAGAGGGAACCAGTAGGAATTTGCCCTGAGGGCAGGATTTACCTTAAGTACCTGCTCTTACTCAGGGACAGTAGGTAGATGAAATCTCCGAGGCCTTCCCAGAAGTGGGGTTAATCAAAAATCAGCATGGAGGCTTAGCTTCCAAGATATAGCTGCTGTGGCCTCCACAGCTTTCTTTGTCAATGTTCTGGACATCCGTGACTGTGCTCAGTTGTCGGTTAGTTGGTGTGTTTGCAGCAGTGCACCATGAGTGTGCTCAGTTGTAGGTTAGTTGGTGTGTTTGCAGCAGTGCACCGTGTGTTCAGTTGTAGGTTAGTTGGTGTGTTTGCAGCAGTGCACCGTGAGTGTGTTCAGTTGCAGGTTAGTTGGTGTGTTTGCAGCAGTGCACTGTGAGTGTGTTCAGTTGCAGGTTGGTGTGTTTGCAGCAGTGCACCGTGAGTGTGTTCAGTTGCAGGTTGGTGTGTTTGCAGCAGTGCACCGTGAGTGTGTTCAGTTGCAGGTTGGTGTGTTTGCAGCAGTGCACCGTGAGTGTGTTCAGTTGCAGGTTAGTTGGTGTGTTTGCAGCAGTGCACCGTGAGTGTGTTCAGTTGCAGGTTAGTTGGTGTGTTTGCAGCAGTGCACCGTGAGTGTGTTCAGTTGCAGGTTAGTTGGTGTGTTTGCAGCAGTGCACCGTGAGTGTGTTCAGTGGTTAATTAATTGGTGTGTTTGCAGCAACATCATGTGCCATTTTGAAAATGTAAGCCTCCTGGTGCTAAAATTTTAGCACTGCATAATTTGTAATGCACCACACTCATGAAGTCTATGTAATTTTAGTCAAAAATGTAATAGAAGGTTTCTCACATAAAGGATTTACTTTGTGCTTCCATAAATTTTCAGTTTTCACCTTGAATCTTGCTTGATTCTGCTGCTCCTCTTTTGTTTGTGAGAAATGAGGAACACTGTATTTAGTTGTTGGTTTGGATGAATGACTTTGGGCTCTCTCTTTTAGATTCTTTTACTCAAGAATGCATGGAGGAGAAATCTTTCTTTTGCCGTGTCAGGTAAGCCTGGTTCCCAGTTTTCTTAAATTAGAAAACCGTATAAACATTTCACCCCAGCACTGCTCCGCTTGAGGCTGGGGGGCGTGATCCCTGCCTGCAGGGACTCAGCACGCCTGTTTCTGAAGTCTACCAGAAAACACAGTCAGTTACATTTTAAATGTGTACAGGTCGCTAAGAATGCGGCCAGCAGTGGAGTGCTTTAACCTGCCCCTCATGGACCTGCACTTTCTCTCTGTGTCTTGCAAAGGCCTGTACCCCAGGGTCGACAGAGTTTCTGAAAGCACTGCGTCTTTTGGTTGTCTGTGCGTTTTTCTGGGGAGAGACCCGTAGCTTTCCCGACAAGGGTCTTGGTCCAAACCAGGGTGACTGATTGAGCATCCAGCTGCACTGTCAGGAGTGACCCCGAGCCAGACCCTGGCACCCTCAGGAGTCAGGGCCGAGGACCCCTGGCGGGAGCAGCACCCCTTTTCTGTCTGCTTTACCAACCCAGGGTGCAGGCTGCTCCAGGCTGCCCCACTGGTGGGGGTGTTAACTCTGATTTGCCCTTCAGTATGATGGGACTGAGGGAGGGACCGAAGAGGGCAGGGGGCAGGCCCAGCTCCTCAGGCAGAGCAGAGGTACACATCACCTGCAGCATGGCATGGGGCCCAGGTGAGGAGGGAACAGAACAGGGGACTGTTCCTGTGTCACAGTTCCCAACTTAGAGCGTGGCTCTTCTCCGCAGTGTCCGGAAAAGCCACGAGAATGAAATCCGCTACCACCCCTTCCGCATGACGCCCTACCTGGTCAAGGTGCGGGACCAACAAGGTGCTGAGAGTCAGCTTTGCTGCCTTCTGCTGGCAGAGAGAGTGCACTCTGGTTATGAAGGTAACAGCCAAGCCCAGGGCGAGGGCAGATGTTGTCTCTGGCTCCCCCTCAGTTACTCCTGTGGTTCACACATAACATCTGTACGATGGACTCCCCGCTGCAGTTCCCCAGCCTTGGCCTCTCCACCTCACCTTGGGCAGGGTCTCCATCTTTCTGGAGACTCAGCACACCCTGCTTGTCATCCGGCCCTGCCCATGGCAGATCACGGCATCTGGGTGCCAGCATCTCTCACCCCTATCCACACCAGTGCTGTGACCCCTTCTCCCCTTTCCCTGGCTGCTCTGCCTTTTGTCCACAAAGTGGGAACAGCTCTGACAAGTCTGGGGCCCTACATCCTTCCCATCCTCATCCCCTGCCCCATGCCTCAGCCTCATGGGCCCCTGTGAAGGGCACTGATGTCGCTGCCTGCTCCAGAACCCCAAACAGTTCCTCAGTCCCCAAGAAATGAAGTGCTGGGCATCCCTCCCTCCCCACCTTGGCCCATCCTAACTTTTCCTGGAATTTCCCTTCCTCTCAGACAGACATGCACTGACATGACTCTCCAGGTGAGTCAGCCTCCATACAAGGCTTGCTGTGCCTCTGTATGCCCAGCATTCTGGACCACAGTCTCTGCTCCTGCTGCCACCTCACTCACAGAATCCAGCTCACCTCACCTTGACCCTCTTGGTCCATTAGCTCTTCTGGCTACCCCACCCCCAAAATAATATCTGGGCTCTTCTCTTGAAGCTCAGAGGTTACAAGGCATTGTGCCACCTTGATGGGTCCTTCCTGTGGTCCCTCTTAAGAGCCTGCTTTGTGGCACCTTGGTCCTTGTATTGGCCGAAATCCCTGGCCAGGAACTGTAGGTGCTCACCTTGGCTGCTGAGCGAGTCACATGATCTCCAGATTCTCTGAAGGCAGGTGCATTCTGCAACTGCTGAACCCGGGGAAGCCAGCTGAGTCTGCTGTGCTGTGTTCACCACCTTCTCTGTGGTGAATGACAGCTTTTTTTTTTTTTTTTTTTTTTAAGAGATGGAGTCTTGCTCTTTTGCCCAGGCTGGAGTGCAGTGGTGCTATCTTGGCTCACTGCAACCTCCGCCTCCTGGATTCTACAATTCTCCTGCCTCAGCCTCCCAAGTACCTGGGACTACAGGTGGATGCTGCCACACCCAACTAATTTTTTTCTTTTTTTTTGTATTTTAGTAGAGACGGGGTTTCACTGTGTTGCCCAGGCTGGTCTCGAACTCCTGAGCTCAGACAATCCACCTGTCTCGGCCTCCCAAAGTGCTGGGATTACAGGCGCGAGCCACCGCGCCCGGCCAAATGACAGCCTCTTAAAAGTGATAGAAATATTTTAAGTATGTGACTTTCTCTGCAATGTTTTTTGTGTTCCTGCGTGTATTACAGAATGTTCTTTTCCAAATAGTAAGGTTTAGAGAGGGTACTTAGAGTTCAACAAGTTATTCCCCCAAATTACCAGTCTCCTTCAAGAATGAAAATGTTGGAATTTTGAATGTTTTGTCCATGAATTGAGGAAAATTTTGGATATATGACTCACTTTATGCAAATTACTCTATCAGCTTTGTCCACCTTTGTCTAGTTTCTAAACTGTGAAGTTCTCCAGTATAGTGACATTTGCTAAGAAATCTGAATCCAGACCAGGTGCAGTGGCTCATGCCTGTGGTCTGGCACTTTGGGAGGCTGAGGTAGGAGGATCTCTTGAGCCTGGGCATTTGAGACCATCCTGGGCAACATAGTGAGACCCTGTCTCATTAAAAAAAAAAAAAAGAAATTTGAATCCAAGTATGTAACTCATTTTCCTAAAAATAATGTGTCAGATCACTGTAGTTTCATCTTAAACATCATAAAGATGGGGCCGGGCGCAGTGGCTCACGCCTGTAGTCCCAGCACTTTGGGAGGCCAAGGTGGGCGGATCACGAGGTCAGGAGATCGAGACCATCCTGGCCAACACGGTGAAACCCCACCTCAACTAAAAATACAAAAAATTAGCTGGGCGTGGTGGCACACGCCTGTAGTCCCAACTACTGGAGAGGCTGAAGCAGGAGAATCGCTTGAACCTCGGAGGCGGAGGTTGCAATGAGCCGAGATCGTGCCACTGCACTGCAGCCTGGGCAACGCAGCAAGACTCTGTCTCAAAAAAAAAAAAAAAAATCGTAAAGATGGCCTTCCAGCTTTATTTTGCTAAGAGTAGTCTTTACGTGGTCCGTGTGGTTTTGTTAACACGGCAGTTTCGATTTACTAGACTAAAACTAGCATATAAAGAAGCTAAGAAGGCTGGCCAACGATCCCACAACCAGCATAAGGTTCTCAGTGTGGCAGTCTCTGTTGTTCAGAGTCCATGTTTTAATTTTTTTCTTTAGCTGCTCATTACTCTGAATCTACAGGGTGTTTTCTGGTAGTTTTAATATAACATCAAATATGCATTTCTTAGGATCACAAATGTGTGCAATATTCTGTTCTTTCAGCCCCTAGAATTCCTCCTGAAAAGAGAATTTTTACAACCACCCATACACCAAATTGTTTGTTCCAGGATGTGGATGAAAGGTACGTGGTCTTGACCCACCCCCTTTTTCATGTTTTTGATATAAAAGCTATTTAGCCAAAGCCAAGACTGCATCTTGGTTTTATAATTACATGATAATGGACAAAAACATGTAATTATATACAGGCAATGAAATAATTATGGAATTACACTGAAAACTTCCTAAGATATGCACATGGTGTAATTGAGGCTTTCTGGAGAGCTGTTGATCTAATTGAGCCTGTCTTAATTCTCCCATATAAACCCATTCGGAGTGGATAATGGTCCAGACAGAGGCGCTGTTGCCTGGGACCAGTGTCAGGGTGGAAGCCGGAGATGCCATTGGCTGGATCCCAGCAGAAGTCTATCTTCCAGCCTGTGTGCTAGAGGCTTCTCCAGGGGACAGGATTTTCTCCATGCCTCAGAGCCCCACTTGGGTCCCTCTCTCTGGGTCTCCCCCTCAGGGTGCTGTAGCAGGTGCGAACAGTCCCAGTGAGATTTGGGAGCACCCATGTTCTGAGTGGCTTCTGCCCCCACCATGCATCTTCTCCCAGCTCCTCCACAAATGCATGAAGACTCCAAAAACACTTGGGCCGGCTAGGTGCAGTGGCTCACACTTATAATCCTAGCACTCTGAGAAGCTGAGATAGGAGCATCACTTGAGGCCAGGAGTCTGAAACCAGCCTGTTTGAAACCAGGAGTTCAAAACGTAGCAAGACCCTGTCTCTGCAAAATAAAATAAAAATTAGCTGGGTGTGGTGGTGTGCACCTGTAGTCCCAGCTACTCAGAGGCTGAGGCAGGGGGATCACTGAGCCTAGGAGTTCAAGGCTACGGTGAGCTATGATTGCACCACTGCACTCCAGCCTAGGTCACAGCAAAAGACCCTGTCTCAAAAAAATAGAAAGAAAAAAAATGTGTGGGCCACTGGCAGTAGTCACCGAAAAGTGACCTCAGAAGATACCACAGGAAGTGGACCAAGAAGCACCAGTGTGCTGGGTTCCTAAAATGAACCAGGTCACCTAGAAGCTGGAGGATCAAGACCTCTCCCTCCTCTACTCTTGGCCCAGGGACACAGGCCCCCATCCTTGGAGTCAGGGCCACACAGCTTCCTGGGGAGGCTCTATGGGTAAAAAGGGATCCGTCACTTCCAGCTCCAGGTGGCTCAGGTGTGTCCGCGGGGCTGCCTGGGGCAGAGCCAGTTTGCAGATGCAGGCTTCTGGACACCACCCTGCCCTGTGGAACCAGGATCTTGGAGGGCAGGGCCTGGGGCCGTATATGTAAAGCAGCCTCTGGAGACTTTTCTTCCTTCAGAGATCTGAGAACTGTCTCTAACCCACTCCCATGCCAACTTGGTGTCCAGCTCAGCCCTGTGCAGGGAGGTTGGCAGACAGGTTCACCTGGCATGATGGGCCACAGCCTGCAAGCTCTCCTTGATGAAGCCTTGTGTGTGGCCTGGCTCACAAAGCCCAAGGACAGCCAGGGCTCCCCCTCCTCCTCCCCTCCTTCTTTTCACCCTCCACCCCCTTTCTGCTCCCTCCTCTTCCTCCTCCCCCTCTTTTTCCTTCCTGTTCCCCCACTCCTCTCCTCTTCCTTCCTCTTCTTCCTCCTTCAGCAAGGCCTTGATGGGACGGATGCCAGGAACATTCTGTATATCCTGTCCAAAGGAAAACATGAGGCCTGAAGAGAGAGCCTCAGACAAGAAGGAGGAAATCAAAGAATAACGCCAGGCCCTTGAGAAAGTTCTGCACCATGGTCTAAAGATTCACAGGGAAAATCCTTCTACACAAGCAGCAGAGTTTGAGGAAACATTGGTTTGGATGCAACAAGTGTTAAGAGGCAGATCGGGAGAAGAAATGGTCGGTGGAGCCGGCAGAGGGCGCTGGACACAAACAGAAGCAGAAGGTGCTGCTGAAGTTCAGCTCCGTCCTGCAATGGAGCAAAGCCACAGCTCTGGGAGGAGGCATGAGCTCAAAGGGCAGAGGCCCAGCCAGCCACCGAGACTCCAAAGAAGCCACAGTAAACCAACTGGATGCTGAGGCCAAAGTCACACGAGACCAGGCTGGAAAAGAAGCACATACAAAGGGTTTTCCGAGGCCCAGGCAAAACTTGTTAAGCAAAAATCCATGCCAGGTCACATGTGGCCAAACTAATGAATGACACTGAAAAAGAAAAAGATGCTGGAAGGAAGAAAACAAAAGCATGATCATGACTTATCTCTTGGGAGGTGAAACGCAGAGCTGAAGCACTCAGGCCCCAGCAGAGGGAGCCTCCTTCAGCGTCCTGGACAGTGAACCTTCGTTTGCTATTGATTAAAAGTCTAGCTGGTTCTGTTAGTCCAACTTTTGATCTCCGGGGGTGGGGGAGGGGGTGGGGTTTGGAGTGTATCTTCTCTTTCCAGGGAATAAGATGGTTCTTAGTGACAATCTCCTCATCTGTTTGGATGCCAATCCTAGCGTGTGTCTGCTTGCCTTCCAGGGCGGTCCCTCTCCTGGGCTACCTACCTCAGGACCTGATTGAAACCCCAGTGCTCGTGCAGCTCCACCCTAGTGACAGGCCCTTGATGCTGGCCATCCACAAAAAGAGTAGGTCCCCTTTTCATGGTACATCCTGAAGTGTTTGGCGGAAGTTCCTGTGTCCTTGGGGCTGCTTCTTGGGACCAGTCTAGCTCTGACAGGTCAGATCAGCTAAGGACAAGCAGGTGGTAGACGCCCGCCTCGCCGCCTCCCTCCTGGCACTGCAGTGCCCAGTGGAGTCGAGAGAGAGGGGTAAACTCATGTGAGTTCCTTTGTGGCCAGTTGTTTCTCAGTCCGTGGCCTGAGTCCGTAGCATCTTATGTTTACTGTTGGCTTCAGTGGCGCATGGGAGGAGGGGAGACCAGTTCATCTGTGGCTAGGAAGGTTCTCACCAGGCCAGGGGAGTGCACAGTGCATGTCCTCACCAAGCCCAGCCCTCATAGATGCAAGTGACACTAGCAGAGGTGAAACATGGGATGAAACAGCTCCTGCTGGAAACAGCCTCCTGGTAATCTACAGCAAAAACAGGAGGTTGAAAGCAGTGGCTTTGAAGAAGTGTTCATACCCCTACAGTTTGCAAATGATCCTGGGCCTGAGTGACTCTTGACTTGTCTCTCTCTACTATAAATCCTGTTTGCTCCCCTTTTCCCCTGAATGCTGGCTTTTGCTCTCCTAGTCCTGCAGTCAGGCGGGCAGCCTTTCGACTATTCTCCCATTCGGTTTCGCGCCCGGAACGGAGAGTACATCACGTTGGACACCAGCTGGTCCAGCTTCATCAACCCATGGAGCAGGAAAATCTCCTTCATCATTGGGAGGCACAAAGTCAGGGTGTGAGTGCTCCAAGGGCCCGAGGTGGCTCAGGGGTCTTGGGCGGGGGTCTCGGGCTGTCCTCACCTCCCAGCAACAGATGGCATAGGGAGGGGCTGAGAGGCCAAGACCGAAACCTTGCTTCCTGCCACCAATCTGGAGCCCCAGACTGCTAGGCAGGGGTGACCTGTCCTCTGCCCCCAAGTGGGAGGGACCTCATTCAAGCAGAGTAGGGAGTGGACAGGCAGCAGCCTGGGGGGCTGCAGGGGAGAGGCAGAGGGCCCACCCAGGCAGGCAGCATGTAGTGGCTATACAGTCACGCCAGAGAGGTCCTCCTGTGGGGCCCCATCTAACAAGATGAATTAAAACCACGCAGGGGCCCTTTGAATGAGGACGTGTTTGCAGCCCACCCCTGCACAGAGGAGAAGGCCCTGCACCCCAGCATTCAGGAGCTCACAGAGCAGATCCACCGGCTCCTGCTGCAGGTGGGTGTGGTGCCTGCATGTCCTCCTCCCAGGTAGCAGCCTGAGAGCCCCCTGCAGAGGACATAGGCTCTGAACCCTGGTCCTGGCACACCCACTCAGACAGCTTCATCTGTCATTCTCTGAACATCCCCCAGGGGACAGTTTGGGCATAGACTGTGCTAGTCCGAGACAGTCCATAGTACCCTTGGCTCTCTCCAGCCTTGCATTCGACCTTGTCTGAACTGCAGCCCTGAGTGAGTAGCTGAAGGACGTGTGCAGACCCCGTGCTCTGACACAGGCTGCATAGTTCCAGAGTGACCTCTCAGTGGTGCGGGGGCTCATTCTAATCCAGAGCAGTGGGACTTAAGGGAGGGACATTGTACTCAAGGTCCCTAAAAAAAATCAGGCCCACTGCAGTCAACCCCACACCTGAGTAGGCGCCTGCCTGTCAGTTCCCGGAGACTGTGGAGTGAAGCTGTCATCGCATCTTGTTTGTTTTAAACCCATCCACAGAGGCGTGGCTGGCTGCAGCCATGCGTTGATGAGCGGGTTGGACACATTCCTTTGGTGCCGTCTCCTCGGTGACTGCATGTCTGGGTCGGGGCACCGCGGCTGGAGGCCAGGAGTCTACCTCTGGAGCTGACCCTGGGGTTCAAACCTCAGCTCCCCTGGTCTCTGCCATGTAGCCTTAGGCGGGTCGCCATCCTCTCTGCGAAACAGGGTGTGTTGGCAGGGGGCCACATGCATAGCTCAGCAGCCCTGGCTGTGTCTGTAGCGCTGTCTGCTGTCTCCCCAGCCCGTCCCCCACAGCGGCTCCAGTGGCTACGGGAGTCTGGGCAGCAACGGGTCCCACGAGCACCTTATGAGCCAGACCTCCTCCAGCGACAGCAACGGCCATGAGGACTCACGCCGGAGGAGAGCCGTACGTCTCCTTCCATTCTCCCTGAGAAAATGAGTTTGTGGATGTCCCTCCAGAGTTAAAAAGCACACTCAAGACAACCTTTGGCAGTTAGGAGGGGCTTCCTGATTGCAGCTGTTGCTGCTTCCTTTCTAAACTTTGTCCACTTGGGACTTTTTAATCTCTTAAGAGTTGAAAGAGCTAGAAACCATAGCTAAGTGTTGGTTGAAAATTATTTAAAACAGACAAAACAAGCAAAAGTGAAGATTTAACTAGGATAGAAAGAAGAAAATGTGGGCTGGGTGCGGTGATTCACACCTGTAATCCCAGCACTTTGGAAGGCCGAGGCAGGCGGATCACCTAAGGTCAGGAGTTCAAGAACAGCCTGGGCAAGGTGGTGAAACCCCGTCTCTACTAAAAATACAAAAATTGCCTTGCATGGTGGCGCGCCCCTGTAATCCCAGCTACTCGGGAGGCTGAGGCAGGAGAATGGCTTGAACCCGGGAGGCAGAGGTTGCAGAGAGACAAGATTGCGCCACTGCACTCCAGCCTGGGTGACAGAGCAAGACTCTGTCTTAAAAAAAAAAAAAAATGTAATGTGCCGTTTTGCTTTATTTTTTATTATTCTTTAGGATCATCAAATAGGTTTTATCTAGCTCTACACCTGTCAGATTTCTCATCCACAGTTTCCTTCTGTGTTGCTGAAATTATTTCAGCCATCCTCTGTTCTCACTTTGCCGGACAGACTGAAGGAGGTCTCCTAGAATGAATAATGTGTTCATTTTGTTTTTCTTCAAGGAAATTTGTAAAAATGGTAACAAGACCAAAAATAGAAGTCATTATTCTCATGAATCTGGAGAACAAAAGAAAAAATCCGTTACAGGTAAAAAAAAAAATATTCAACATTTCCTTACTGAAACTAGAGTATGGCCACATGAGAAGAGGGAACCTGGGTTAAATGCTGACTCTGGCTGGCAGGGAGTCTACCTTGTAGCCGTGTCACACCCCCTTCTGCGTTCAGCACAGTCTGCAGCTTCCAAGAGGCGAGAGCAGCCCAGTCCTGCACTCAGCCAGTGCAGGCACTGATGTCCACACTGGGCACCTGATGCCCTGCAGGCCTGGCGGGGTGTGGCTAGGTGTGCAGGCCTGGGGAGCTGTGACCAGTGTGCCTTCCTGCACCCTGGCCTGCCAGCAGGGTGTGCCTGGGAGCCACGGCCTGGGCCGCTTGTTCTTGCTGTACAGAGTAGCTGTATGGCTGTGTGTTTACACTTGCAAACCCTTCACTCACACACACACACAACTGCCGACGGTTTGCCCAGCATCCACATACACTCAAACCAAACCTGTCTGAAGTGGGGAGTACCACCCAGGGGCTGCCGACCCACCCCCACTGCAGCAGCCCTTTCCTACCACAGCGCCACACTTCCCAGGCAGCTTCACAGTGTCATGCGCGGGTTCAGATTCATGCTGCTCCTCTGTCCCGCATGTATTTCTCACACAGCATGCACACAGACACGTGTGCACACATGCATGCATCCCAGTCCCCTCCCCCTGGTGGGCCCTTGCTCATTCTCTGTGCTCAGGCCGAAGCCTCCCGTGGGGAACACTCTGGCCAGACACCGCTAGGACTTTTGGCCTTGGGGATGTGTTGGTGGACATGCTGCCTGCTGGACTCTGTGCTGGGTGTTGGGGACACGCTAATGAGCTGGACACAGCTCTTTGCTTGAGGGTCCCTAGGGGACAGGCATGTGATGAATGTCGTTGGGGCAAGAGTCGAATCTGCAGCACAGTGAGCAGGCAGTTGTCATCATAATTGTTACTAGCAGGGATCACCTTGAAAACACTGGCCTGGCCCAGGAGGAGCATAAAGTACGTGGGCTCTCATTGGCCCTGAAAGTTTAAGAGTTCAAGTGAGAACTGCTGTCTCCCACTGCTGAGTCCCTGACCCCTGGGGACAGCCTAGACCCCAGAGAGAAGCAGACACCAGGCTGGGCAGCAGCTCCCCCCCCAGGTCTCTCTGTGGACGGCACTGTGGTGCTCGTGCCCACAGGGCTGCCAGATGCCAGGCTGTCCCCAGGCTTCCATACTCATGAAGCAGATTCTGAGTCCCCAGCCCTGTCTTCAGGTAGAACGAAAATGCTTTGTAAATACACAGCGTTTTCTGTGGGAGAAAAATGAATGAAAGAACAATTTTGCCATTCCTTCAGAAATGCAAACTAATCCCCCAGCTGAGAAGAAAGCTGTCCCTGCCATGGAAAAGGACAGCCTGGGGGTCAGCTTCCCCGAGGAGTTGGCCTGCAAGAACCAGCCCACCTGCTCCTACCAGCAGATCAGCTGCTTGGACAGCGTCATCAGGTATGCCGGCATTTCCAGCCGAGTCTCCACCATCTCACACACCTTCCCTCCTCTCATGTTGTGTGGCCTCACCAGTGGTTCATGCCTTTCACACAGGTACTTGGAGAGCTGCAATGAGGCTGCCACCCTGAAGAGGAAATGCGAGTTCCCAGCAAACGTCCCAGCGCTAAGGTCCAGTGATAAGCGGAAGGCCACAGTCAGCCCAGGGCCACACGCTGGAGGTATCTAATCTGTGTAGAGCCATGTACATGTGAAATAATGTAAATCCTCTGGAGTAGAGTCAGACGTCCCCATGGCTTCTGTGGACACAGTGTAAGGGTGTAGGCTGTTTTTCAAATGATGAAAGTAGTTCAAAAGTCAGCACCCTTCTTAGGAACTAGAGGCAAAGATGGTTCTGTCAGAGCCTTGGCTTTGAGAACAGGAAGCCAGTGGGGCTACTGGAGGCCTGGGGCCGTCCCCTGACCCCCCTCATGCAGACACACTGCAGGGACATCTCCTGGTCCCCTTCATGCGGCCACACTGAGGGGCCGTCTGCTGACCCCCTCATGCAGCCACACTGGTCTCAAGTTGTCAGTCTAGGGCAGGCCCTCTTTCCAGTGTGTCTCAGAGGGGCCCTTGGCCTGAATGTTAACATGGCCCATAAATCACATTAAATCCCAGGCTGCTTAACACAACGCTGTCAGTGTTGCTGATGTTCACCACCAGGATTAGAAATGGTACCCCGGCTGGGCGCGGTGGCTCACGCCTGTAATCCCAGCACTTTGGGAGGCCGAGGTGGGTGGATCACTTGAGGTCAGGAGTTCAAGACCAGCCTGGCCAACATGGTGAAACCCCATCTCTACTAAAAATACAAAAATTAGCCAGGCATCATGGTGCATGCCTGTAATCCCAGCTACTTGGGAGGCTGAGGCAGGAGAATGGCTTGTACCTGGCAGGCGGAGGTTGCAGTGAGCCAAGATTGCATCACTGCACTCCAGCCTGGGTGACAGAGCGAGACTCCATCTCAAAAAAGAAAAAAGAAAGAAACAGGGTATCCCGGATTATGGTTGGCTCCTGACTGTCGGAAAGCCCCTCCCCACAGGCCTGCAGAAGGGCTGCCTGGCTGCAGGCAAGAGCCCCTCACCAAGTGTGCCCTGCAGCTGCCAAGCTGCTGCGCCTCCCTGCAGAGGCCTCAGGATTTAAGTGTGTAACTGCTCCCATTTCAGAACTTTCTCTTTTCCACTATTCTTCTATGAATAAACATTGGGGACAAATCACCCCATGCCTGGGCCAGAGCATCTGTGGGATGGGATGGGATGGGTTGTGTGCACCCTGGTGTGGAAGCTGTATGGGCACTTGGGTGTCGGTTTCTCATCTGCACAGTGCATTGTAATGACACACTAATGTTTGTTCCCCCTTCCTCTCATGAAGAGGCAGAGCCGCCCTCCAGGGTGAACAGCCGCACGGGAGTAGGTACGCACCTGACCTCGCTGGCACTGCCGGGCAAGGCAGAGAGTGTGGCGTCGCTCACCAGCCAGTGCAGCTACAGCAGCACCATCGTCCATGTGGGAGACAAGAAGCCGCAGCCGGAGTTAGGTATGACTATGGGCTCTTGGATCAGAGAGCAGTTTGATTTTTAACCATGAAAACAAGAAGTTTGCCATCTTAAATTTTTCTAAGTGCAGAAGAACTCCACCATAGCCCGATAGGGGGCGTTTCAGGAAATCCAGTTACGTAAAATGCAGGGTGGAGTGCGGCCAGCCAGGGCCCAGGCAGCAACCTGTCCAGGTCTCTGCTGCCCTGTGGTGCCCTCCAGTGGCAGTTGTCTGTTCTGGCATCAACGCAGGAGGGTTGATTGTGGTGCAAGATCTTATCCCCTTTAATTGGTGCGGAGAGCACTGGGAGCGAGGCCCCACCTCCCTCTTCCCTGGGCAGGCCTGGGGTTCTTTCCTCTGCCCAGCAGAAGGTGCGACCGTTAGCTCTCCCTGTTTGTGGACAGGAGCCAGTACAGGTGGTAAACAGATTTACAATGAGCGCATTGGTGGCTGAGTGTTCTTGTTCTTTAGAATATTATGATTAAAATGAATCCTGAATTTGTTCTTTACTAAGAAGAGGGAAATGATAAGGAAAAAGTGTATGTCCAAGATCCAGTCCCCAAGCCCTCCCTTTCAGGATGGTCAGTGGCCCTGCCTGTCCCTTGTCCTGTCTGCCCCATGGGCCCATAGGGTCCCATCTATCACCATGCCTGGTCCCAAACCCGGAAAGACTCAGCACGTTGATCCAAGTTTCTGGTGTTCTGAAAGCTAAGGACAGCCGAGGGATATCTTCAGCAGCAGAGCTGAAGCCCAAGGTTCCCCACGTTTCCGTTTGTTCAGCCCCAGGTTCCTGAGCACCTGGCTGTCAGGGCTGTCCTGCTCTGCTTCTTGCCTTTTGCCATGAACTTTCTCAGAAAGCTAAATGAAAACGCTGTGAGTCTCATCCTCATGCCACAGGCATCATGAAATTACTTTATACGTGAATGATTTGTCTTGTTCGTGAATATAGTGTGGCCTTAAAATAATAAACAGGGCACGTGTGGACCAGAGCCCTGGGTTCTTGTGTTACAGAGATGGTGGAAGATGCTGCGAGTGGGCCAGAATCCCTGGACTGCCTGGCGGGCCCTGCCCTGGCCTGTGGTCTCAGCCAAGAGAAGGAGCCCTTCAAGAAGCTGGGCCTCACCAAGGAGGTACTCGCTGCACACACACAGAAGGAGGAGCAGAGCTTCCTGCAGAAGTTCAAAGAAATAAGAAAACTCAGCATTTTCCAGTCCCACTGCCATTACTACTTGCAAGAAAGATCCAAGGGGCAGCCAAGTGAACGAAGTAAGTGATACCCGAATTAAAAGTGCGTTTTAAAAAACTTTATTCCTGTTGGTACTGAGTCCAGTGCTGGTTTCAAAATGTGAAATGTGTCCAGTTTCAGAAGCATTAACATATAAGACAGCTGTTGGAACTTCCCTGGCAACGCCATCTGTTTCTGTAGAACTTCCCACCGGGGGGGTGCTCTCGGGATGTCAGCTTGCATTCCCTGGGGAATAGTCCCAGGCTAGTGCCCGAGGTGGGAAGAACCATGGCAGGGCAGTGCTGCCATGTCCACATTTCTTGCCTGAGTAACCATGTGGGCAGGGGCCCCACCTGGACGGGACCTCCAGAGAATCAGCGAATTCAACCTCAAGATAGTGGGCATGTAGTGCTGGGCACATGAGGAAGGAGGGATGTACCATTTCTGGTGCCCTTCTCCCCAGGAGATGCACCCTCCTGACTGGGCCAGCCTCAGGGCTGGGCTTTGGACTCCAGAGTCAGGCAGAGTCCATGGTCATGGTGTGGGAAGCTGCTGTGTAGGCCAGGTGCCACTTGGGGGGTTGAAGGTCAAGGGATGAAGTAAAATAGATGAGCTTCTTCACCCCTTTCCTGGCCCAGAAGTCTGGCTCCTGATCCCCCAGTTCCTTCCCATACCCCCAGACACTTGTTAGAGATGGGGCCTCTTCCCTTCCCCCTGGGACGCTGGCACAGGGATCAGAGCCAGTGAGCCCAGGAAGCCACTCACCACAAGGACCCAGCTCCCCCGGGTCTCTGGGCAGACGCACCAAGGGAAATTTGTAAGAAATTAAGCCCACAGCTTCCTTGAGGATTATGTCTTCTCCACTCTTTCCTTTCTCTCCTTCTTCCCCAGATTCAAGAGTTACTGCCAGCCCATAGAGAACCTCTGTAGAAATTAGAAAAAGGTGTACTCCATGGCCATGAGCAGACCCACCCCATGGGACCAGCCTAGTGCAGAGTTCCCGCTCTTGCTTGCCCCCTAGACAACTCTGTAGCCTTATGCAGTGCACAGACTACAGAGCTGCCTAGGGCAGCCCTGCCAGACCCAGACATGACATCCCAGGAGCCCAGTGCTTTAGCCACTGTTCCCACCAGGGGACAGATTTCTTGTGAGAAGAACACCAGATAGAGAGGCTGAATTGCAAAACCTCCATTTACATAGGAGTTTGCCTTGGACTAGCCCATTTCCCTTCAGCACATCCCAAAGGCATGGGACTGCCTTGGCACAGCTGACAGATGTCCCAGACACCTGCTGCAAGAGCCCCAAGTCACTCCGCGTGATGTGAGAGGAAAACCAAAGTTCCCTGGATCCCCCTCCCACTCCCCAGGGAGGCCATGGGGACATACCCAGAGTCCCTCCTTTACCAATTGAGTCCCTCCATCTTCCTGAAGAATGCCTTACTCAGCAGCACTCGTTATTGCAGAGGAAGAATTTGGTTGCAAGGCAATGCTCCCCTCTGATCTTGCTCAGGCTGTTTGACAGGTGAAAGAGGAAACATCCCTCTTTAAGGAACAGTAGTGACAGTGCTTATAAATTGAAAAATAGAGGAGGTCAGTGGCTCTCCCGTTCAGATTTCACTAACCAATTTTTCCCCCAAATACTGGGGAACAGCAGAGACATGACAGCTTTTTAGTGTATTTATTTAACAAATAGAACTTTGTATTACCACTTATCATATTAGCATTTCATAAAAGAAAGGACATTTAATACCAGAAGAAAATAAGGAATGTGTCCTGCAATTAAGAGCTTGTAATTTAAGTTGATTCAATTTAGTTTTATGGAAAAACCTGATGTTTTGCCCTGATTTTTCTCACTTCACTGAGGATCAGGGAAAACCGCTCGGTGGACCAGGCAGGCCCTGGGCCAGCATTTGGAAACCCAGGACTGTTGAACGAAGAGGTGTCTTCAAATTTGGAGTTAAAATTTTAACTCCGAGTATTTGTTTTTCTGCATTAGCTGCCCCTGGACTAAGAAATACTTCCGGAATAGATTCACCTTGGAAAAAAACAGGAAAGAACAGAAAATTGAAGTCCAAGCGGGTCAAACCTCGAGACTCATCTGAGAGCACCGGATCTGGGGGGCCCGTGTCCGCCCGGCCCCCGCTGGTGGGCTTGAACGCCACAGCCTGGTCACCCTCAGACACGTCCCAGTCCAGCTGCCCAGCCGTGCCCTTTCCCGCCCCAGTGCCAGCAGCTTATTCACTGCCCGTGTTTCCAGCGCCAGGGACTGTGGCAGCACCCCCGGCACCTCCCCACGCCAGCTTCACAGTGCCTGCTGTGCCCGTGGACCTCCAGCACCAGTTTGCAGTCCAGCCCCCACCTTTCCCTGCCCCTTTGGCGCCTGTCATGGCATTCATGCTACCCAGTTATTCCTTCCCCTCGGGGACCCCAAACCTGCCCCAGGCCTTCTTCCCCAGCCAGCCTCAGTTTCCGAGCCACCCCACACTCACATCCGAGATGGCCTCTGCCTCACAGCCTGAGTTCCCCAGCCGGACCTCGATCCCCAGACAGCCATGTGCTTGTCCAGCCACCCGGGCCACCCCACCATCGGCCATGGGTAGGGCCTCCCCACCGCTCTTTCAGTCCCGCAGCAGCTCGCCCCTGCAGCTCAACCTGCTGCAGCTGGAGGAAGCCCCTGAGGGTGGCACTGGAGCCATGGGGACCACAGGGGCCACAGAGACAGCAGCTGTAGGGGCGGACTGCAAACCTGGCACTTCTCGGGACCAGCAGCCGAAGGCGCCTCTGACCGTAAGGATTTTCTGATGCTCTTTCCCCAAAGCAGGCAGCAAACAGCACACCTGGCAGGCCGGCCGCACATCCTCAGTTCAGACATGGGGGTTACACGATTGAGGTTTCCACCAAACCCTGTAGGTTTTGCCATGAATGTGTGTGCCAGAAATTCATGCTTCCCACTTAATCCTATCAGAGTAGATTATTCGAAGCCTTTTATTGTCGTGGAATCTGAATGAAGGAGGAGAGATTGTGATACAGACTCCAGAAAGCAGCATGTGACTTGACAGTATTTGTGGGCTTCGACTTTTTAAATGACGCTTCAGAGATAAAGCACAGTCAGGTTAAATACCAGAGCTAGGGCTCCTCAGGGTGTGGCGCCGGAGCCTGGCTCAGGTGGCCCCGGTGAAGGCGGAGAAGGAGGGGGACACAGCCCTAAAACCAGCGTGACCTCAGTTTCCATCCTCCGCAGGCGTAGGGACACTGTGTGAGATTCTTAACCAGTTAATGAAACGGTAGTTGTATTTGCAGTTAAACGCTTGTGTTTCTGAACGAGCTCAAGTGTGTGGGAACGCCAGCAGCAGTGCAGTCCGTAGGCCTCAGGCGATTCCCTGCCTTGGCCAGAGGACCTAGGGCTCCCGGGTGAGGAAGTGCAAGCATGTAGATCTGTGGAGCTTCTCCCAGTCCTCCTGCCACCTCCGGGCTCCTGCTTCTGGAGTCCTGGGCCTGCAGTCTGGGTTTCCAAGGAGAGGAGGGTCAGGGATGCTCCCCAGGCCAGGCCCCGCCCTCAATCCCAAGGCAGCCCCCACACCGGGTGCTGTGAGAGGCGTTTTCCCCATCCATGTCTGCTGCATGTGAGGAGGGGGCTGTGGCCAAGGAGCAGCCTGAGGCTTTCCCCCCTGGAGCCCAGGTATTGCCGTCTTCCATGTGACTCTCCGAAAATTAAATGTAACTAGACGGCATCCATAGAGCATCAGTGGAATTTGCACCGTAGGCCTGGTGGTGATGCGTGGTCTGCTCGTTAGGCCGTCCCTGGCCGTGAACCTTGCAGCCGCTCCACAGCACCCCTCCACCCTCACCCCACTCATGCCCCCCACCCCCACCCCGCTGCATATGCTGTGTCCTGACTGAGCCCCTGAACAGCAGTATCTGCTTCCTGTCCCTAAAGCGTGATGAACCCTCAGACACACAGAACAGTGACGCCCTTTCCACGTCAAGCGGCCTCCTAAACCTCCTGCTGAATGAGGACCTCTGCTCAGCCTCGGGCTCTGCTGCTTCGGAGTCTCTGGGCTCCGGCTCACTGGGCTGCGACGCCTCCCCGAGTGGGGCAGGTATGTTGGCCCTGGCGGGGTGTTAGGCACTTGGGAGGTTCCTGCAGGATGCACTGCTCCAGAGTCACAGGCCGGCCTCTGTGCTCAGAACAGGGATCACCGGCACTCCCCAAGCAGCTGTCAGAGCCCATGCAGACACCCACACAGACACACTCTCCCTGTTCAGCATGGCTGGCCCTAGCTAGTCAGAATTCCACATCCTCCCTGTTTGCTTCTGATTTCAGTGCCTACAGGCCTCACACCCTGGCTCCTTGTGGGACCAGCCCTCTGACTCCCCAGATAGTGGTTTGCCTTCCTGCTTTAGTTCCACTTGTGTGAACTGAGGGTATGGAGCACCTGCAAGCCTCTACCCGCTGGGATCTTTCACATGTGATCTGGAATCTCAGGCACCAGAAATGTACACACTCTCCACAAAATTGAAGCTCCCCTACTTCTCTGGAGTGAGCTTTCACCTCGCCTCCCTTCGCAGGCGTGCTGCACAGGTGAGGCTGGCTAGGGAGCGCTCCAGGCCAGCTGCCTCCCCTTGTGGGAAACTGCAGTGCCCTGTGGTCCACATGAGTGGAGATGGTGAGAGCTTGGGAGAGAAGGTCAAGGCTTCTAACACGCAGCTCCACCTGAGCTGCTCAGGGCTTCACAGGAAAGAATCGCCTGCATGGCACTAGCAGAGATCCTGTTTCCTAATTACCCAGAGCATTCAAGAAGTGGGAGAGAAGGGGAACATGCACCGGCATAGATACCCAATACCTAAGAAGGCACTGGGCTCTCTCAAATCATTCTGACTTTGAGGAAGCACATTATGCAAGGTTTAATTTCATATGTCAATGTTTTGACGCACCACGTTTTTTGTTTTTAAAGGCAGTAGTGACACAAGTCATACCAGCAAATATTTTGGAAGCATTGACTCCTCAGAGAATAATCACAAAGCAAAAATGAACACTGGTATGGAAGAAAGTGAGCATTTCATTAAGTGCGTCCTGCAGGATCCCATCTGGCTGCTGATGGCAGATGCGGACAGCAGCGTCATGATGACGTACCAGCTGCCTTCCCGGTAACCACCCAGCGTTTTCCTAGGCACCTGGGGAGGGATGGGGTTCAGGAGCTCCCAGAAACAACAAGGTCAAGGTCATTCAGATGGGGCGGGACGCCCCTCTGAAAGACTTAGATTTAGCTGAGTGCAGCAGAGAAGCAGGCTTCCCTCTGGACAATTCTGCCAGGCTAGTACAGGGTGGCCCTGGCCCTGCAGTGTGGCCAGGATAAGCCGGGGCCATGTGGATTCACACCCTACAGCCTTCGAGGAAGACAGGCTCCTGGTGCCTCCTTCACAGTGCCATGCTCAATTTTCACAAAGCATTGGTGCCAGCATCTCTTGCTTTGTTGCCCAGTAACCCTGTGAGGTAAATGGGGTGTATCTGGCTGTCTGACTTAGACTTGAAGGAACCAAGTGTCAAGGTAGGTGACCAGCCCAGGGAGCGGGCTGCTCTGCAGTGACCCGGGGCTCTGTGTCCACATCAGGCTGCCATAGGGAACTGCATGTGGTCCCTTCCCCTGCGGAGCACCCGCTTGGCATGGGAAGCTGGGAGGAAAGAAAGGAAGGAAAAATGAACCCTGTGTAGGTCTGTTTCCACACTGCTGTAAAGAAATACCTGAGATTGGGTAATTTATAAAGGAAAGAGGTTTAGTTAACTCACAGTCCTGCGGGGCCAGGGAAGCCTCAGGAAACTTACAGTCATGGTGGAAGGGAGGAGAAGCAAGCACCTTCTTCACAAGGCAGCAGGAAAAGAGCACAAGCGAAGGAGGAACTGCCAAATACTTATAAACCCATCAGATCGCGTTACAACTCACTATCACCAGGACAGCGTAGGGGAACCGCCCCCATGATCCAGTCCCCCCTCACCAGGTCCTTCCCTCAACACATGGGTATTACAGTTCCAGATAAGATTTTTGTGGGGACACAGAGCCAAACCATATCAAACCCCTAAGTCCTCTGGTCAGCTAGTGGATATGGGGGCTCCATCTCCAGGGCAGCTGTAGTCCAGCCCAGCACAGGCCAGTGGCAGGGGAATGCCGTCCTGCTGGCAAGAATCTCCCAGATGAACCATGCCTGTGTGGACCTGAGCCCCAGGGGACAAGGTTACACCTGCAGATACGCAGCTCCCAGGCCTATTGTAAAATACAGAAAAATTAAATCTTGACCAGAATCATCATTTTCATAGAAAAACTACGGGTTCTTTACTAGGGAGATTAAGTTACCTTAAATGAAAATTTTTTTAAAGAAAAGGAAATTTGCATTAAACAAAATCATCTAAAACTACATTATTCTGAAAGAATAAAAATAGATACCCTTAAGACATTTGAAAGCTTACCGATTTCTAAATATCTTGCGAAGAAATTTAGAAGCGGTTTTGAAGGAGGACAGAGAGAAGCTGAAGCTCCTACAGAAACTCCAGCCCAGGTTCACGGAGAGTCAGAAGCAGGAGCTGCGCGAGGTCCACCAGTGGATGCAGACGGGCGGCCTGCCCGCAGCCATCGACGTGGCAGTAAGCTCACGGGACTCGATTTCTGATATGGCCCTAAAAGGCTCTGTGATGGGGATTCTCTGTACTGTCTTTGCAACTTTTCTGTCAATTTAAAACTTCTAAAATTAGGCCGGGCGCGGTGGCTCACGCCTGTAATCCCAGCACTTTGGGAGGCCGAAGCGGGTGGATCACGAGGTCAGGAGATCGAGACCATCCTGGCAAACACGGTGAAACCCCGTCTCTACTAAAAATACAAAAAATTAGCTGGGCGTGGTGGCGGGCGCCTGTAGTCCCAGCTCCTCAGGAGGCTGAGGCAGGAGAATGGCGGGAACCCCGGAGGCAGAGCTTGCAGGGAGCCAAGATGGCACCACTGCACTCCAGCCTGAGCGACAGAGCAAGACTCTGTCTCAAAAAAAAAAAAAAAAATTTCTAAAATTAAAGGTTTATGTTTTTAAAGGCACAGCACTAGGTCCACTTCAAAGAACTTTTCTCCAGTGGCTTTTCAATGTTGTTTCCAAAAAGGCTGAAAAATCTAATCTCAGTCACTTGCTGAAATCTGTTTTTTCTTTCTTTCAATTCTGTTTTCTATTTTACAAAAAAAAACCCTCTCCTGTCACAAACCCTCAGTGTCCCTGGAGAACATTAAATAATGGTGGAAAAAACAAGTTCCTGCTGGCGTGCTCTCAGGCACATGTCCTTCCAGCGGCCCTGTGGGCACTCCAGCCCCTCTCTCCTGCTCTCTGCCGACCCCTCCCTCCCACATACCGTGGAAGCTGCTCTTGTCAAGGTCTCAAGTTCTCCAGCAGCCGAACACAGTGTCACTTCTCAGTCCTCGTCCCAGGGACCATTGGCAGCAGTGAGCGGCTCTCTCCAGGGAGCTCTTGCTGCCCTTGGTCTCCAGGCCCTGTGCTCTTCAGGCTGTCCCTCTGACCTCTTGGCCTCCCCACAGGCTCTTCCTCTTCTGCCCACCCTCGGGCTCAGTGTCTGCACCTCTTTTCCCCACCTGCACCCTGCAAGCCCTGGAGGCATCCTGGGCTCTACTTATCAGGCCCCAGCTGGTGGGTTGGCAGATTGTCTGGGTTTAACCTTGAAGGTAGATGAAGCCCATCACCACACAGGTCCAAGCCATGAGGATGCTTCCATGGCATGAACCCTGGATGTCAGAGTGGCCTCGAAGCTGCACTCACTGCTCCCTGTGTCACCTCCGGTGACAGTTCAGATTCCTGCCAGCACTGTGCCACCTCAATCAGAATAAATGGTTGCAAAGCCATACACATCTGACCACCTATCCACATCTTCTACCTCATCTCCCATTTTTCCTCTCCTTCCCTCCTCTCCAGCTACACTGGCCCCTTGGCTGTTTCCCCGACTGCCCTGGCAGGCCCCTGCCACAGGATCTTCGCACATGCCCAGCCCTTTGCTTGGAATCCTTTTTCCTGAAATAGACCCGTGGCTCACCCTGGCTGCCTTAGAGTCTGTTTTCCACCCGCTGCTGCATTAGTAATCTGCTGCTGCATGGCAGATGGCCCCAACGCTTAGTGACTTCAACAATGAACTTGTATTACCTTGCACGGTCTCTTTGGGTCAGGAATTTGAGAGCGGCTTAGCTGGGTACTTCTAGCTCAGGGTCGTTCCTGATGTTGACGGTAAGATACTGGTGGGGGCTTCTGTCACCTGCCAGCTGGAGGACCGGCTTCCAGGAGCCTCACTTGCAGGCCTCTCACACACTGCTGGCTCTTGGCAGAGGCCTCAGCTCCTTGCCATGGGGACCTCTCCGTAGGGCTGCCTGGATGTCCTCACAGTGTAGCAGGTGACTTCCCCAGAGAGGAAAAGAGGAAGCCAAGGTGCCTTTTAGGACCTAGAATCAGAAGTCAGGTACTCTTTGTTAGAGGCAAATGCCTAAGTCCAGCCAAGGTTTAAGGAGAAAGGAATTAGGCCCCACCTTTTGAGGAAGGAGTGGCAAAGAGTGTGGACACGTTTCAAAATCATTGCGTCACCTTTTCTTTGGCCTGCTGTGAATGTCCAGTTGAAAATCACAGATGTCCTCTATATACCCTATGCCTCTGGAGCCCTTCTTAGTTATTGTCTCTCTCTGCTACTAGAGTGCCAGCTCCTGGGACAGGGATTTTGGCCTTTGCTGCCAGCCACCTCCTGGCTGACACCTGGTCACCTGCACCTTACTCAGTTTGAATGACTTTTTATCTTTTGAGACAGAGTCTCACTCTGTCGCCCAGGCTGGAGCACAGTAGCGTGATCTCCGCTCACTGCAAGCTCTGCCTCCAGGGTTCAAGCGATTCTTCTGCCTCAGCCTCCCAAGTAGCTGGGACTACAGGTGCCTGCCACCACGCCCAGCTAATTTTTTGTATTATTAGTAGAGATGGGATTTCACCGTGTTAGCCAGGAAGGTCTCGATCTCCTGACGTCGTGATCTGCCCGCCTCGGCCTCCCAAAGTGCTGGGATTACAGGCGTGAGCCACCGCGCCCGGCCAATTTGAATGACTTTTGTAACAACTCAGATCTCAAGTTTGTTACTGATTTCTCTTTTTTTTTCTTTTAAGGAATGTGTTTACTGTGAAAACAAGGAAAAAGGTAATATTTGCATACCATATGAGGAAGATATTCCTTCTCTGGGACTCAGCGAAGTGTCGGACACCAAAGAAGACGAAAATGGATCCCCCTTGAATCACAGGATCGAAGAGCAGACGTAACCCCTGCCCCACCTCAGCCCGGCAGCCAGCGAGGTACACCAGGTGGTGCTTGGAAGAGATGAAAGATCTTCATGGCTGTTTCCACTGAAATGGACACATATGCTCATGTTGCTTTTTTTGTTTTAGAAAAAAAAACAACATAGTTTTCTGAAGGGGCGACTTAAAACTGTGGAGAGTGGGGAGAGTTCGGAAAGAAATATGTTTTTATATATAAAATATATATGTGGAGTTTTGTGGGATGGGGAAGAGATTTTAGTTGTTATTTAACTTGAGAAAGACTAAGCGCCTCTTAGTGTCAGGGAAGTTGCCTCAGTGCTCCCAGAAGTCCTGTGACTGTGACGAGACCTCTGTCTGCTGCACCAGCTGGGGACTCTGGCTTCCAGAGCTTTCCCAGGGTGTTTGGATCAGATCAAATTTTGTCCTCTCTTGGGGACTGCTTTTTATCTGAATTATCATTTAGTCAAGGTAGAGTGTTTTTTTATACATACCAAATGGAGATAGCAGCCTCTCCTAGTTTTATTTCAAAACGTTTCACATTAAATGGTGTGAAGCGTTGTTTGGCAAACCAACAGCTTTGGCTTCTGGTGTGGTCAATATTTCAGTCTGACATAGGTTTTGTTTGTAGTGAACAAAGTTGAAACATTTGCTCTGGACTAAAGAAGCCTAGTGGTTTGTGTGGCCAACTCCATCGGATGAATGCACACGCAGACAGACCCTCTGTATATTTCTGCATTATTCTTGTCTCCTTTTCAGACCATGATGGCCAATATGGAGATTAAAATATGTCATCAGTCATCTCTTTATGGTGACTTCCCTTTGCAAACCAGGCTGTGACCAACACATGTGAGACCCAGTCCTGTTTGGTTTTCTTCCGTTGGAACCACCCAGACATCTGCTTCCACCCAGCCAAGCCCACATCACATCTCCTGGCCGAGAGCAGCCACTGCCACTCAGTCTGACAGCTTGCGACTGCATCTGTATTTTCAGGGGTGCAGTGAGCTCACCTCTCCCACTGCACCCTGGGTTGGGTGCACAGCCCTCATTCTTTTCATGAGCCCGACCTCTCTCGGAGCAGCTTCAGGCCTCTGCCAGTGTCCCCAGCACTTTTAGGTCATTTGGACACTTGGGGAAAAGTGAGGCCAGTCTGCCCGGCTTTTTACAAAACCTCATGTTGCATTGTATATTCCAAAGATGGTTCAGAAAATTTAATATTGGTCCCTGGTGGAAATTCAAAGTTATCACTGAAGAACAGTTGACTTAAAATTGGACCAAGACTATGAGGCTTAAAAGGGACCAGGGTTTTCTTTTTTTTTTTTTTTTTTTTTTTTTTTTAGATGGAGTTTCTTTTTGCCCAGGCTGGAGTGCAGTGGCGCCATCTTGGCTCACTGCAACCTCTGCCTCCCAGGTTCAAGCGATTCTCCTGCCTCAGCCTCCTGAGTAGCTGGGACCACAGGCGACTGCCACCACACCCAGCTAATTTTTTGTATTTTTAGTAGAGACAGGGTTTCACCATGTTGGCCAGGCTGGTCTCGAACTCCTGACCTCAAGCGATCCACCCACCTCGGCCTCCCAAAGTGCTGGGATTACAGGCGTGAGCCACCACGCCCAACTGGGACCAGGGTTTTCTGTTTTTTGATGGAGGTGAAATCTCTTTGTAATCCACTAGGTTTTCATCGTAAAACCATCTTATGCCTGACTATTAAACCTATTCTTCATAAACACAAGAACACTTTAATTTTTCGTTAATTTACAAAGTAACATCAGCTGCCTATGCCTATGATAAGGTAGCAGTCTGCATTCTTATGGCCATTAGATGTTACAAACTCCTTGCCTCTAAAGTCAGATCATGAAGGGATAGGTGTTCATCTAAGGTTACAGTTATGTTACCGAAACACAAAACTGCCAAAATCTTACTCTGCTGTTATGAATGTTTACCATCAGCATTATTTTATCATTTAATATGTGCTCACTGATTGTTAACTGTAGCTTCAGCGCGTGCCAAGCAGTTGACTTAATAGGATCATCTTGTGAATTTGTTTACGTGATGCCAAGCATCAAGTCATGTTTTCTTTAGTGTGTGTGCTTACACAGGTGTTAAACAGTTTTTCTCTATTTTAAACTGAGCCTTCTTTTTAATATATTCCCGAAGAGATATGTAAATAAGCTCTCAGAGTTTCTGTGATGATTTGTTGAGCCTTGCTGGACAAGTGGTTTGTTTGTGTGCAAACCAAACTTTCTTTACCCAGTGCAATAGATTTGTTTGACTGCTTGTGTCTTTTTATGACCTGTTTGCCTTTTAGAAAATTGGTAAATAAAGCAAGTATATTTTTATTTTTACTTGTATGTATTTTTCACATAGCACAAAGGAAAACCTGAATAGAGAGCAAAGATTATTTAAAAAAAATTTTTTTAAAGAACTCCAGGAATTCTGCATTAAAGAATCTTACATCCCAAAGGCCTCCTGGCGGTCAGCTCCCTTATAGCGTTTGCTTCTTGCTGGCTCCCTTTCTTCCTGTGCGTGTCACACACACACCCTCCTTCAGGCTGCAGGAGTGAACTCACGTAATGCAAACCTAATCGTGTCATGCCCCACAGTCTTTTCACTTTTAGTTGGAGGGGTGCAGCTGTCTGGCTCAGCCCCAGAGTGCCCCCAGCTCTGCCTCCACGCACCTCTGTCTTCCCTGCATCCCTGCCCTGGGTTACCTGGCCTTTCCAGGCTGGCTGCCTGTCTTCTGGTCATCGGGCTAGGTAGGGCTAAAGGTGGGGCGGTCAGGAGGCTCCACCAGGAAGGTCACATGTCTCCATTGCGAATGATATGGGCAGGGCGGCATAGTCCCCTGACCCCAGCCCTTCTTTCACAGTGATGAATGAAGCCTTGTGAGGCCAAAACTGTGGAAGCCCGAAGAGTTGCTCCCCATCCCTCCCACTCTTCAAACCATGACCCTGGGGGTGGGAGCAGAGAGCTGAATGGATCCTGAACCCAATGCCCAGCCTCTGAGAAGCTCCCTGAGCAGAAGGGAGGGGCTCTCCTCTGCCTGCTAGCCTGGCTGCCTAACGCCAAGTGCTGATGGGATAAAAGGCAAAGTCCTCCCTAGCGAGCACAGAGGCCTCTGCAAACTGCTCTAAATGGCCAGATATGGTTGTTTCACTGAACCTGAGTGCTTTTGGAAGACTCTTAATTGTATTTTTATTTACCATATAACCCCAAGGGATTTATTTCCAAACCAAACGGAGATTCTCTGAGTCTCCTGGGCAGATTGCCCACAAGGGGCCTGGACAGTCTACAGGCCGCAGCTGCCTTTGTTCCCCCAGGGATTTATGGCCTGCCACCCCCACTGCTAACTGGTATCCCCGCAGCAACCACCACCCTGCCCAGCCTCTGCTGGCCTCTGTTCCTGGCTCTAGGGGGATCAAAGGACTCAAATGCTCAGGAAGTCCATACTCAGGCAAACTTTGAAGGCAGGACTGGCCCAAGGGACAAATGGCAGGAAGTGTTGGCTAGGGGAGGCTGCTGTGAAGGAGGGAGGGAGGGCTTGGTGACCTCAAGATAGGCCAGGCTTCTGGGACAAAAAGGCCATGCCAGCTGGCCAGTGCACCGCTAAAGGGAATTGAAGCTGACCTTGCAGAGGGGACCTTGGGCAACTTCCAGTCCAACCAAGAAGGATTTTGCTGATGTACAGCCTTCTCTACTTAAGCTCTTTTCCCTGTAGGATCCTTGGTCACACCGAGGCATATCCCAGTGCTTAATTTCTCCCTCCCTCAACTCTAGACAGCATTCCTCAACCCTCCACCCACTCCACTGTCAGACAAGGCTTTTGAGGTCCCTAGTCCTCCCTTTAGCCTCCTCTCTCATAACTCCTATCACCTGTCCTTTTGTTTTTACAAGGTCAACTTTATATCATGTCCCATAACCATAAACAATCCTTCCTTGCCTTCTGTATAGATTAATTCTAAATGTTAAAACCCTATGAACACTGTTACATTGTTGTGACTGTGAAAATTGTCTCCTGAGCCAAGTAATGTGCTAAGATTACATTTCTTGGGAAGCTTTTTGTTTTTCCTAGAGTTCCTAGTTGCTTTTCTTTCTTTTTTTTTGCTTGCACCATTTGCCTTTATCATGTCCTCCTTGCCCCTCAAATCCAGTTCCCCATCCAATCAAGTGTTCAGTCAGGCTTTACCCAAAGTCCTCTTTTGGGGCCCTGATCATCCTGTTGCAATATAAATTGCCTAACATAAAGCAGATGTTTTAGGATGAGAGCATCCTAAAACATCTACTTGGCCTTGTTCGTTTGGATAATGAGAGGAGTGTAAATCAGTTTGCAAACTTGGGAGTACAGGAAATATCAGTGAGTTTATTTTTCCCTATCACAGTTTCTCGAAGTAGTGGAAATGTCATTGTAGCCACTTGGGGGAGTGGAGGTTCTCCTTCCCTGGGGTGATGTCTAAGTGGTGAAGGAGAGTAAAGTCACAGGCTAATAATCCACTTCCTTGGGATCCACCACTCCAGCCCCACCCTGCCAGCCCCACTACTGGGCAGGTGGGGAGTGTGTGAAGTAAAGCGGTAGTTTCACACCCAGGTGAGTGATGCTGGGCTGGGGGAAGTCTCAGGACCCTGCTCATAGAGCAACCAAGAGCCAGAGCAGGGACAGTTGGGAGCCAGCGGGAGGGGGTCCCAGGTAATTACAGAGGTCAGTGAGGTGACTTTGGGAGCTTTCAAACCTCTCACCAAACTCACCCAGCAGGAAGCCTGCAGGGGTCCCTCTGGTGGAGAGGCGCAAGTAAAGGGGCCATGGGAGGCCTGTCAGACCTCTCTAGGGGCAGTGGGGCGGTCGGTCTGCAGCCTAGTCCTGCCGCTCCGCTCAGCTGCTGCGGTCCCGTGATGTTCCCCTCCCACGCGGCCTTCCAGCCCATCCTGCCAGGGCCACCCCTCACCTTCCCTACCTACCAGCGCTTCTGTGAGGCCAGGCTCTGCTGGGGGTGCGGGGAGGTGGACAGGGGGTCCTAGGTCAGACTGTGCCCTTGTCCAGGGACGCTTATAGCCTGGAGGGGCTCAGAACAGACCCTGACGATCCCAGCCCGGGTGAGTAGTGGGGACTGAGGAAGGCAGGTGCTGTGCGGGGCAGGCTGGTAGTCGGCCGGCTGGGGTCCGAGAAGGCGTCTCCCGTTCCGGCTCCTCCACACAGCGTCTGGACTGACGCCGGGGCAGGAGCCGGGCAGGGGTCCCCAGGACGCTGCCCGAGGGCGCGGCCCCACCGCCCACGCACCCCGCCCGCGGCCAAGAGGAACCCAGCAGATGGGCGGCCCGCCGCGATGGGGGAGTCGCGGGCGTCTGGCCGGGACAAGCGCCCGCCGCCTGCCCGCCGGACAAAGGGTGCGAGACAAAGGCGCGGCCAACACCTGTCGCTCTTGGCGCGGCCGCCGCTTTTCTCGCTTTTCTCCGCCGAAGCGGCCGCAGCTGCCAACTGTCACGGGCATCAAGTTACAGGACCAGACGGCAGCTTCGGCGGGCCTGGGAGGCGGGGCGCGGAGGACGAGGAGGGGAGGAGGGAGGCGGGCGGGGGGCAGTGGAAGGGAGGGAGGGGGCCCCGGGGGCCAAAGGGGACTAGAGGGAGATGGGGGAGCTCAGAGGGGGGCGGGGCTGGTGACCCGCAGAGCCCAGGGGGAGAGCGGCGCGGGCGGGAGCACCCGGGACCCCGCCCCACTAGGACTCCAGTGCTGGCGGAGGGCGGCGTCGGGGGTCCGGCCCGGCGTCTGGACGAGTCCGGAAGAAACTCAGGGGCCGCCCCGCCACCGCTGCCCAATGGACCCTGCCTCCCCGGGGCTTGGCAGCCACCCCAGCCGGGACCTGAAACCCCTCTAGGTCCAGAGACCGCGGACTTGACTGTGGCTCTGCACACCAGGGACGCATCTCCTGGGGCCAGTGGCCCCAGCGCTCAACTCTGGAGGCGCCATCGGCGAAGGAGGGAAATGAATGAATTAATGGGTGAATGAATGAGTGGACGGACGGACGGACGGACGGGTGGACGCCTGCTCGCACGCGCGGCAGATCAGTGGTCCTAGAGCAGCAGACGGAGAGAAACAAGCGCGGGCAGGGCCGCAGCTACCCGGGGTCGCCGCCCCGGTGCCGCCCCCGCGGGGGTCTAGGGAAGGCCGGGCTGGGGGCCCCGCCTAGCTCAGCCAGCTGCCCGACCGCCAGAGCCGCTGGGCCGGACAAAGCGCGCTGCCCCGATTGGCTGCAGCGCGCCTCGCGGTCGGCCGCCCCGGGCCCGCGCGGCCAATCGGCGCATTGAGATGCAAATAAGCGGCTATAAAAGGGGCGGGACCGCGGCGGGCCGGAAGCCGCGAGGAGCGCGGACGGCTGGGCTGCTGCTGGGCGGCCGCGGGGCAGCGGAGGGCGCCGGCACTCCGGTCCCCGCCGCTCCCCGTCCCCGCTGCTCCTAGCCCCTGCCGCGTCCCCGGCGGAGCGGGCATGGCGCCACCCGCGGCGCCTGGCCGGGACCGTGTGGGCCGTGAGGATGAGGACGGCTGGGAGACGCGAGGGGACCGCAAGGTGCGGGCCGGGGCCATGGGCGAGCAAGCGGGCGGGAGGCCGTGCGGGGCTGGGATTCAGTGCCCCGCTCCCCGCAGGCCCGGAAGCCCCTGGTGGAGAAGAAGCGGCGCGCGCGGATCAACGAGAGCCTGCAGGAGCTGCGGCTGCTGCTGGCGGGCGCCGAGGTGCGGCGGCCGGGCAGGCGCCGTGGGGCTGCGGGGCGGGCGGGCGGGTCCGGGAGCGCGCTGCCGGCTCACCGCCCTTCCCGCCCGCGCAGGTGCAGGCCAAGCTGGAGAACGCCGAAGTGCTGGAGCTGACGGTGCGGCGGGTCCAGGGTGTGCTGCGGGGCCGGGCGCGCGGTGAGTGGCGGCGGGGCGGGCGGGGGCGCCGGCCGCGGGCGCCTGTAACCCCTGCCAGACGGAGGACTTCCCTCCCGGCGCCCCTGTCCTGTCGGCGGCGAGGGCTCCCACCGGAGCAGGGTGCGCCCCCGCGTCTCCTGGGTGAGCCGCGTCCCCGCGGGCCGGGTGGGCTGGGCCACGCAGTCGCCGCTCACCGCGCGGGACGCGGCTCTCTCCCTCCCACCCTCGGGCCCAGAGCGCGAGCAGCTGCAGGCGGAAGCGAGCGAGCGCTTCGCTGCCGGCTACATCCAGTGCATGCACGAGGTGCACACGTTCGTGTCCACGTGCCAGGCCATCGACGCTACCGTCGCTGCCGAGCTCCTGAACCATCTGCTCGAGTCCATGCCGCTGCGTGAGGGCAGCAGCTTCCAGGATCTGCTGGGGGACGCCCTGGCGGGGCCACCTAGAGCCCCTGGACGGAGTGGCTGGCCTGCGGGGGGCGCTCCGGGATCCCCAATACCCAGCCCCCCGGGTCCTGGGGACGACCTGTGCTCCGACCTGGAGGAGGCCCCTGAGGCTGAACTGAGTCAGGCTCCTGCTGAGGGGCCCGACTTGGTGCCCGCAGCCCTGGGCAGCCTGACCACAGCCCAAATTGCCCGGAGTGTCTGGAGGCCTTGGTGACCAATGCCAGCCAGAGTCCTGCGGGGGTGGGCCCGGCCCTCCCTGGATCTCCTCCCTCCTCCCAGGGGTTCAGATGTGGTGGGGTAGGGCCCTGGAAGTCTCCCAGGTCTTCCCTCCCTCCTCTGATGGATGGCTTGCAGGGCAGCCCCTGGTAACCAGCCCAGTCAGGCCCCAGCCCCGTTTCTTAAGAAACTTTTAGGGACCCTGCAGCTCTGGAGTGGGTGGAGGGAGGGAGCTACGGGCAGGAGGAAGAATTTTGTAGAGCTGCCAGCGCTCTCCCAGGTTCACCCACCCAGGCTTCACCAGCCCTGTGCGGGCTCTGGGGGCAGAGGTGGCAGAAATGGTGCTGGGCACTAGTGTTCCAGGCAGCCCTGGGCTAAACAAAAGCTTGAACTTGCCACTTCAGCGGGGAGATGAGAGGCAGGTGCACTGAGCTGCACTGCCCAGAGCTGTGATGCTCTGTACATCTTGTTTGTAGCACACTTGAGTTTGTGTATTCCATTGACATCAAATGTGACAATTTTACTAAATAAAGAATTTTGGAGTTAGTTACCCTTGAAGTATTGTTGAGTGATGTGTCATTACTGTGTCAAGATATGTAAATGCTAAACTAAGCACATTTCCCCTGCATCTGAGGCTGGTGAATGTCCTTTAAAACCTCACCCTTTCTCAGCAGAGTGAGCAGTGTGATGGTGGTGGGGATGCACTCCGTGGCTGTCTCTGCAGCAGGCAGTGCTTCTGCCCCCCATGCTAGGCAGGTCCTCAGACCCAGCCTGTTCTTGGGCATTGTGTGTCCTGGAGAAGGAGTTTGTTTGCATGAGGCTTGTCTCCAGGGTAACTCAGCAATAGGGAGATGACCTGTCTCTGTGCCATTTTCTTGTTCATGAGCTTCAGGAATAATAAAATAATGCCTAATTGCTACCTATTTGGTTTGAAAGTATCTTTTAAAGACCTGTTTTAGGACCCACGAGCATGACATAGACATGAGTCTACTTGTGTGAGGTTGTTGCTTATCTTGACTGAAGAAGGAACTTCCCCACTGCTGCCATTGACTTCAGGGTCAAGGAGACCCACCCAGTTTGTGGCCTGAAATGAAAGCGCCAAGGCCCCAGGGGGCTTGAGCGTTAGGTCAAACTGGGTCCAGGAGGTCAGAACCCTCAGGGATGGAGGGTGGCAGGATGGGCAGCTGGGGTGCGGGAGCCTGCCCTCTTGGGCTCGGCCAGACCTGCAGATAGCACGTGGTCAGCCGGCTGAAGTCACCGCCACAGTTAGCCTAGCCCCCTCCTCCTGCTCCAGGACCCCAAAGCAGCAGCTTCTCACTGTGGGTTGGCAGTCCCCAGGCTAGGGCCAAGGTGTGACAACTTAGGATTGACGTCGGGGTCTCCTCTCTGGACATGTGCTTTTGCCTTAAGAACACCTTTCCCAGCAGCCCCTTTACAAAAGCCCCCAAGCAGGTCCTGGCCACCAGGGGTGTTTCAAAGTTTGAGGTTCACTCTGGCTCACCTCAATTCAATCATAGAAGCCATTGGGCTATAACCAGATGCAGCTTTATCATCTGGAGCCGAGCTATTGGGGCAGTGGGGGAGCCAGTGCCACAGAAGAAGTCTTGAGCAATGGAAATATCATTCCTGGGATTATTTTAATGTCCTCAGACAGGCTGATGTAGGATGTACCCACCAGGACACGGATGGATAACGGGCCATCCTGAAAGCCCTGGTTTCCAGTAGCACCCAGAGGCCATGCCAATGAGCTCTCATGCCATTCAGGGAGCATCAGCCATGGACTGCTTCAAAGGAACAACTTTCACCTCTCAAGTCCACTCATCACACCTTCCCAGATGCCCTAGGAGGGGGTCAAGGGGAAGCCCAGGAGGCAAGGTGCAGGAGGCTGACCTGGAGTAAAAGCGTTGCTAGGACCAGAGTCAGAAGCCACTAACCCAGAACTCTGGCCCTGTGCCCCTCCAGCCCTAAAGTCAGCTTCACAGTAATCCTCAAGTGCAGCTTCTTTTGGAAATGTAACTGGCTCCCACACCAGTGACCACTGTTGGCCTCCTGGGGCTGAGAGCTGCTCTTGCCTGCGGTGCAGCCTGGGGCCACCAGCTTCCCAGCCAGCTGGTTGTTTCACACCAGCTCCTCTCCCAGCACCCCCAGGCTCCCCACAAGCCCTTCTCTGAGGGCTGTCTCCTTCCCACCCGGATCCCTTCTCTAAGGGCTGTCTCCTTCCCACCCGGATCCCTTCTCTGAGGGCTGTCTCCTTCCCACCCGGATCCCTGACCCACTGTATTACTTTTCTATGGCTGCCAAAACCAACGACCACACTCTTGGTGGCTTCAAACACACGATTATTGTCTTGCAGTTCCACGGGTTAGAAGTCTGTCAGGATTCACTGGGCTAAGATCAAGGTGTTGGCAGGCAGGGCTGTGTGCCTTCTCCTGCCTCTTCATTCAGGGGCCACCCACATTCCTTGGAGGATGGTCCCTTCCTCCATCCTCAGAGTTCCTCGGAAGCATTGCGTCTCTCTGACCCTTCTTCCTTGGTCACGTCTCCTCCTTACTTCTACTTTTAAAGATCCTTGTGATGACACCAGCCCCCTGGAGAATCCAGGATAATCTCCCTGTATGAAGGTCTTTAGCTTAATTCTTAATCACATTTGCAAACTCCCTTTTGCCATGTAAAGTAGCATATTCGCAGGTTCTGGGAACTAGGATGTGGTCATGAAGGACATTCTCTGTGACACCTGCCTGCACCCTGGCCCAGGCGTTCTGCCTTCCATCATGAAGCAGTGTGGCGCCCGCTTCCGACATGGGCATGGGCCCCCATCCCTGCTCACCTGCTCAGGGACTCTGCTCTCCACTGCACCATTAGCTTCTCCTCCCTTCTGGATCATTCTCATTAACCTACAAACGGGCTGTAATATGAATACCTTTACTCGGAAGAACCTCCCTGGATGTGACATACTGTTAGCCTCTGTCTCAATGCTCTAAAGCAAAATTCCTTGAAAGCGTCATCTACACTTACTGCCTCCACTTCCACGCATCCCATTCCTCTTCATTCCTTTCCAATCAAGCTATTGTCCACCCTTCCACTGGAACTGCACAGTCAAAATCTCTAGTAACGAGCATGTTTCCCAACCCAGTGGGCATGTCCGCATGTCAGCTTCACTTCTCGTGGGTTATGACTCATCCATCTGGAGGCTCCTTCTCCAGTCTCAAGGGCACCACACCAGCCTTCTTTCTACCTCATCGGCCATCCTCAGTCCCCTGTACTCAATGCTCCTCCCTGCCGACCTCCAACTGGACGTGTTCTTCCCAAGGCTCTGTCCTCAGCCTTCCCTGCCGCCCTCCAACTGGACGTGTTCTTCCCAAGGCTCTGTCCTCAGCCTTCCCTGCCGCCCCCACACCCAGTGACACCATCTGGCCCGTTTTGCCAATCCCATGCCCTTGATTCAAAGCCCCTCTCCAGGCGGCTGGCTCCTCTGTATCCTCCTGTCCACTCAGTGACTGCACTTAGATGTCAGATGGGCTCACACCACCACCAAAACAACAGATCCTCAGGCATTACCACTTCTTGGTACCCCATGGATTGAGCAAAAAAATCTAGATGTCACCCTCAAGTTCACCCTCTTCCTGCCATCCCACGTCCTATCAGTCAAGCCCATGAGCACTACTTCTTCTTCTTTTTTATTTTTATTTATTAATTTATTATTATTATTATTATTTTGAGACGGAGTCTCACTCTGTCGCCCAGGCTGGAGTGCAGTGGGGGAGATCTAGGCTCACTGCAACCTCCGCCTCCTGGGTTCAAGCAATTCTCCTGCCTCAGCCTCCCAAGTAGCTGGGACTACAGGCGCCAGCCACCACGCTCGGCTAATTTTTTCTATTTTTAGTAGAGACGGGGTTTCACCGTGTTAGCCAGGATGGTCTCGATCGCCTGACCTCGTGATCTGCCCGCCTAGGCCTCCCAAAGTGCTGGGATTACAGGCGTGAGCCACCAAGCCCGGCGGAGCTCTACTTCTAAGCCCTGCCTCCACGTGTCGTCTTCTTTGCCACCGACCGAGTCCAAGGCAGCCTCGTTTCTAACCTGGGCCTCCGCAGCAGGCCTCTGACTCCCCTCCCACTCCAGTCCTGACCGTGACCTTCAAGACTCTACCCGGTTCAGCACCGCCGCCCCCCGGGGCTCCTCCCTTCCAGCCCTCCCTACGCTCTGCTCAGGCCTCTGCAAGTGACCCGAGAGCCAGGACCCGGACGGTCTCGATCAGCCAGTCGCCCAGCCCTTGAGCCCTTCCGGGACTGCCCGGAGCCGGCGCTGGGGAATACCGAGTCCCTTGGAGCCGGGTTCGGGGGGCGCCGTGAGCTGGGAGGCGCTCGGAGGAGCCGAGGCCTTGACCACGCCCCCTCCAGCCCCGCCCCGCCAGAGGCGAGCCGCGGGGCCTCCTGGGAGATGTAGTTCCGACCCCTTTACTTAGATTTTTGGTTTTTTTTTTTTAAATCAGTTTTATTTAAGAATTTCCAACAATGACAACTCTTATAAAAAGCATCCAAGCACAGGACACAGAACTGCAGCAAACAGCATTCTTATGGGTAGCTAACAGACATTAGAACTTCTACCCTTCTTTGAGACACCAGAGTTCACTGCTGAACTCTGCTTCCAAGTCCTCCTGCAAAGCACACCACAAGCTCAGTCCATGTTCTCAGCCCATCAGCTTCAGTTCACATTGCCACACTTACATATCAGTAACAGAAGAGAACACACACCATACAGCATTCACAGCAGTTGACAAAGGGGTAGGGGGAGTACAAGTATCATTTCACTTAACACATTCAAATAAAGTGGGTTATCTAAGAACAAAAACTCAAAGTCTTCCAACAGATGTGGATGTCCTTTGAATGCAAAAAACATTCGTACATTATTTGCTATCATTGCTGTCTGCACACTGTCACCAAAGCCGCAGGATTGAGAAACACATCTCGCCAAGTTAAAAAATATCCGTTATGCACCACCAAGTCTCTGCACGTGCTCTCTCCTTTTCTCACTCATACTAGCCTTTCATGCCTCAGCACCACCGTCAATCCCACACAAGGTTTCAAAAGTTCAAACAGCCTTCTAGTTCCATATCACAGCCTTGCGTTCACAGCGTTGATACGACTCTATGAAATAAAGAGTAGCAGATAAAAATGGGACACCCACCGTCAAAGACGCGGCCTGTGATGCGTGATGACGAATTCTTGAATGAGAAGGCATGTAGACAGAAGTGTTCCTATGGCAGAATATTTACAGCACTACTTTCAACCAAGTGCTTCTTCCATAAACATTTGAAATGAGATGAACTGCAGAGATTAAATGAAGGCTTCATATTGTACTTTTGTGTTTGAGGGGAGACAAGTGTTAAAAAACAAAACAAAAGAACCAAACTGTGACACCATGATCTTCTAAAAGGAGATTTTCTTAAGGAAAAAAATCCATATGGTGGGGTTCAAATTAAAACAAGGAATAAAGAATGTAGTTCTAATTCATGGCTTCCATTTTGAACATGCAAAGAACTCACTTGACAAGTCCAGGGATAAAATATTACAGGAGAAACCTTCTGATATCAATTGTAGTGTGTTGGTTTACCAATCAGGCAAACAGCAGTTCACTTTCAACCACTCAATATTTCAACCTTTCATGTAACAAAACTTATAAAATTCCTTTAGCTGTTCCTTTTTCTAAAGAAAAATGTCAAAAATACTACTGAATATACTCCACACTGAAGAAACCAATTTTGAAAATTCTTAGTACATATGTATTTTACAATATACTTACCATGAGTTTAGAAAAATTTGAATTCCAACCATTCTATACCAACCAACCACAACCCCACTGTCTACGTTCCCAGCCAGAAGACTTAGAATCCATGCTTGAGCCAAAGCCGCCATTAAAACCACTGCCCGACCCTGCATTGGATGCTGATCCCCAACCAATTGTTGCACCAAAATTAGAACCACTACAAGAGTTATTTCCAGAACCGAAGGCCTGGTTTGGCTCCCTCTGCATGTTGCCTTGGCTTTGGTTATCATCCGATGGGCCTGGCTGCTTCGCTGGCTGGCTAACACACCCATCGTACACCAACTGCTCTGCAGCACTGCCTGGGGGGCAGCCATCATGGCTGGATTAATGCTGAACGCACCAAAGTTTATCCCACCACCCATATTACTACCTTGATTGTTTCCCAAACCAGCTCCACCCCCTCTACTCTTACCAAATCCACCCTGATTCCCAAAGCCACCTGGATTACCACCAAATCTTCCACTTCTTGCTGTCTATTGCTATTGCGCTTGGGTTCGGCATTGGATATGTGAACGCTGATTCCTTTCATCGAGTCCTCTCCACAAAGAGACCGCGCAATCTGATCATCTGCAAATGGAACAAAGGCAAAGGCCCTGAACGGCTTGGGGACGAAGACATCCATCACATCCCCATACTGAGAGAAGAACTCCCACAGCTCATCCTCAGTCATGTCCTCCGTACGGCGCCCCACAAACACTTTTCTGCTTCTCAAAGGCTCATCTTGGCTTTGCCGCACCATAAGAACGTCTCCAAAGGTACTACAGTACTCTTTCAGGTCCTGTTCAGTTGTTTTCCATGGGAGACCCAACACTATTAAATCGGACTGGTCTTTTCACTTTCACTGCTGATGAAGCTTCTGTCTCACCCATTTTTCTTTTGTTATCTTTCGGATAGTTGACAACATACACCGGATTTCTCCAGCCAGCATCGGGGGCATGCAGAATTCCTTCTACCAGCCGGACACCTCTCATACATTGAGACACCGGATTCCTGCAGCGAAGCCCACACGCCCCTGGAAACTGGGCTGTAACCGTGGACAGCAGCACCGTCCCATCGTCTTCCGATGGTATTTCAATGGGCTCATCGTTCTCATCTTCGGTTACCCGAATATATTCAGACATCTTTTACTTTTCCACTAGGCCGCTGCTGGGAAGCCCGACAGGGACACCGAGGCAGCGACGGACCCAAGCGCCAGTGTTTTTTTGTTTGTTTGTTTTTTGTTTTTTTAAAGAGGCCACCACAAGTTGAGGCGGGACTACAACTCCCAGAGGCCGCCGCGGCCCGGAGGCCACGCCCCTTGGCGGCGAGCTCTGAGCCCTTTGCCGCATTTGACACTCGACATCCTCGTGCTTCTTAAAGCACTTGCCCAACGGTGAGCAACGGCCTCCAACGGTGCCCGAGGGACTCGCGCTGCCCGTTAAGCAGCTTTGCGGTGGCGGAGGCTGGGCTGCCGTCTCTCCGACATCCCGGGACGGAGGAAGAGATGAAGGCTCTGCAGCCCCCGCCGCCCGATTTACGCTTGAGAAAGCGAAGGCGAGAGAGGTCGTCCAGCCCCTGGGGGCCCAGCCCTAGAGAGCGGGGCGCGGGCTGCGGGGCCCGGCGGCCTGGACGGCGGAGCGTTGAAAGCTCCCCCAGGGATAGGAAGTGCAGCCGAAATCAACGATTGAGGTCAGTGAAGGAGCGGACGCTTGAGGCCTTGGAGGGGAAGCAGGTTTCTCCAGGAGGGAACCCGGGCCTCCGCTTTGCTCAGCGCTCCCCTCGCGAATGTGTTGAGCACCTGTTATGTGCTGGGGGTACAGAGGTGAGACTCACAAGGCCCCTGCATTGTCTTTAAGATCAGCAAGACCCCGCAGAGAACCCAAATCCAACGCGCACTGCCCAGAGGCAGACACTGGCATTCCTTGATAGACGGTAGCCAGGGAAGCCCAGGTCTTACTAGATTATTATCAGTACTTGGATTTGAATGTATCTGAGAGGAGGAGGGTTAAGGTTTAAGCTGTGGCTCAGAAGCCCCTCAGCTCTTCGTGGAATCTCCCAGGCTTTTCACTCTTGCATCCTCATGGAAAAATACTGCCCTCCCTGGGAAACCATGCTTTCTGTGCACACCTGCTCTGTTCCCATGTCGCTGTACTACCTATTGACCTGTCAATGGATGATGACACTTGGGGTACTATCCTCTCTCCTCCAGATCTTGCCCCACCTTAACCTTGAAAGAATATTAAATGCGCCCTTAGACGTCAGGAACCATCCCTCAAACCTTGCCATTCCTCTCTGTTGAACCTGCTCCAAATCTTAAGTGCCAACCTCCATCTTATCCACTTTATCCTGGGGAACTTGTCCTCACACCCCGTTGAGGTTTCTTACTTATTGTCCTACTGTTTTCTTCACACTCCAGTTTCTTAAAAACAGTCTTCATTCTCATTTTCTTCATTTCCTCATCACCTGTTTGTCCCTAACAAAATTTCAGTATGGCTACATTTCCTGCCATTCTACTATAGAAAACTTCTGCCAGAGTCTCCAATGAACTCCTGATTGCCGAGTAGACTCTTCAGTTTTCTCACCCGAACTTTGCGGCATTTGATACTCAACATCCTCATGCTTCTTAAAACATTGTTCTTGCCAGAGCACGGTGGCTCACACCTGTAATCCCGGCACTTTGGGAGGCTGAGTTAGGCAGATCGCTTGAGCCCAGGAGTTCAAGACCAGCCTGGGCAACATAGCAAGACTCCATCTCTACCAAAAATGCAAAAAATTAGCCAGACATGGTGGCCCGCACCTGTAGTCCCAGCCACTCGAGAGGCTGAGGTGGGAGTATCACTGGAGCCCGGGAAGTCAAGGCTGCGGTGAATTGAGATCACGCCAGTGTGCTCTGGCCTGGACAATGGGAGTGAGACCTTATCTCAAAAAATTGTTCTCTGTCTAGTCTTCTTGCTCTTCTTGTTCCACCATTCCTTCTCAGGTTCTGGCAGTGGCTCTTCACAACTGGATATTAAATGTTGTCTTTTTTTTTTTTTTTTTTGAGACAGGTTCTCACTCTGTCTCAGGCTGGAGGCTGGAGTGCAGTGGTACGATCATGGCTCACTGCAACCTCGACCTCCCAGACTCAAGTGATCCTCCCACCTCAGCCTCCTAAGTAGCTGGGACTATAGGCGCACATCACCATGCCTGGCTGATTTTTGTATTTTTTTTGTAGAGAGAGATGTTTGTAGTGTTGCCCAGGCTGGTCCAGCAATCCACCTGCCTCACTCCCAAAGTGCTGGGGTTATAAGCATGAGCCACCGTGCCCGGCGAATATTGTCTTCTTAAATATTGTGCCCCACATTTCTTTGCTAGGCCCTCTTCTCTAGCTTCTAGGCTGTAATCTGTATGATCTCCATGGCTTCACCTGCTGTGCTACCAGCTGCAAAATCTATTTCCAGCCCAGCCCTCTCTGGAGCTCTCATAGAGTTTATCCAAATGCCCCTGGCTGTCGCCTCTCAGGAATCCCACAGGTTCTGCAACAAGTTCAAATGTGAACTCAGCTTTCCAACAAAACCTGCTCCTCCCTTCATGTTCTGGATCCTTCAGAGCAACAAGGGCATCAATCCTTCAGGCTGGAAACCAGACGGTCCATGGAGACACCTCCCTGGAGCCCTGCCTGGGCAACCTTGACCTCCCAGGTTCCAGGGGACACTGGAGCCCTGCAGGTAGCGTCCAGGAACTGGCAATCCTGCCACTTCAACAGGTTGAACGAACAAGAGGATGAGTCTTAGACGTCCCTTTCCCCCTGTCCGGCTCCTGCATTCGTAGTTCAGGTTCTTGGCTGTCACCTGGAGAATGGCAGTGGTCATTAAGAAAACCCCCACCTTGAAGGTTACGCCCTGAGCTTCAGTCTTTTCAAAAGCCCAACACTGCAGATTCTCAAAGAATAGTAGGCCTGGTCCTCACGTGGGCCAACTCAGAACTTACTGACTGCCTCCACACCCCCTCCACCACCTTCTGTCTCCATGCCCTTGCCAGATATTTGGTTTGCTGCATGGCCAAAGCCGCTGCTCTGCCCTCTGCATGCCTCCAGGTTTGGCTCAGATAGACTGCCTGCCTGAAGCCTTTCCTGGTCACTCCTCGTTTTATGCAGTTTCCAAGGCTTCTTTTATTTCCCTGACGGCATAGTCCAGATAATGTTTGCTTGTTCATTCCACAGTTGTTAACTGGAGGCCTGCTCTTTGTCAGGCATTCTTCTAGTTGCTGGAGACAGACAGCATTTCTTCTCAAGTTTATGCTGTTATGGGCAGTTAGGCTGTTGGGTTGTTGTTGTCTTTTTTTTTTTTTTTTTTTTTTTTTTTGAGACAGAGTTTGTGCTTTGTTGTCCAGGCTGGAGTGCAGTGGCACGATCTCCGCTCACTGCAACTTCCTCCTCCTGGGTTCAAGTAATTCTTCTGCCTCAGCCTCCCAAGTAGCTGGGATTATAGGCGCCCGCCGCCACACCCAGCTAATTTTTGTATTTTTAGTAGAGACGAAGTTTCACCATGTTGGCCAGGCTGGCCTCGAACTCCTGACCTCAGGTGATCCACCTGCCTCAGCCTCCCAAAGTGCTAGGATTACAGGCGTGAGCCACCACGCCCAGCCTGTTGTCTCTTGATCCTTGAATACGCAGTCTCTGTCTTGTCTGTATTCCTGCCTCATATTTTCTCTCTCCTGCCTCTTTATCTCTTAAACCGTTGTCTCTTCATCCACATCATGGGAATGGCAGTAGTACCTACTTGTTTTGAGGGTTGAATGAAATAGCATGGAAAGCCGTTTTCTCAGTGCCTACTGTTGGTTGGAATTCCCTTTCTCTTTGTTTCCACCTCGTTCTCTTTGCGTCTTCATCCTCCCCTGCCTTCATATCCTTCTGTTCCCCATCTCACCAGCTCTCTCTTCCTCTCTCTGGCTCCCTTCCTCTCTCCTCTCTTCCCTGTCTCTCTGCCTCTCTCTGTTTCTTTCATTCTCTCGTCCCTGTTTCTGTCTCTTCCTCCAACCCACTTTTGCTGGGCTTTCCCTGCCTCTGCCCCGCCTTGCCTTCTTTGTCTTTCTCTAGCCTCCCTCTGCCTCTACCTCCCTCTCAGACGAGAGCAGGTGACTCCCCTGATGCTTCCTGCCCCTTCCCTGGTAGTGGGTGTGGAGGGGGTGACTGCCCAGCTTCTGCAGCGCCAGCGACTTCCTCCACCTTGTTCCCGCCCTGCAGGGTCTGAGCACCTCCCTCATGCAGACAGAGCCCCGGCTCCCATGTTCACCATGCTGAGAAAGACCTGCGGGGGACAGCAGGAGGACAGCCGGGGAATGGGCCCGCACTTGCCCAGGTGAGTGCTGTGGGGAGTCAGGCCAGCCCTGTGGAGAAGGCCGCTGGAAAGGGGGAACTGATGCTGCCATTCCTTATAAAAAGGGCCACCCAGTCCATGTAGCTGAGGACCAGCACCAGGCAGGATCTTTAATGGGACTCTGGGCTTTGTTAAAGGGCCACAGGCTTGTTTAGGGAGGTGGGGACAGAGTCAGGAGGGAGAAGTACCACTTCTCCTGGGAGCGGCACATGGCATGGAACAAAATAGCCCTGGGGCACGCCCTGAGCCCAGCCCTAGTTTTCTAGCTAAGGATCAGGTGAGAACCCCCAGACCTCTAGCTCCTCTCAGGAGGCTGGCTGCTGGCTGGTTCCTCTTCCAGAAGTCCGTGCAGATCCTGTCCTCTGGCTTTGCCTTGCCTAAGACCCAGTCTGCACCAAGGCTGAGTCCCTGGACTTCTGGAGAGAGAGGGCTGTCCCTTTGTGCCCTACAAGTACAGTGTGTGGGCGCCTCCCCTGGGCCCTGCACAGGTTCTGTGGCACCGGCAGCATGCGGGAAGGTGGGAGGAGGCACACCCTGCCTTTGGGAAGCTGAGAACAGATCCCTGGGGGCAACCTGTGCCCCTGTAACCAGGAGGAGTCTCAATAGGAAATTTTAGCTGCTCCTGGTGGAGCAGGGCCTCTGTCTTAAGGAGAGTGGAATTTCCGAGGGACAGACATTTCCTGACCATTTGTGTATAGGAATCAAGGCAATGAGAGAACAATCAACAGGGCATGGGAGATGAGAAAAAGGTGAGATGACCTCTGACAGGCAGGCTCCTGAAGGAAGGCTTCCTGGAGGAGGTGGCATGTGAGCCCTGCAGGACAGGTAGAGGTTGGAGGATGAGACAGAGGAGGGGGCCTTGCCTTTCAGACCCCAGGCGCCACCATGCTCCCCATCTTGACTTGGGAATTTCCCAGTGACAGGGCAGGAGTGAAGTGCAGGGCCTTCCCACTGCTGGGAATTTGGCTGTGTTGGCGCGTGGGGTCTGCCCTGGGGCGCGTGCTGCCTTCGCTAGCTTCACCCCATTTCCCTCTCTCCCCTTCTTACCATCAGAGGCAGAGCTCGTGCATGCCCGACCTCGCTCCTCACGGCTCCCTGGGCAGCAGCGCCCTGGCAGTTGGAACTGGAAGGCTTATCAGAGTCCACGCAGCCCCACCGCCCTCCCCACTCTCGGGGGTGGGCATCGGGGGACAGGGCCAGGGCAGGGAGGAAGACAGGGCCCGGCTCACCCCACAGCTCAGCCCATGAGGGTGCGCAGAGCAGGGCTGGCAGGAGTGGGCCACTCCACACCCAGCCCTGTTGAAGAGAAAGAACAGAAATAGGGAACAGAAAGTTGTCGATTGCTGTGTAACAAATTGCCCGCAGTTTAGTGCCTTCAAACAAACGTAGCTGCACAGTGTCTGTGGGTCAGACATCCAGGCCCGGGGAAGGAGCCTCTGCCTCAAGGTCCCTCCCGAGGCCTCAGTCAGGGCCCGGCCGGACTGTGAGTAGATTGCACGCTCCGTGCGGGGAGGCTCGGCTTCTCTGCTGGCCCCGCGCCTGTGGGCAGGATTCAGTTCCTCATGGGCTATTAGAGTGAGGGCCTCGATCTTTTCTGCTGTTTGGCTGGAGGCCTCGCTCAGTTCTCTGCTGCACGGACCTTTCCTTGGCACAGCTCCCGCATAGCTGAGCAAGCCGCGAAGGCGGGCTCCTGCAGCCGAAGGGAATTCTCCCCTGTTTCTGCTGTGTTCTGTTTGTGTAGGTTCAGCCCCGGGGAGGAGGTTCCACAGGACAGACAGACCAGGAGTTGGGGGCGTTGAGGGCCATCTCACAGGCTGCCCACCACAGCCCCCACGCAGCCACCTGTGTCTGTGTTCTTGCCACTGTCCCTACCCTCCAGGAGTGGGTCTGGTCTCATCAGGGAGGGCAGCGCTCTCTTCACTCTGTCCTTACTCTGGTGTTTCACTGTGATTTTAAAAACTGAAACTGCACTTGTTACCCCTTGACAGAGCTGCACCCTGAGAGGGCCTCTGCGACGCCCCTCCTTCTCTTAAGCCTTTCCAAGCTGTCTGACGATTTTTAAATCCCATTTCCTGAGTGACACAGAGCATCTTTTCTTAAGCTTATGAGTGACTTATTTGTGTTTTCCTCAAAGCTAGAGGGGACCCCCAATCTGTTTGTTTCCAGAGTCCCTGATGGTGTCGTCTTGGGAGTGGAGGAACCTGAGGGAAAAGCCCAGGGACGAGTCAGGGGAGAGCTCTGCCCTGGTGCTCTTGCACGTATCCACATGGGCCACAGCTGCACCCGGCTCTCAGCAGAGGGCATCGCCATGCTCCTGGGCACAGCCGGGCCCTCTCGCCTCCCTGCGGCTCCTGATGCCTCCCAGGCTCCGCTGAGGTCACCTTGGGCACTTAGCGTGGCTGCAGCTCTTTGCAGCCCCGTGTCCTGTCATCCATGTGGCCGTCATGTGGTCACTTTTGGGCATTGCCCTGCGCAAGGTCCATGGGGACTGGGCACCTTTGGCCATTCTTTCTTTGGTTGTCTGTGCAAGTAATAAACTAAATCTGAAAAGGTCTTCAATTTATTCACCGGCCAATCTGTCAGCCTTGGCCTTGCCTTGTGCTTGACAGAGTGGAGGGGAAAGGAGGACAGACTCGGTGGGGGGCGGGGGTGGGTGAGGAAGTCCTGGGCCAGGCACCCCCTGTTTTGAGGACGCTCCGTGTCTCCCCTCGCCCAGTGCCACATTCTGCTCTCTGCCCCTTCTTTCCACAACTTGATCCATCCCCCGTAAGGCTTGGCCACTTCTCCCTCAGGATACTGTGTTTTACCCCAGCCGCCCACCTGGAGAGCCTCCGAGGGGTCGCGGGCGCTCCTCCGGGGCCTGCCGGCATCTGAAGCAGAGGAGCAGAGGCCTAGACCTCCCTTCGCCCCCAACACCTGGCGACGGACATTTGCCGGCTCTCAGCAGCGATGCGGGAATTTTACATTGCGCGTCTGGATATACACCCACCACCTGAGTGTGCCATTCACATGTTACTGGACTTTGTCACATCTAGTTAATCCTCCCTGCTTTGATCCGTTTTATTTTTTATGCATTTCCAAGTAAATTATAGACCTCAGGCGGCTTCCCTAACACTCCAGTGCGCACATCGTTACAGTCCATTTGCCACCGGGTTTTCCTTTGGATGGAAAGCTTGGCGTTCAGTGCAATGCCCTGCTCACGAGTGAATACCTGCTGAGTTTTGACAAGTGTGTGCTGTTTTGTGCCTCAAACCCTTCTCAAGGTCCTGAGCGTGGCCATCAGAAGGTTCCCTCACACACCTTCCAACCAGTGCCCTCCCGTGCAGGAGAGTGATGCTGGAGCCTGAGGCAAGAGGAACAAAATGTGTTTTGTGTGTGTGTGTGTTTTTTGTTTCTTTTCTTTCTTTCTTTCTTTTTTTTTTTGAAATGGAGTTTTGCTCTTGTTGCCCAGGCTGGAGTGCAGTGGCGCAATCTCGGCTAACTGCAACCTCCGCCTCCTGGGCTCAAGCGATTCTCCTGCCTCAGCCTCCCAAGTAGCTGCGATTACAGGCATCCACCACCACGTCTGGCTAATTTTTTATATTTAGTAGAGACAGGGTTTCACCATGTTGGTCAGGCTGGTCTCAAACTCCTGACATCAGGTGACCCACCTGCCTTTGGCCTCCCAAAGTGCTGGGTGGGGTTACAGGCATGAGCCACTGCACCTGGTCGAAAAATGTGTTTTTCAATGTTAATTTTTTTTTCCACAATGTTTCAGTAAGTGGAAAATAAAAAAAAAATTGGGAAGTGTGTATATTAAAACTCAAATATTTTAAGTTTCAATATTTTACTTATACAAAAACGGTAAGTTTACTCTCCTTACTTAAATGCAAACAAACTCGTGAATATTTCTAAAATCTACTATCTCGTTTTTCAGTTGAGAGAATTGTCATGTGAATTTCTCTTGACCAAGTGATGATCTTAAATAATTTTTCACTAACTTCAGCTGACCGAAATTTCTTTTAAAGATGCCACCGTGGCTGGGCACAGTGGCTCATGCCTGTAATCCCAGCATTTTGGGAGGCCGAGGTGGGTGGATCACGAGGTCAGGAGATTGAGACCATCCTGGCTAACACGGTGAAACCCCGTCTCGACTAAAAATACAGAAAATTAGCCGAGCATGGTGGTGGGCGCCTGTATTCCCAGGTACTCGGGAGGCTGAGGCAGGAGAATGGCATGAACCCGGGAGGCGGAGCATGCAGGGAGCCGAGATGACGCCACTGCACTCCAGCCTGGGCGACAGAGTGAGACTCCGTCTCAAAAAAAAAAAAAAATGCCACCGTGACTGGTAGTATTAAAAAGCTTCTCATGCTGGGTGCAGTGGCTCATGCCTGTAATCCCAACACTTTGGGAGGCCAGGACCAGAAGATTGTTTGAGCCTGGGAGTTCAGGGACCAGACTGGGCAACAACGTGAGACCCTGTCTCTGCAAAAAATTAAAAAATTAGCTAGGTGATCACACCTCTGCACTCTAACCTGGGCGACAAAGCAAGACTCTGTCTCAAAAAAAACAAAAAAAAATTCAGTGTTTACAAATATCTTTAGTTTGTGAAGTGCCTTGGTTGCATTTGATCTTGATCTCCGCGGGGAATCCGTGTGTGTTTTTAATGTAGTTTTTTTAAACAGATGTAAGAATATTGAATTCACACACAAACACAAACATACAACACTAAAACAAGTCGTCACATTTCATTTCACAGAAGCAGAATTTTTGCATATCAATTATGAGCACAGCAGTTTGGGGCTGTGGTGAGCTGTGTTCATGTCACTGCTCTCCAGCCTGGGCAACAAAGTGAGACCCTATCTCTTTAAAAAAAAATTATGAGCCGAGGAAGACACAATTTGGCATAATCATTTTTGGAGGGTCATGGTAGCTTATACACCCTTGTATAACCTGCCATAGTTGTTCCATGATCTTATCCCTGGCCACAAGCGTGTTTTATGTTAACACCTTTTTCCAATCTCTAATTTCATAAGCTAGACCTAGTTTTTTCTTTGATTTCTGTAAAGTCAATGCAACTTCTTTTACTGTTAATGGCATTATTCTTCATGTGGGTGTGCTCATAGTCTGACACACTTGTTCACAATCGGCTACATCTGGTGCACAATCAAAAGTAAGGGGCTGGGCTTGGTGGCTTCTGCCTGTAATCCCAGGACTTCGAGAGGCAGAGGCAGGAGGCCGTTGAGTTCAAGACAAACCTGGCAAATAGAACAAGACCCCATCTCTTTTAAAAAATTAAATTTTTCTTAAAAAGCAGGGTGTCAGATGTGGTGGCTTGTGACTGTAATCCTAGTGCTTTAGGAGGCTGAGATGAGAGGATTGCTTGAGGAGGCAGAGCTGAAGTGAGCTATGATTACTCCAGCCTGGGTGACAGAATGTGACCCTGTCTTTTTAAAAATGGAAGCAAAAGTATTTGCTTCTTTCATTCTTGATAATATCTCAAATCAAATATAATTTTCTAGTAGCAGTACACATTTGCTTTAATGTTATTAGGCACAACATCCTTTTTTATTTTATTCTTTTGGAGACAGAGTTGTGTTCTGTTGCCCAGGCTGGAGTGCAGTGGCACGATCATAGCTCACTTTAACCTTGAACTTCTGGGCTCAAGCAATTCTCCTGCATAGCTAGGACTAGAGGTGTATACCACAATACCTGGCATTTTTTTTTTTTTTAGAGTGGGTCTTGCTATGTTGCCCAGGCTGATCTGGAACTCTTGGCCCCAAATGATCCTCTCACCTTGGCCTCCCAAAACAGTGAGATTTCAGGCATGAGCCACGGCTCCTGGTTCCCTTTTTTTATGGTTAGCTATAAATTCACCTAAAGTTAATAACATGCCACCATTTGGGCCTCCAGTAATTTCTTGTGATCCCCTAAGATGTAAAATATTTTTTGCCTAACATGTAATATCTAAAATCACTCAAAATAATCTATTTTTGTTTCACTTATTTTATGGTATTCTGCAAAGCATCATTTATTAAACTGTCAATCTGAATATTTTCAAAAGACAGTTTCATTTTAGAAAAGCATCACATGAGCCAGGTGCAGTGGCTCACTCCTGAAATTCCAGCTGCTTGGGAGGCTGAGGTGGGAGTGATGCAGTGGCCGCTCCAGACGGCCTGCCGCTGCCAGGAGCCGGGGACCAGCAGGAGCCCTGCCCCTTCTGAGCTGGGGCAGGAGCAGCTCCCCGGTGCCGCTGCAGCTGCCCAAACCGTGGCTGCCAACCCGGGCCTCCCGCTCCACGGAGCAGGCAGGAACCTCACCGGCCCCTTCCCCGCCCAGCGGCGGCTGCCCAAACCGCGGCTGCAGACTCAGGCATCCCTGCACTCTTGGGGGCCCGGGAAGGCCCTCCTCCCCTCACAGGCCCAGAAGTGCCTGCTCCCAGTGCCTGGCCTCTCCCTGTTCCTGGTGCCTGCTCCAATCTCAGAGCAAAGTCGGGGCTGAGCCCTGGTGCCATGAACGGCAGCAGAAGGCAGACAGATTCCTGGGCAAAAGAGGACGGGTCCCTGGTGAGGCCCTACCTTCAGGCCAGGGAGGGCCTGAAGGTTGGGGGCCAGGCTGCCAGTGCCGGAGCACTGGAGTGGGAACTTGTGATGCTTTCTCCGGGCTGCCCATGGCTGCCCCGGGACCAATCAGCATGCACTTCCTCCCCTTTAAGGCCAATAAAAACCTTGGCTCAACCAGAGCTGAGCAGATGGGAAAACAAGCCGCAGAGAGGAGCTACCCTCTCTGCTGAGAGTTTCAGAGACCTGCAGAGACCTTGGGACTACCGGTTGCAGAGAGGAGCAACCCACTCCAGGGCCTCTTCTCTGCTAGGAGCTGGGCAGACACTGGGACAATCCCCCTGCAGAGAGGAGTCACCAGGGCTTCCTTTCTGCTGAGAGATGAACACTCAACAGGACGACTTGCTTACAGAGAGGAGCTACCCGCTGCGGGGCTCCTTCAGGCTGTTCTAACAGTCAATAAAGCTCCTCTTTGTCGTGCTCACCCTCTGCTTGTCTGCGTATCTCATTCTTCCTGGATGCAGAACGAGAACTCGGGCAAAGGTGCCACCGGCCACAGAGGTTTCCAGTCAAAAGTGACACCCCAAAGATCCTGTAACAGGAGGATCACTTGAGCCCAGGAGTTTGAGGCCACAGATGCAGTGAGCTATGATTGATTGCATCACTGCATTCAGCCTGGGTGACAGAGAAAGACTCTGTCTCAGAAGAAGACAAAAAAGAAAGCCTCACAATAAAACAAAATTTTCACGGTCACAAATTCTGTTTAACTGTTTCCAATCTTTGGAAACTTTTTTTTTTCTTTAGTTGCAAAAGTTTGATTTTATTGCATTGCTGCAGAAAAGTATGCATGAAAAATAAGGACAATTTTTTTTGGAATACATGAGCAGTCACAATGAATTCATTTGCCATTAGAATATTGAAGAAAAATGTTTTGTCAGGTGCAGTGGCTCATGCCTATAATCTCAGCAATGCAGAGGATCCCTTGAGGCCAGGAGTTCAAGACCAGCCTGGGCAACTTAGTGAGATGCCCCCTCCCCACTGCCCCATTTCTGAAACAAAAAAAGAAAAGAAAACAAGAAAACTCTAGAAATGTCCATTGTGTGAAGTAGATTCCCTAAAATCTAAATCTTTTCCTTTGTGATCTATTCAAGTATGTGCTCTATTCAGATCATTTTTACTTTATGACAAAGTAGCAGCCACAGTGGATAATTATTGCAATTCATTTGAAATGGCATCTTCTCACTTTTTTTTTTTTTTTTTTGAGATGGAGTCTCACTCTTGTCACCCAGGCTGGAGTGCAGTGGCACAATCTTGGCTCACTGCAACCTCCGCCTCCCGGGTTCAAGCAGTTCTCCTGCCTCAGCCTCCTGAGTAGCTGGGATTACAGGCATGTGCCACCACACCCAGCTAATTTTTGTGTTTTTAGTAGAGATGGGGTTTCACCATGTTGGCCAGGTTGGTCTTGAACTCCTGACCTCAGGTGATCCGCCTGCCTTGGCCTCCCAAAGTGCTGGGATTACAGGCATGAGCCACTGTGCCTGGCTGGCATCTTCTCACTTTTTTGCTCAAACTTATGTTCGCTAGTTACTGAAACTTGTAAAATTTCTCTTTAATGTTTTGAAGCAGATCCTTTAGTTAGCTGACTTTGATAACAACTCTGTTCTGATAATATCAACATTAGAGGACTCAGTCATTTTCAGTAGCCAAAATACTGTATTTCTAGCCAAACTTATAGTTGTTTCCTATAATTTTTATATATTTCTGCAAGTATTTTTATTCTTCTCCTGAACATTGTACCTCTTGGCTTTTATTTCTTATTTATTTTTATTTTAAAAAATTATTTTGTTGAGAGAATCTTGTCCAGGCTGGTCTCCAACTCTTGGCCTCAAGCAATCCTCCTGCCTTGGCCTCTCAAAGTACTGGCATTACAGACATGAGCCACTGCATTCAGCCACTTGGCTTTTTAGATACTGAAACCTCCACCTCCCAGGCTCAAGCAATCCTTCCACCTCAGCCTCCCAAGTAGCTGGGACTACAGGTGCATGCCACCATGTCTGGCTAATTTTTGTATTTTTTTGGTAGAGCTGGGGTTTCTCCACGTTGCCCAGCCTGGTGGGCAGATAACTCGGGAGCTCAAGTTATCTGCCTGTCTTGGCTTCCCAAGTGCTGGGATTACAGACGTGAGTAACCATGCCCAGTCTCAATACCATATTTATCTAAAAACTTTTAGTATGAATTTAAAATATATTTTAATATAGTATTTCATTGTGGAAATTATAATATTGATTTACATTAATTAACTTAATATGAATTATAATATTTAACAAGTAGGTGTACATAAAATTTTGTATCAAAAATACAGAAATCTCTGGTGTGTACTGAGAGTAAAAGAAAAAAATACAGAAGCCAGTTGGTGGGAATGAAAAATGGTGTAGTCACTATGGAAAACAGTTTAGTGGTTCTTCAAAACACTACACATAGAATTATCATATGACCCAGAAATTCCACTCCTAGGTATATACCCAAAAGAATTGAAAATGGGCTGGGTGCGGTGGCTCACGCCTGTAATCCCAGCACTTTGGGAGGCCAAGGCGGGTGGATCACTTGAGGTCAGGAGTTCAAGACCAGCCTGGCCAGTATGGTGAAACCCTGTCTGTACTAAAAATACAAAAATTAGCTGGCCATGGTGGTGGGTGCCTGTAGTCCCAGCTACTTGGGAGGCTGAGGCCGAAGAATCTCTTGAACCTGGGAGGCGGAGGTTGCAATGAGCTAAGATTGCAATCTCAGCTTGCTGCAACCTCTGCCTCCCAGGTTCAAGTAATTCTCCTGCCTCAGCCTCCCAAGTAGCTGGAATTACAGGCACCCACCACCACGCCCGGCTAATTTTTGTATTTTTAGTAGAGATGGGGTTTCACCATGTTGGTCAGGCTGCTCTCAAACTCCTGACCTTGTGATCCACCCACCTCAGCCTCCCAAAGTGCTGGGATTACAGGTGTGAGCCACCGCGCCCGGCCTCAATCTTTCAATAACATTTTCGTCTCTCTTTTTAAGCACTCATCAACAACCTCGAGGCCCGTCGAGGTTCCACTAACAGTCTTCTCAAGGCCATTCCAGCCTTTGCCTGATGCCCAGTCCCAAAGACAATACCATATGTTTTGGGTTGGGTTTTTTTTGTTTTGTTTTGTTTTTTAGGCAAGATCTCATTCTGCTGCCCAAGCTAGAGTGCAGTGGTGTGATCATGGCTACCTATAGTCTCAACCTCCTGGGTTCAAGCAAACCTCCCATCTCAGCCTCCTCAGTAGCTAGGAACACAGCATGCACCACCATGCTGGCTGATGTTTTTAGTTTTATAGAGATGGGGGTCTCACTGTGTTGCCTAGGCAAGTCTCAAACTCCTGGGCTCAAGCAGTCCACTAACCTTGGCCTCCCAAAGTGTTGGGATTACAGGCGTGAGTCACCATGCCCAGCCTGTTTTGAGTCTTTGATGTACCCACTCTGGGTACCAAATTTCTCTTCCAGTTACTATTGTGTAACAAATTACCTCCAAATTTAGCAGCTTCAAAAAAGCAAGGGTGCTTTGTTTTTTTTTTGTTTTTGTTTTTGTTTTCTTTTTTTTCTCGTGGTTTTGTAGGTCAGGAATTCACAAAGGGCTTAGCTGGGCAGGCCTTCCTTGAGGTCACTCAGGAGGTTGTAGTCAGATGTTGGTTGGGGAGGTGGAGCATGATGGCCAAATAGAAGCCTCCACCCATCATTCTCTCCACAGGAATGCCAAATTCTGCAACTATCTACACAGAGAAGTATCCCCCATAAGAAGCAAAAATCAGGAATCAGGTGAGCAATCACAGTACCTGGTTCTAACCTCGTATCACTGAAAGAGGCAAGGAAAAGGGTAGGAAAGACAGTCTTGAATTGCCAACAACCCCCCTGGCCAGTGCCCCCAGAAATAGCTGGCCATGTAGCATGGAGAGACAATCTGTGCCCTTGGAGGGGAGAGAACACAGTGATTGTGGGACTTTGCACTGGCACGCAGTGCTGCCAACACTGGGCAGAACTCAGCTGGCAACCATGGAGGGAGCAATTAAACAAGCCTTGACCAGAGGGGAATCACTCATCCCAGCAGTTGGAACTTGAGACTCAGCAAGCCTTGCCACTGCGGGCTGAAGTGCTATGGGATCCTAAATAAACTTAAAGGCAGTCTAGGTTACAAGGACTGTAACTCCTAGGCAAGTCCTACTGCTGTGCTGGGCTGAGAGCCAGTGGACATGGGGGACACACAGCCTAGTGAGACACCAGATGGTGCAGCTAAGGGAGTGCTTGCATCACCCCTCCCCCAACCCCAGGCAGCACAACTCACAACTCCAAAAAAGACCCCTTTGTTCTGCTTGAGGAGAGGAGAGGAAAGACTAAAAAGGACTTTGTCTTGCAACTTGGATACCAGCTCAGCCACAGTAGGATAGGGCACCAGGCAGAGTCATGAGGCCCTCATTCCAGGCCCTAGCTCCCGGATGACATTTCTAGACACACCCTGGGCCAGAAGGGAACTCACTGCCTTGAAGGGAAGGACCCAGTCTTGGCAGGATTCATCATCTGCTGATGAAAGAGCCCTTGGAATCTGAATAATCAGCAGTGGTAACCAGGTAGTACAGCCATGGGCCTTGAGTGAGACTCTGAGACATGCTGGTTTCAGCTGTGACCAGGACATTCACAGCTGTGGTGGCTATGAGGAGGGCCCCCTACTGCTTGAGAAAAGCAGAGGGAAGAGTAAAGGGGACTTTCTCTTGAACTTAGGTACCAGTTCAGCTACAATGGGGAAGAGCACCAAGCAGGCTCTTGGGGTCCCTGATTCTAGGCCTTGGCTTGAGATGGCATCTCTGGACCTACCCTGGGCCAGAGGGGAGCCCACTTCCTGAAGGATGAGTTCCAGGGCTGGCAGCATTCACCACAAGCTAACTGAAGAGCCCTTGGGCCTTAAATAAACATCAACGGCAGTACCCTCTGTGGGCCTGTGGTGGTGGTGGACATAAGAAGAGACTCCTCTGCCTGGGGAAGAGTGGGAAGGACTTTGTTTGGTGGTTTTGGCACCAGCTCAGCTGCAGTAGTATAGAGCAACAGTAGATTTCTATGGTTTCTGCTTCCAGACCCTGGATCCCAGGACTCACCTGGGGCCTGGGGGAATTTGCAATCTCAAGGTAAGGACACAAGCCTGGCTTGCATTGCCACCTGCTGATCATAGAGCCCTAGGGCCTTGAGTGAACACAGATGGTAGCTAGGTAGCAGTTATAGCAGGCATCGGGCAAGAACCAGTGCTGTGCCGGCTTCAGGTCTGACCCAGTACACTCCCAGTGGTGGTGGCCACAGGGGTGTTTGTGTTACCTTTCCCCAGCTCCAGGCATCTCAACACAGAGTGAGAGACTTTGTTTGTTTGGGAAAAAGTAAGGGAAGGGAACAAGAGTCTCTACCTGGTAATCCAGGGAATTCCTCCAGATCTTAGATCCTCTACGAGTCTGCAAGAACCACAGTGTTACTGGGCTTGGAGTAGTACCTAATGCAGCTACAGCTGCAGTGACCAAAAACATAGATCACAACACCTAAGTCTCATCAAATACCTGGAAAGCCTCCCCAAGAAGGACAGGTACAAACAAACCCAGAATGCGAAGACTACAATAAATACCTAACTATTCAATGCCTAGACACTGATGAACATCCATAAGCATCAAGACCATCCAGGAAAACATGACCTCACTAAACGAACTAAAAAGGCACCATAGACCAATCCCGGAAAGACAGACATATGTAAGCTTTCAGACAGATAATTCAAAATAGCCATTTTTTAGGAAACTCAAAGAAATTCAGGATAACACAGAAAATGAATTCAGAATCCTATCAGATAAATTTAACAGAGAAGTTGAAACAATTAAAAAGAAGCAGAAATTCTGGAGTTGAAAAATACAGTTGACATACTGAAGAAGGTATCAGAGTCTCTTAATAGCAGAACTGATAAAGCAGAAGAAAGAATTCGTGAGCTTGAATACAAGCTATTTGAAAATACAGTCAGAGGAGACAAAAGAAAAAAGAACGAAACAGAATGAAGAATGCCTTAAAGATCTAGAAAATAGCCTCAAAAGGGCAAATGTCAGAGTTATTGTCCTTAAAGAGGAGGTAGAGAGAGAGATAGGAGTAGAAAGCTTATTCAAAGGGATAATAACAGAGAAATTCCCAAAACTAGAGAAAGATATCAATATTCAAGTATAAGAAGGTTATAGAACACTAAGAAGATTTAACCCAAAGTAGACTACCTCAAGGCATTTAATAATCAAACTCCCAAAGATCAAGGATAAAGAAATGATCCTAAAAACAGCAAGATAAAAGAAAACAAACAACATACAATGAATCTCCAACATGTCCGGCAGCAGACTTTTCAGTGGAAACCTTACAGGCCAGGAGAGAGTGGCATGGTATATTTAAAGTACTGAAGAAAAAAACAAAACAAAACAAAAAAACAACCTTTTACCCTAGAATAGTAAATCTGGTGAAAATATCCTTCAAACACGAAGGAGAAATAAAGACTTTCCCAGACAAAGAAAAGCTGAGGTATTTCATCAACATCAGACCAGTCCTACAAGAAATGCTAAAGAGAGTTCATCAATCCCTTTTGTTGAAAGAAAAGAACAGTAATGAGCAATAAAAAATCATCTGAAGGCACAAAACTCACTGGTAATAAAAGGAAGACAGGGCTGGGTGTGTTGGCTCATGCCTGTAATTCCAGCATTTTGGAGGCCAGAGTGGGAGGACTGCCTGAGTCCAAGAGTTCAAGACTAGCCTGGACAACAAAGCAAGAGCCCATCTCTACGGAAAAATAAAAAAATTAGTCAGATGTGATATCACACACCTGTAGTCCCAGCTACTCAGGTGGTTGAGACAGGAGGGTCACTTGAGCCCAAGAGGTCAAGGCTGCAGTGAGCCATGACTGCACCACTGCACTCCAGTCTGGAAAACAGAGCAAGACTGTCTCCAAAAAAGGGTGTGGGGGAGACAGGAAGGAGGGAAAGAAGGAAGAGAAAACCAAAAGCAGCTAGAACACAACAAAATGGCAGGAGTATGTCCTTACTTATCAATAATAACATTGAATGTAAATAGACTAAACACTCCAATCAAAAGACATAGAGTGGCTGAATGGATTAAAAAACAAGACCAAATGGTCTGTTGCCTACATAAAACACTATTCACCTATAAAGACACACATAGACTGAAAATAAAAGGATGGAAACAGATATGCATGGAACTGAAAAAAGAGCAGGAGTAGTGATACTTAGATAAGACGGATTGCAAGACAAAAACTATAAAAAGAGACAACATCACTATATAATGATAAAGGGGTCAACTCAGCAAGAGGATATAGCAATTGTAAATATATATGTACCCAACACTGCAGCATGCAGATCTATAAACCAAACATTATTAGTGCTAAGGACAGTGATAGATTGCAATACAATAACAGCTGGAGGCTGGGCATGGTGGCTCACACCTGTAATCCCAGCACTTTGGGAGGCTGAGGCAGGCAGATCACCTCAGGTCAGGAGTTTGAGACCAGCTGGACCAACAGGGTGAAACCCCATCTCTACTAAAAATACAAAGTTATCTGGGCGTGGTGGCACATGTCTGTAATCCCAGCTACTCGGGAGGCTGAGGCAGGAGAATTGCTTGAACTCAGGAGGCGGAGGTTGCAGTGAGCCAAGATCACAGCACTGCACTCCAGCCTGGGCAACAAGAGCAAAACTCCATCTCAAAAAATAAAAATAAATAAAAAATAAAAAAAAACAACAGATGGAGACTTCAACACCCCACTTTCAGCATTGGACAGATCATCTGAAGAGAAAATCAACAAAGAAACATCACACTTAATCTGCACTACAGACCAAATGGACCTAATAGATATTTATAGAGAATTTAATCCAACAGTTTCAGAATATATTCTTCTCCTCAGCACATGGATCATTCTCAAGGATAGATCACATGTTAGGCCACAAAACAAGAATTAAAGCAGTCAAAGAAATTGAAGTAATGTCAAGTATCTTCTTTGACCCCAAGGGAATAAAACTAGAAATCAATAACAAGAGGAATTCTGGAAACTAGACAAACACATGGAAATTAAACAATATGCTCCTGAATGACCAGTGGATCAATGATGTGATTAAGAAGGAAATTGAAAAATATCTTGAAAGAAATGATAGTGGAAATACAACATACCAAAACCTATAGGATACAGCAAAAGCAGTACCAAGAGGGAATTTTATAGTTATAAGTGCCTTCACTAAGAAAGAAGAAAAACTTCAAGCTGGGGCCAGTGGCTCATGCCTATAATCCCAGAACATTGGGAGGCCAAGGCGGGTGGATCACTTGAGGTCAGGAGTTCAAGACCAGCCTGACCAACACAGTAAAACCCCATCACTACTAAAAATACAAAAAAAAGCCAGGCATGATGGTAGCCACCTGTAATCCCAGCTACCTGGGAGACTGAGGCACAAGAATTGCTTGAACCTGGGAGATGGAGACTGCAGTGAGCCAAGATCATGCCACTGCACTCCAGCCTGGGCGACAGAGCAAGACTCTGTCTCAAAGAAAGAAAGAAAGAAAGAGGCTGGGCACAGAAAGAAAGAAAGAGGCTCACGCCTGTAATCCTAGCACTTTGGGAGGCCGAGGCGGGTGGATCACGAGGTTAGGAGATCGAGACCACGGTGAAACCCTGTCTCTACTAAAAATACAAAAAATTAGCTGGGCGCGGTGGCGGGTGCCTGTAGTCCCAGCTATTTGGGAGGCTGAGGCAGGAGAATGTTGTGAACCCAGGAGGCGGAGCTCGCAGTGAGCCGAGATCGCGCCACTGCACTCCAGCCTGGCGACAGAGTGAGACTCTGTCAAAAAAAAAAAAAAAAAAAAGGAAAGGAAAGAAAGAAAGGAAGGAAGAAAGACTTCAAATAAAGAACCTAGTGATGCATCTTAAAGAAAAGCAAGAGCAAACAAAAGCCAAAGTTAGTACAAGAAAGGAAACAATAAAGATCAGAACAGGAAGAAATGAAATTGGAATGAAGAAGACAATACAAAAGATCAATGAGGTAAAAAGTTGGTTTTTTGAGGCTGGGTGCAGTGGCTCACACCTATAATCCCAGCATTTTGGGAGGCTGAGACAGGTGGATCACTTGAGGTCAGGAGTTTGAGACCAGCCTCGCCAACATGGCAAAAAATCCCATCTCTACTAAAAATACAAAAATTAGCTGGGCATGGTGGCGGGCACCTGTAATTCCAGGTACTCAGGAGGCTGAGGCAAGAGAATCATTTGAACTCGGGAGGCATAGGTTGCAGTGAGCTGAGATCACGCCACTGCACTCTAGCCTGGGCAACAGAGTGAGACTCTGTCTCAAAAAAAAAAAAAAAAAGAAAGAAAAAAAAGAAAAAGTTAAATTACACAAGAGCCCCAGGAAAATCCTGCCCTCTTCTTATCACGCCTCACTGAAGCTATGCTAAAATATACCAATTTGGACCCAGAATCTAGAGAAGGTCAAACTTTTTCTACCTCCAATTTATTTCCCAGATATCCAGAAAAAAAATTACAAAAACTAGAGGGTCCCCAGACATCTCGGTGGGACCTCCTAAATGCAGCCTTCTGTGTCTTTAACAACAGAGATGAGGAACCAAAAATTCAAAAAGACAAGCATCTCCATTTAAAATACCAGATGCTCACCTCTGCTGTCCAAAAGTCAATCACACAAAAGCCTCCCGATAACCCAAAAGGAAACTCTGCCACCTTTTTGGGAGTCTGTTTCCGATGTGGCAACCCTGGACACTGGGCAAAGGCTTGTCCTAACCCCCAGCCCTCCACCAAGCCATGCTCAACTTGTGGTCTTTGGGGACACTGGAAAATGGACTGCCCCCAATGGGGACACCTTCCCCATTCGGTGTGGCTCATAATGAAGTCCCCCAGCCATCCACAGGAGGAAATCTCTTCACTGCTGGTGCTGACAGCAGAGGACTGAAGGTACCCAGGATTCTTTGCCCCCATGTCTAGTGAGTCCACAGAACCCAGAGGGTAATTGGGACTGTATCTGGTAAGATTATTTCCTTTCTTTTGGATACTGGGGCTAGCCTATTGGTATTAACTGACTATCAAGGCCCGTTAGAACGTTCATCCATTTCTGTGTTGGTATGAAGGGCATACAAGAAACCCCATATAAAACACCGCCTCTATACTGCTCATTTCAGGGAGTCATCCTCACTCACTCTATTTTGGTCATTCCTCACTGTCCCACTCCCTTATTAGGAAGGGATATTCTACACAAACAGGGGGAATCATTCATTTATCGGCCCTACACCAAAGACACCCTTATTTATTATTATGTCAAGAACAGAAGCCCTCCTCAGACACTCCACATCAAACAGACTTAAATCTCAAATTTCTCAGCCATGTAAACCCCATCATATGGAACGCTGACTTCCCCATAATAGCTACCCACCATTCTCCAACCCAAATTTCATTGAAGAATCCTAAGCACTATATAGTGTTTCCAACATTGTCCCCTCAACCCTGATGGATTGCAGGGACTCAAGCCCATCATATCCTGATTTTGGGTGCCAGTATTTTAATCCCCACCCATTCTCCCCACAATACTCCTATTCTTCCAGTTAAAAAACCAGACAGCTCCTATAGACTGGTCCAGGATTTGTGACAAATCAACTCCGCTATTATTCCTGTTTGTCCCGTTGTCCCAAACCCCTACACCCTCCTATCACGAATTCCTCCCAACACTAGCCACTCCTCTGTATTAGACCTCAAAGATGCCTTTCTTACTATCCCTGTACATCCCTTCTCTCAAAACCTTTTTGCTTTCACTTGGGCTGATCCTGACACAGGCTACTCCCAACAACTCGCCTGGACTGTCCTCCCCCAGGGGTTTAGGGACAGCCCTCACTATTTCGGTCAGGCACTTCAATTAGACCTCTCCCAACTACCTCTACAACCCAGCATTTTGCTTCAATATGTGGATTTACTCTTTTGCACCCCCTCCCTAGAATACTGTATTCAACACATCACCAAGCTTTTACATTTTTTGGCTGAATGTGGGTACTGGGTATCCAAAAGAAAAGTTCAAAAATTTCATACCCAGGACTTATCATAACTCCAAATTCTGTCAGCACGAAAGCAAGGTGTTCAACAAATCCCATTTCCTAAAACAAAAAGGGACTTACTTTCCTTCTTCGGATTAGTGGGATATTTCCAAATATGGATAGCAAATTTTGCCATTGTTGCTATATCCCTTTATGAACACACAAAAGAAAATCTTGACCAACTCCTCACTCCCACCCCAGATCTTTATCATGCTTTCTCTCACCTAAAACGTGTGTTATTACAGGCCCCCACTTTAGGCCTTCCAAACCCCCTAAGACCTTTTAATCTGTATTTACACAGTTCTCATAATCAGGCCCTTGGTCTATTAGCCCAACTCATGGCAAACTCCCTCCAACCAGTGGTATATTTTCAAAACAACTAGACCCCATTTATAAAACCTGGCCCCCTTGCTTAAACATTTTGGTCACAACAGCAGCAATAATTATTCCTGAGGCACAAAATCTCATGTTTTATGAACCTCTTCAGGTATTTTCTTCTCACAGTCTACAAGATATGCTCAGCCACAAGGTGCTCACCTCCAGCTCATCCTCTCGCAGGCAAGCCCTACTTTCAACTCTCCTTCAACCCTCTATATCTCTTCATAGATGCTCCCTGACTAACCCCGCCACTCTTTACCTTCAACACCAATTTTAGACCCCGACCAACACTCATGCTCTGATCTAACTGGAAGTTCTCTATGTATCACCGCCTTACTTGCACTCACATAAAAGGAGACCCAGATTGGTTTATAGATGGGAGCACATCAAAACACTCTCCCCTCTAAGCAGGATATGCCATCATTGAAAGGATATCATGATGATACCCACTCTCTCCCACCTAGAAAGCCATAGAGGCTGCCCCCTTGCCTTTGGGCACATCCTCCCAACAAGCAGAATTAGTTGCCCTAATAAGAGCACTAACTCTAGCAGAAAACACACAAGTGAATATATACACTGATTCTAAATATGCCTGTAACGTTATCCATTCCAATGCCCAAATTTTGAGTGAGCAGGGCTATCTCATAGCTAAGGGAACCCCTATCATTAATGGAAAACTCATCCATCATCTATTAAAGGCAGCTATACTTCCAGAAAAGGTTGTGGTTATCCATTGCAAAGGACATCAATCAGACAAAAGCCACATTCCTTTAGGGAACCATGAGGCTGACTATTGGGCCAAACACGCCTCAGCCAACGACCCAATTCCCCAATACTTATTTCCCCTCACACAACATATGCCCTCCTTTTATCCAGAACACCAAACACAACAACCAATCACAGTAGGGGCAGACAATTTAAACCCCCATACTGGTTCATACAAAACAAATTAGTCCTACTTGACCCTGAAAAAACAATTTCTTCTATGGGACATTCACAACCTCTTCCACACTAGCCATTCCCCTCTACAGCATTTCTTAAGTTCCCATATATACATAACCCCAGACATAAAGGAACAGTTAAAAGCCATTTCCCATCAATGCTCTGTTTGCAAAAAAGCTTCACCCCACTTCAACACTAGACCCTCTTCTTTTCTAACCCATCAATCCAAGGGACACCTTCCAGAACAGGACTGGCAAATTGGTTTTACCCACATGCCCCCAGTAAAAAGGGTTTGATTTCTTTTAGTTCTGGTTGATACCTTTTTGGTACGGGTCGAGGCCTTTCCCACAACCAACAAACGAGCTCCTACTCTCCAAATTAATAACAGAAATCATCCCCAGGTTCGGGGTGCCTCTTTCTTTTCAATCTGATAATGGCCCTGAATTCATTTCTCAAATTATTCAAACACTTGCACAAGCCCTACAAATCACCTGGAAGTTGCACCTCCCCTCTCGACCTCAATCTTCAGGAAAGGTTGAAGAAATGAATGGCATTCTACAAAAACACCCTCACCAGGTACTCACACCAAACACATAAAGACTGGGTTACACTTTTGCCTTTAGCCCTTCTAAAAATTCGGGTGCTCCAATGTAAACTTCTAACGCTCAGCACCTTTGAACTCATGTATGGGAGACCATTTGCCCCTCTGCTCCACCTCAGGGTCAAGCCCCACCTCCACCAATCCCTCTCATTTCCCCTCTTGTACATACCATCTGCCATTTCATTTAGGAATATGCTGACAAATACCTGCCACAACCCATCACCGACTCCTTTAATCCCTCCCTACAGCCAGGAGACTGGGTTCTGGTAAAATACCCCAGTCCTACCCTCAATTCCTGCTTCACACCTAAGTGGAAGGGACCTTACCAGATCATCCTTACCACACCCACAGCACCGAAACTCCAGGGACTCCCCAGCTGGTTTCATTGTACTTCTCTCAAGAAAACAGACTTCCCTTCACCACATACCCAAACAACCAAGTCTGAAACCCCTTCGGCCTTCTCTCGTGTCTCCCAGGACCCACTTCTCTTCGCCTCACCCAAATCCCTGAGGAAAAGGAGGAGAAATCCACATAAGCCGCTTATGTCTCTTTCTCTCCCAAACTTTCATCACTTCCTAACTAACCTTGTTACAGACCTTCAGTGGTGCCCTTAGGAAGCTCCCATTATACATCCTGATCAGCTCGTTACTGCTCTATGGGACCTATGGCTTCAAGGAACTTTCCAGGACTTTACTCCTACCCAAATAACTTTTTTCGCTTTTTGCTTGTTTCTTTCAATATAAATTCCCTAATCACATCAACCTCATCAATACAACCACTCCTCACTGCTCTCAAACTAGAACGCTCTATAAACCTTACACAATCTCTCTTGCGGCAAGCTAACTCTTCCTTTGCTCTGGAATGCTGGGTGTGTTTATCGCTGTCTTCCTTAGCTTACACAGCCCTTCCTACATTCCTTCATGACCTTTTAACAGGAAACACAACCCTAATTTATAAACTCCAAAAAGGAGCTTCCTTTTTTGAAAGAGCTGACACTCTAGTCGGTGATTATCCCACTTCCAGGGCCGATCAGGCCAACAAATTATTTCAAACCTAGGATAACTCCCTACAGCGCCTTAAGCCCCACGGCCCTCCCATTGAAGGGCCCATAACTAAACACACTCCTCCTCTTATAATGAGCCTCACTTTGCTTTTCAGCCTCGGAGGGAAATTTCCCTGTAGGGTCCTTAACATCTAACCTATGCAACCACACTATCATTGTTAAACACCCCTCTGACCATCAAACTAACCAGGCTAACTACCAAGTATCACCTGAAGCGAACGGAGCATTTCTGCAGCTGGCTCGTTTGACAGCCTTTCCCTCAGCCAATGCCTCCAGCCTAACCTGTGCTGCTCCTAGTGCCCACAATTTTCCTTGGCTCAATATCAATAGTGCAGCATCCGACCGCATTAAATCTGTAAAAAATAACTCTTCCTATACCTCTAGTATAGTAGGTGTCTCCCAGGCCTCCTCCTTGTCCACCTGGAGTAATGAACCACAGGAAAGAACAAACACCTCATCTTTAATTCACTTATTTTCTGTCCATATCTCTGCTTGTATTTACAATAAAGGCTTGTTCTTTTTGTGTGGTCTCAACACATATTTCTTTGTCTCCCCATCAACCAGACCAGAACCTGTACCCTAGTTTATCTTTCTCCCTCCATTGGACTAGTTCCTCCTAATCAATCTTTACCCGTTCCATCCATCCAATATGTTAGGAAGAGGAGAGCCATCCACGTCATTCCTTTAATGGCTGCCTTAGGTATAACCTCCGGGCTTGGGTTGGGAGCAGGCTGATTCGCCACCTGCTTAACATACTTGAAATCTCTTTCAACAGAACTGCAGAGTTCATTAGAGCATATGGCCCAAAGCCTTATAAGAGTCCAAGGCCAACTAGACTCCTTGGCTGGAGTAGACTCCTTGGCTGGAGTAGTCCTCCAAAATAGACAGGAATTAGATGTTATAACAACTGAAAGAGGGGACCTCTGCCTCTCATTCGGTAAAAAATGTTGCTTCTATCTCAATCAGTTGGGCCTAGTAAGAGACGCTGCTAAAAAACTTAAAGAAAGGGCTAAAAAGCTAAGAGAATAACAAGACAACCAAATAAATTACTGGTTTAAAAACAAAGTCCTAATATGGGTCATCCCATTCCTGGGCTCTCTCCTAAAAATATGCCTAGGAATAATGTTCTTACCCTGCTTAATTAACCTTTTTCTAAGTTTTTTTTATTTTTTTGAGACGGAGTCTTGCTCAGTCGCCCAGGCTGGAGTGCAGTGGCGAGATCTCGGCTCACTGCAAGCTCCGCCTCCTGGGTTCACACCATTCTCCTGCCTCAGCCTCCCAAGTAGCTGGGACTACAGGCACCCGCCACCATGCCTGGCTATTTTTTTTTTTTTTTTGTATTTTTAGTAGAGACGGGGTTTCACCATGTTAGCCAGGATGGTCTCGATCTCCTGACCTCGTGACCCACCCGCCTTGGCCTCCCAAAGTGCTGGGATTACACGCGTGAGCCACCGCGCCTGGCCACCTTTTTCAAAGATTTTTAACCAGCAGGATCATGGCCATCTCACAGACAATTACCCAAAAACATCTACAGACAGCGTTACTCCTACAATCAATCTGAAACCAAAGAACTCTCTGCTCACTCCCCCAGCAGGAAGTAGCCAGAAAAAATGCGCTGCCCCTTGTCCTTTTCATAACTATAGAGACTGGATTGATAGAGCAGGAGCATTGCCATCTTGGACAAACACCACCTTTCTAAGTTCCCCTTGATTAAAAAACCACCTAAATCCTACCCCAAAACATCAGCCTAACGGCTAATGTCAGCATAACCAGAAATATTCCAACCCTAAGATAAACCTCTCTTCAACCAGAAACATGCTAACCCTGAAATAACCTCTCCTCCAATAGCCTCCCCTCCGACCAGAGACATTCCAACCCTGCAATAAACGTTCCCCCACTTCCAAAACCCTTAAATATCCTTAGTCTGTAAGAGAGAATGCTTAGTCTGTAAGAGAGAGCGCTCCTGATCGAAATTGGCCAGAATCCCCTCTCAGGTTTATTCTCTGAAATAAACCTTTTAATGTTGAGCCGCTTTTTGTATTTATTTCCTCTTTCTTTAACGGTTACAAGCATTGTTACTTGAGTGTTTCTGCTGTAATGGAGGAGGCAGCATGAATATCTCAAACGGTTGCTAGTGAGAAGCCACGCAGATGAGAGGCATGAAGCCTTGTTGGGCTCCCTCCATGTCCTACAGCCAGAGAGCGTCAGAAATACATCTGCCCCAGAATGAACTGGGCTGAAAACTCTTTGCATGGAGGGAGACCACATAACCTGGGGAACTTGGGTAAACGATGTTGGAACGGAGGTGTAAGATTTGGGTTTGTGTTAGTTGATTTGGGGAAACATTTATGGAAACGGGCCTTTGCTCCGGATTGGATGTCAGGAAGAGGAGGATTCCATGATTGGATATCTTGATGAAGCTTATCTAGACGGCAGGAGGACGAGACAAAGGCTAAACATGTAATGGTAAAGAAGCAGCAATCACTCTTATTGGCCAAGACGAGGGGAATGTGGTCACTTTTGTGGCTTGGACAGTGTTCCTGTTTTGTCTGTGTTCACACTTGATTACACAGTGGTCTGTTTTTTTCTCTTGATCTGTATCACGGCCTGATGTTGGTGTTTTATGAAATTGTTCACATTCAAAGAGAACACCCAGGCCTAGCTGTTTGTGCCAGACCAACCCCAAGTCCTGGCTGCAGAACCAGGCCAGCTCCCCGATGTCAGTGGCCGCCTTTCTCTTTACAGGCATGGAGGGGGACACCATTAAGGAGGAGCCCCTCTTCTCCGCTCCCCACAGACACCAGTGGGTGCAGACAAGTCAGGGAATGCCTCCTTTCCCTCCGGCATCTTTTGAGGTTTCCGTCCTGACGCCCAGGGCCGCTCCATCCAAGCCTCGGTTTCTCAGTCTCTAAAACAGGCCAGAAACCAGGCACGCCGTGGTGAAAGGACGAGCCGAAGAGATGGCAAGAGCTCCAGAAAGCCTTCCCAGGCATCAGGGGCTGCCCTTGAGCTCAGACGTTTCTCTCTGGACAGGGCTTCTTGGACAGGAACTCAACGAAACTTGACAGAAATCGGACACCCCCAGCCAAGGAAAAGCAGGAGGGGCCCGGGGTTCGCCAAGGCGGGAAACACCGCGGGGCCCAGACGGCGCCGTCCGCCCGGCTCGCAGTCGGGGCGCGGGAGGGGCCCACGCGCATGCGCACCGCCCCGCCCCCAGCCGCCCCGCCCAGCCCGCGCGCAGCCCTCTGGGGCGGCCGGGCCACGCCGCGCGCCGATTGGTGGCGTCCGGGACTCTCCCTGCAGGTGACTGACGGCGCCGGCCGCCCCTGCCCGTCGCCCGCCCGCTGCTGCCGCCCGCCCGGGGTGTGGAGCCCGGCCGCTGCTCGCGGGCTGAGTGTCTGTCGCTGCTGCCGCCTCCACCCAGCCTCCGCCATGGACCTCTTCGGGGACCTGCCGGAGCCCGAGCGCTCGCCGCGCCCGGCTGCCGGTAAGCGGCGTTGCCGCCGGGCCGGCCAGGGAAGGGAGAGCAGGCGGGATGGGGGCGGCCTGAGGCCCGGGGCGGCTGAGGCGGCGCCCGCGCTGGGAGGCGGCGGGCGGCGCGGGCTGCACGGGGCCTGCTCCTGCCTGGCCAGGCCCCGTCCGGCCCACTGGCGGCCCTGTCGGAGGCCCGGTCGCTCGCGGAGCTCGGAGAGGCCGCTCCGCCATTTTCGCTACGCAGGAAGGAAAGGGCCGAGCCGTCGTGGCCACGGCCCCTCTGCGTGGCGGTGAAAGGCGCCGGCGCGACCGCGTGGGCCGACCCGAGGGACCGGCTCTGAACGCCCGGCGGCACCGCGGGCCCCCGCGCCCCGATTCCACCCGCGGCCTGGGCTGCCTTGCGCGTCGCCCGCCCGCGGCTTCCGGGCCGCACTTCACCCGCGGGCTGTGGAACGGCCGCGTTCCGGGCCGGTGCAAGTTCAGGGGCTTGGCGTTTTTATTTGCACTGGAGATTGAATTAATCACCATCTTAATCCTTCGTGTTTTTGAAGCCTGGAAGACAGGATGCCTCCTCTGTCATCCTGTGATTTTGTGATAATTAACAGTAGTTTTTTTTTTTTTTTTCTGGTCCACGGGAAGTTCCCCCTCTCCTTGAAGTTAAGGGGTCCGCTCATCTCCTAAGCGCTGGCCCCTGCCAGTGGGAGTCCCTGTGGGCTGTGGTTTGAGCTCAGCATCCTAGCAGCTTGAAACAGGGCCTGTGTTAATCCCTGCGTCCTGTGGGTTACAGTCTCCGGGTTTCATCTGTCAAAACGCGTGAATATTTCATATGCAAGACTTCCAGCTTGATGTTGTAGTTTAGGGCCTTATTACAAAATTTAACTTGGGGGCAGAAAACCTGGAAAACTTAAGACGTTCAGATTTCCAGGCCCACCTCAGCCCCAGTAAATCCGAATCCCTGAGAGTGGGGTTTCCGAATCTGTTACTAAATCCCCAGGCCAACCCAGCGGGGGCTGGAGACCAGTGGTTTGGGAGCTGCTGTTGTAGGGTAGACGGAGGTGAGTAAGGCCCAGCCTTCGCTTTCTAAGAGCTGCTTTCTGAAGGGTACTAATTACGGTAATTAAAACTGGCAAAAGTTAATGACTGTGGGAAATGCTGAGGACTCTTGAGGAGGGATTGTCGGGCACCGAGAGACTGGGGAAGGAGGCAGTGTTTGAATTGAGCTTCCAAGGATGTTCAGGCTTGTGATTTGCAGTAATTCTGGGCGAGAAAACATTTTATTTTATTTTACTTTTTGAGACGGAGTCTCACTCTTGTCGCCCAGGCTGGAGTGCAATGGTGAGATCTGAGCTCACTGCAACCTCCGGGTTCAAACAATTCTCCTGCCTAGGCCTCCCTACTAGCTGAGATTACAGGCGCCGACCACCACACCCGGCTAATTTTTATATTTTTAGTAGAGACGGGGTTTCACCATGTTGGGTAGGGTGGTCTTGAACTCCTGACCTCAGGTGATCCGCCCGCCTCGGCCTCCCAAATTGCTGGGATTACAGGTGTGAGCCACCGTGCCCTGCCCCCACTGACCGTTCTGATGGTACAGAGCATCTCAGTAACTGGTCCTGGAGTCTTTGAACTTGACTCAGCCATTCATTTTCAAAATAACCACGGTTTTAGCTGTGGGTAAAAATTGGATTTGTGTAGCAGTCTTTTTTCTCTTGTCAATGGAGTATAATTTCTATCTGAATATATTTGGGACAGCATTTGGATTCACCAGTGTGCGTGTAAACCTATGAGTCTTAAAATCTCCATTGCTTTTTACCTGCAATTAATTAGGTTCTGCTCAGGAGCAGGCTCCCTTGACTGACAAAAAACCTGGCAACTCAGAATCTCATAGGTTGGCACCTTAGCAGCCTTTTGCCAGATACAGTGGGAAAGGTACATCCTGTTGCCGTTTTTTCCAAACTCAGTTTCCAACCTTGACTGAGCTGAAAGGGTGGCAGAGGGGGTGCATGGTGTTTAAACTGCTGACCACCCTGAGATTGGATTGGTCAGCTGCTCCCCATCTGCCAGGAGGGCACTGACATTGTCAACAGGTCCTGCTTGGCTGAGTGTATTTTTAAAAATAGCTTTAAAACGAAGAAGATCTCAGAATTTGTAGATGATTGGAAGCTGAGAGGGATAAGTACTAAAATGAGTGACAATTGGGATCCATAGTTATCATTGCAGGCTGTTAGCTACAACCAACAAGATGAGATTTGACAGGTTAAAATCGTTTGTACAAGAACAGAATCTGGTTTCACATACTTGTGAAAATACTGTGATTTAAAAAAAAAAAACATACTTTGAATAAATCATATTGATTGCTAAAGTGAATGGAATAATGAGTCTAAACTGTGCATCATGACCCTCACACATGATATGTGGGTACCACAAATCTCTAATGCAGTGAACAATAAAAGACCTCGTTATTTTCCCAGAGCGCAAGAAAAGTTGTTCAGAAAGTGTAACCAGACTACTTGGTTTAGAATCCAGCTCTTCGCTTACTAACTGTGCCTTCTGTGGCTATTCCTACATGTGTAAAAAGGGGTGACACTTGCCACTGTTACTGTACAAATTAGTACAGTATGTATGGTGCTGCACATAGTGTGGGGTAGAATGTATAGTGTTTTATAGATGTTAGCCAGGGTTATTATTTTTGAGACAGCCTCATTGTGTCGCCCAGGCTGGAGTGCAGTGACATAAACACAGCTCACTGCAGTCTCGACCTCCGTGGGCACAGGTGATTCTTCCACCTCAGCCTCCTTGGTAGCTGGGACTACAGGTGCGCACCACCACAGCCAGCTAATTTTTGTATGTTTTGTAGAGACAAGGCTTTGCCATGTTGCCCAGGCTGCTCTCGAACTCCTGGGGCTCAAGTGTTCTGCCCACCTTGGCCCTCCCAGAGTGCTGGGATTACAGTGGTAAGCCACTGTGCCTGGCTGAGCCATTAACAGTTGTTTAAAAGTGGAAAAACGCAGTCTTAAATGAATTATGGGAAAGCACTGAGTGTCCAAAGGGAGAATACTACACTGCTTATATCACATCAAATGTATTAATATTTTGTTTAGATCTTTTTATTTTTGTTTTAAACGTTGCATCTAATGTTCCCACCCCTAAACCTCTTAAATGTTTATAATCTAGAAAAATACATAGAATGCACTAAATATTTCAGGTATTTTGCTAAATTAGTAGTTTTCATCCAAGCCCTTAAAAGTTTTAATTGCTGAATGAATCAAGTTTTTTAAAGGAGAGATGTATATATTTTACCTAAAAAAAAGTGTTTGTTCATATCAGGCAGAAATGGAACTTTCCTATGTCATACCCATAAAAGTGCCGACCTGATGTCTTTAAGATTGGCAGCTTATATTGACAATCCATGTATGTCAGTTGAAGGTGTCATGGTTTAAAATTGCTTCGCCAGTAACTTGATTTCACTTTTATAGGGTGGTTCTTTTACTTATTTGGTTGCTACACTAGTACTTTAAAAATTGATGGTCAGTTGTTGAGGAGGAAATAAAATATTTGATGGCCACACCATCTTAAAAATACTTTAAAAAAATTGGAGGCTGGGCTCGATGGCGCATACTTGTAATCCCAGCGCTTTGGGGGAACAAGGCAGGAGGATGGCTTGAGGCCAGGAATTTGAGAAGAGCCTGGCACAACTTCGTGAGACCCCTGTCTCTACGATTAAAAAAAAAAAAGAAGAATATTTGAACATAAAGGTTAAGGTATTAGAGGAAAACAGATTGTAAAACTACAGGGTTGAACAAGAAAAAAGTCATAAAAAAGTGAATTTGACTATGTAAAAATTTAAAATTTCTGCAGGACAAATGATACTATAAAGGCAAAAGACAAACCGAGAAAATAATTGCAATATACATTACTAAGGGTATAAGAAAGGCTCACAGAATTGATGGGAAAAAATAAAACCCACTAGAAAAATGGTCAAAGGATGTATCCTCCCAGTTCAGAGGTAAGGAATACAAATGGCCCATCAACAGAAAGTTGCTGAGGAACTATTTACCTTTTCACCCATCAGATTAGCAACAGTTGGTAACATTGGTGAATGTGTAGCGAAGTAGACTTTCTCATAAAGTGTTTTGGGAGTGAAAATTACAACTTTTTGGGGAACAGATTTTGGCTTCTATCAGATTTAAACTAATATCCTTTGACGAGCAGTCTAGCAGATTAAGCAGGAATACATGTATCAGATTGTTGATTGTGGCGTCACTTATCATATGAAGAACTGGGAAAAGCTTGAACCCATCAGTAAGGATCTGGTCGAATGAGTGGAGATGCTTCCCATGTGTGGCTGTTGGAGAGGATGAATTAGACTTGGGTGTGTTGGCCTGGAGCATGCCTTGATGGGTTATGTGAACACTATATGTGGAGTATTGTGTAGAGTATGACTCTGTCTTCTACAAATTAAAATGCATGAGTCCATGTGCATGAGCATTAAGGAAAGTGGAAAGGATACACTAAACTCATACTGTGGTTGGGGGGTGTGGCGGAACCTGTCCCCCCTTTTTTCTGATAATACCTCTGTGGTGTTTGGAAAACACCTGGATTTATTTTATAGTTGAAAAAATTGAGGTATAAAAAACAATTTAGCCAAAATATTTTAACATCCTTTTTTAACTTTATTGGATACAGCAACCTTTAACCTGAATATGATCAACCCAAGGGTATTTTTCTCAGCATAGTATATAACTTCCAGTAGACTTAGCTCCAGAATGTAGATAACTGAGGAAAAAAAAAAGTTCTAGATGAGATTAACTATGATTAATGGACATTTTTAGTCTTGTATTCTTATTAGGGTTCTAATATTTTTAAGATTAGGGGAGGGGCCTCTTCCAGATTTTTAGGTCAGGGTCACACTTTGTCCAATGATTGCAGCCCCCAATGCTTTGAATTTCAGTTTATTCAAAATAGAATGTAAGGGCCTGGAGCAGTGGGTCACATCTGTAATCCCAGCACTTTGGGATGCTGAGGCAGGAAGATTGCTTGAGTACAGTAGTTCGTGACCAACCTGGGCAACATAGTGAGACCCCGTCTCTACAAAAAGTTAAAAAATTAGCTGGGCATGGTGGTGTATGCCTGTAGTTTCAGCTACTCGGGAATCTGACGAGGGAGGATTGCTTGAGCCCAGAAGGTTGGGGCTGCAGTGAGCTGTGATCACACCACTGCACTCCAACCTGGCTCACAGAGCGAGACTCTTGTCTCAATTTAAAAAAAAAAAAATCTAAGGTTTTGACTAATCAGTAGTTTCCTTATGTATCTATGACCTATAGATTTTTTTTTAAAGAATCCACATACAGACTTCTAAGTTAGATTCTTTTGATGATGCAAAAATTATTTCCAGAGATTTTATAAAATCTCAGGATTATCATCATAGGATTGTTGTAAGGGTAAAATGAGTTGATGTTTATGAAGTTTCTGGAAGGGTGCCCATGTATGGAGGCAGCATAGTACCTCACTAAAAGCACGGACTGCATGGCTTTGAATCCCCACTCCACTCCTTACTGGCTCTGTGATCTTGAACAGGTAATTGACCTCAGTGCCTCAGTTTTTTCATCGGTAAATAATAATAGTACCTATCTCATAAGAATTAAATGAGAAGATGTGTGGAGCTCTTAGAATAGTGCCTGACAGGCAGGCAGTATTATCATTTTTAGAAGCCATTCCCAGTTGTGGCCAGCAAAATGTAGGATGGTCTCATTGTGTTTAATTGAAATACCTCTCATAGTATTCCAGAGTGAGAAAGAAGGTGATAGGCAGTTCTCTGGGGATGGGGCTCAGTTTGGGGCACCATCTGACTGAATTGTAGCCAGAGGAGAGGCGGCCAGGCTAGTATTAATACTAAGCTGTAAGTTGCATTGTGAGGAATGCTTACAAGAACTGAAAATATATTTATTACCTGGGTAAAAGAAGACTTCCTCCCTTGTACAGTGGCAGTGGAAAGACCTGATTTAGATGGGCAAGTTAATTCAAAAGTTAAAATATGACCTGGTACAAGCGGAAGGGTTGTTTGCTCTTCATGTTGGGCTGTTACCTGTAAATGTCCCCTCCCTTGTCCTAAGACATCTGGCTCTGTGACACCACTGAATGCAGCGTGATTGTCTGGAACATCTCATGTGGTTTTTGAGTCTGTCCGGAGAACGGGCGTTGTGATTGTTAGACCCAATGTTTGGGCAAAAGTGACCTACTTCGGGATATTAGGAATTCTTGTAAGTGGATTAATACATTGAGTAATGGTTATCCTAAATACTTTTTTTGGGTGCTGGGGACAGAGTCTGGTTTTGTCCCCCAGGCTGGAGTGCAGTGGCGCTATCTCAGCTCACCGCAACCTCCGCCTCCCAGGTTCAAGCAGTTTTCCTGCTTCAGCCTCCCAAGTAGCTGGGGCTACAGGCACCCGCCACCATGCCTAGCTAATTTTTGTATTTCTGGAGAGACAGGGTTTCACCATGTTGGTCAGGCTCATCTTGAACTGCTGACCTCAGTCCTGACCTTGACCTCCCAAAGTGCTGGGATTATAGGTGTGAGCCACCACACCTGGCCATACTAAATACTTTTTAATGGCTTTCTTCTGCTTCTTGTATACTTCTAATAGAGTCTTTATGTCACTTGTAAGAAAAGTGAAAGTATTTGCAATTCCTTAATTTGTTTAGGGTCATCCTGAAGGATTAGAATACATTTTCCCATTTGTATTAGGGATATAAAGCAAAATAGTTATTTTTTGTTAACTCAGGAATTTCTTGTGTATTTTAGGTACTTCTGACGCAAAGACCCCGGGAGAAATTTCATTCCCTTAAGTTTATAAATTTTTAATTAAAGCTTTTG